>NT_187601.1:604444-906666 GCF_000001405.40 Homo sapiens | reverse complement strand
GTATGCCAGCTATGGCCCAGCAGTGGAGACCCTATTGTAGATAGAAGACAAATCCAACATTCCATCCTAAAGGTCTACTTTTTAGGACAATTTGTGGTAGCAACTGTCCCTCCATTCAGTTGCTACCACAGTTGCTGTCCTCCAGAACAGGAACAACTGTCCCTGTTCCTTAGGAGACAGAGTATTAAGCAATAATGCTGCTTGCTAATACTTTATTGAGGGATAAAATCCTAGGGCAACAGACACAAGGCAAAAAGTGAAGCAGGGCAGGAGGGAAGCTAATAGAAAGTTGTGCATTTTTGTGAGATAGGGTCTTGTGATGTTGCCCAGGCTGTTCTTGAACTCCTGGGCTCAAGGGATCCTCCTGCCTCAGTCTCCCAAGTAGCTAGGACTATAGATGTGTGCCACCAGGTTGTACATTATTGAGCTGGTCATATCCTCAGAAGTAAAAACAGCCAGTTGCTCAGTTGCACCTGCTGGACATCTGCCGACAGGCCAAATGGAACCACTGCACTCCATATGCTGGGTCCCTTCCACCTCTTGTCCTTCACTGGTCAAAATGTGTCCCAAGCTTTAACTCCCCTGTATTTCTGAGTAGATGTATCTGGCCCCTGTAGGCAGACCTCATGTGGCCGTGGTGTGGGTTACCAACTGATTGAAAAGGGTGAGAAGAGCCATGTTCTCTCTAGGCCGCTCATGGCATAAGAGGCCTGTGACAGAGCCTGGTCTTCACCCTAAGGGAGGTCACAGGGGCGTCAGCAGGATGTGGGGCCAGGTTGCAGGGAGCTGAAGGCCCATGGGACGTAACCAACTCATCATTCTGCTGGAGGCTATATGATCAAACAGCAAACTGTTTATCATGAATGCAGGATGAGGGCAAACTCACAAGGCCCTGCCACCAAAAGGTTTGCTGAGGGACATCACTCCTTGGTGCCGGGCTCCTCGAAGTTATCTATTGGGAAATCTAGCACCTATTGTTCAAAGGATGCAGCCTCACAAGCCTGCTGTGAACCAATTGACAATTACTGGACAATCACACCCCCTCCCCTTTCTCACTATCTCTTTTGCCTAATAAATATGGAGAGCTGTGTAAAACTCAGGGCCCTTGTCCAGTAGAGGCAAGGCGCCCCCTGACCCCTTCTTCCAAATACACTCTTTTATCTCTTGTCTTTTATTCCCACGTTCGCCCCGCTTTGTTCAGTCCCCCTAGGTCCGTGCAGGCTACAAGTGGCACACTGAACAGTGACAGAATCGGGCAATCTACACCAGGTGACCCTCGAGAGGTGCATAGATTAGGTCCACTACAGCAATATTGAAGACCAGATTAGACAATGCAGGTTTTCCAATGCACAAAACTTACCTAAGTTCTCCCAACGTCGTGAGCCTCTAGTTGGGGGTTAGTATTTCTGAACCCCCAGTGAGCCGCTGTGTGATTCTGGCTCAGGCACAAAGGTCTCTGAACTGTTCACACAGGGCAATTACACTTACATCAAAGAGTTGTGAGACCTGAATTAAAATGCGGTGTAAATAACATTTGTAAGTGGCAATGAGCTCCATGTGTAAACATCAGGAGCTGTTGTCAAATGTAAAGATTGTGCTGAGCAAAATACCACGACTTGTTTTAGCCGGACAGGCATTAAAATATCCAGTGTTATTTTGACCTCAGCTGACCAATAGCTGCTCCATTTCTCCAAACTGTAGATGAGTCACCTAGGAAGTCCCTACCCCTTCATCTTCTTGCCATCCTCCCTCCATCCTATCCCACCCCCAGTGAGATATCCTCTTGTTCCCTTTTCTACCCAGCATCCAGAGTTCTGTCTGGCCCCCAGCAGGTGCCCATGGAGGCTACATATGGAATGAAGGAATGAAGGATTGAATAAATGTCTCCATTTCTTTGCACAAAGAGTTACCAATGCTTGAGATGTTCCCCTACTCCCAGGAAGTCACCCTCTCCTGGGAGCCTTTACTCAACCCGCCCTCCATTCCTGTCTTCCCCTTTCTCGGGGCAGCTGTGTGTGACATGCCAGTGCACAGTGGAATGGTTGGTTTTATCCATCTCCCTGACAGGCCCCTGAATTCTTAGGGGGGAAGGAACAAGGTCTCATTCACATTTGTCCCTGCATCTTGCTGGTTGAGGTGCAATCTGCAGCCTCGGGGCGGCGCTCTGGCATGAAGGAGGCCGCTAAGACGTTGTTCTGAAAGCTGGCTTGCAAGGTAGTTTATACTCTGCAAACCAGCGTTTATAGTGTGTGTTTACATGAGTGGCTTAAGGGTGTCCAAATACCGGGAAAAGGTGCTCAGTAAATGTTTCTTCCATGCATGCACTGTAGTATCTGACCCTCAGCTCTGTGTCTTAAGCCCCTGGTTCTCTCATCCAACCTAAAAATAGGATTGTCCAGGCCTTGAGGGCCTTCTGGAAGGCGCCCCCATCAGTCAAAGCGCTTGCAAAGTGCTTCCACCACAAGAGCAGAGAGGCCGCGCCATGCCTGTGATGCTGCTAGGCACAGCTTGTCTGAAAGAGATGCAACCAGGCTACCTCCCGAAGAACCGACTTGTTGATAATCTTGCCTCAAACAGAGGAGTTTGCAGATGGTTGAGGAAGAGCAGTGGTAGAAATGTTCTCCCCAGGGCCGTCACAACTCCTTCCCAGCCGCAGCCTAGTGTTGCAAGAGAGTTTCTGCTGCTGGGACTACAAAGGAGAGGACAAGGCCCATGGCCGGGAGAGGGGCGGCCTGCACCTTTCAGCCCCGGCGCCCGGGAGAGCCTGCGGGGAGTGCGGCGGGGAGAGTCCTCAAGGATGGAGCGCAAAAAAGGGTCTCAAGTCAGTCCTCGCCACCTTTCCGCAGCCTCGGGAGAGGCTTGGGGGAAGCGCAGGCAAGGGCCAAAACCCCATGGAAGTGGGAATCCTCGGCCTCCAGGGTGAATAAATAATTAAGCGCCCAATACACAATAGCCTCGCTAGATGGAGACGAGGAATCACTGCAGCGGCGCTGGCGGCGGCGGCGGGGGGAGCGCAACCCCGGGCGGGAGGCGGGAGAGGCTCTGGCTCGGCTCACGTCTGTTTTCCTTTTTCGTGGATTATTTATTTCGCCTCCACCCACGGCTTTGCTGCCCCAGCGGGAGCTCCCTGCCGGCGCCTCCCGCCGCTGCCTCTCGCGGGCCAGCGTGAGGGTAGTAGAGAGCTCGGGCACCCCAGTGCCCCGGGCAGCCGCGCGGCGCCACCAGGAAAGGCGGGGAGCCAACGCGGGCCCGGGGAGGGCTCGCGCGGCCGGCTCCAGGCGGCGTGGAGGAGACTTTCCCCGCCCTCTGCCTCCGCCTCGGCGGCCAGCCCTGGCCCTGGGAGCGGGGTGCCGCCCCTCCCGCCCCGCGCGCGGCTAGGCGCAGTCCGGAGCCACCGCGCCCTGCGCCCCGTGCGAGGACGCCGCTCCTGGTCCTCTGCTCAGCGGCCCGGGAGGCCCAACCGGCGCGCAAACTTTTGCTCCAGCGCCGGGCGCTCCTCCCCGGCATGTGAAGCCCCCGGGCGCCCGCGCAGCCGCCAAGGTGAGGACGGAGGCCCCGCCTAGAGGGCGGGGGACTGGGGAGGCGGCTGGCTTTAAATGGGGGCTGTCCGGCTGCTGGGAAACAGAGCTGCCGCGGGGGGAACGCGGACCTCTTTTCCCCGAGCCCAGGGTCGGCTGGGGCCGCCGCCAGGCAAGGTAGCGTGAGGCGTTGGAAGGGTGCGGGCGGAGATGGAGGCGTGGGGGAACCCACGCCCGGGAGCGGGAGATCGGGGCTGGGCGGAGGCGTGCAAAGGGGCAGCGCACGGAGGTGCCTATGTTGCAGTGTGCGCAATGAGGCCGGCTGGGCAGTGTGGGTGCAGGCAGCGTGAGATTTCTTGGGGCCGTGCATGCAGGGTCAGCGAGGGTGCAGGCAGGAGTCGGTGGGTGTGCACGGGGATCAGTGTGTGTGCACGGCTGTTTCTGTGGTTGTGCGCGCAGGTGAGTAGTGCCCGCCGGGTTTGAAGTGTGCTCACAGTGAGAGTGAGTTGTATGGGGGTTAATGGGGCGCAGTAAGTGTGCTTGGCTGTTTCTGGAGGTGTCCATGGGGCCAAGGTATGCACGCAGTATTCTGGAGCTGTGCGCGGAGCTAAAGTGTACACGCGGGGCTCTGGGGATGTGCGTAAGAAGAGTGTGAATTCTGGGACTGACGAAGAGTCAGTGAAGGTGTAAGCTGGAGTGTAAGTGCAGGCTTGGTTTACTAGGGTGCCCCTGGGTGCGGGGCGTGCCCGTCCGACCCGGGCTGGGAGGTATATTGGTGCGCGGCGGCGGAAGTGCCTGCGCGGTGTCCGCCTGACCCTAGCCTTGCTCTCCTGACAGTTCGCCCCAGGAGCGGGCGCCGCTGGCCGAGATGCTCCTCCGGGACTTGGTGCTGCGCCGTGGCTGCTGCTGGTCCTCGCTGCTGCTGCACTGCGCGCTCCACCCGCTCTGGGGCTTCGTGCAGGTGAGACGCGCCGGCTGCGCACTGGCTGGGAGGGCCTCCTGGGTAAGGGGCGAGCTGTCCCTTCCCTCCTGAGACCCTGGCCTCTTGCAGCCACCCCACTGATTGGTTCTCGGAAGAGCTTGGGAAAAGAAAAGCTGCTACGGTCCCCTATACCCTACCCCTGAAAAGATAAGAAACTCCAAAGAGAGGCTTCGATTGTGGCCTAAATCCTGCAGGACCGGGCTGGCCTTGGAATGGAAAGGGGCTCAGAGAATACCTTCCAATGATAACATTCTAGGGCAGAAATTCAGCAAAGAAACAAACTTACAAAGAAAAATGATCCCAAGGATATATATTATTTCTTTCTCACCAGAACCACTGATGAACTTCAAATTAGCTTTCTTAAACTGGTTTTCAACACGGAAGGCAGCCGTGTTTCTTATAGGTATCAGAGTTGAGGATGTAGACAGATAATGCATGGTGGCCCATCTGTCAGGACTGCCCAGGGTTGAATCTCTCACCCTGGGTCCCTTAAATCCCAGGGCAGAGGCCAGGCAGCCACTAACTGGAGTTACCTCTTAGGGTCAGAGAGGGGTTTCAATGGGGTGGTCCCTAGTCCCCCCCAGAATGCGCATCGTCACTGGTACAGTGGAGAGGTGACAAGGTGGACTTCGATGTCAGCTCTGGAATTTGAGCTTCAGCTCTGTCCCTCACCAGCTGGGAGGCTTTAGGCAACCCACTTACCCTCTCTGAGAGTTAGTTTCTTCTTCCTGACTGTACTATTGTAAGTACTTGATGAGATAAATGCATGTAAGGATTACTTAGTGCAGTGCCAGGTCCATGATGAAATTAACCAGTAGTGGTTGCTGCCATTGTTGATAGGAGTAATAGCAATGCCGTTCTTCTGCCTGGCTGACCAGGTACTCTGTTTATCACTGCGTGGTCTGTTTGACATTTTTTCTGCAGGCTCTGGAGGACATTTTCATTGTTTTGGGCATTGAGGATCCACTCTGGGGTATTTGTAGCCTCATGTGCTCCTGATGGCATTTTGGGGTTTGGGGACAATTCACATGGTTGCTCTGTACTAGTAGGGGTGACAGACCAGGAAAAAAAGGGATGCGGGCAAGACCACTTGCCAGTCTACCGAGGTCCATGAGCTGCCCCAAATGATGGGGCCCTGCCGAGAGCTTGCTCAGTCAGTCCTGCCTGGATGATGGCCTGGGTGACTGCCCATCGATAGCCAGGTTCAGACGCTGCTCAGCACCCCCTACTCCCAGGCCCCATCTTCTGCTCTCTTCTCTGGCTTGCCTCCGTCTCACAATTGTTTTCCTTTTGGAATTGACAGCTTTGTCTAATGTGTGAAACAGCAGTTATTAAACTCAGCTGTGCCTCCTCAGGAAACATGATTTTGTCACTTCTAAACACTTTAGTGGCTTGGGACCAGCTTCGCTTGTTCAACTTTTAGCTGAACCTCAGATATTGAGTTCACTTCGTTTTTAGATTCATTTGTTTACACTTTTCTCTCTTCCATAAGACACCTTCACCTGGGGTGGGAAGCAACGTAGTGAGGTTGTCAGTCTCCAGGACTAGAATTCTGCTGTGTAAGCTAGTAGGATCTAAACAGAAGACCCCCAAGCACCATGCACTCCTCCCAGAAGAAATAATTTTGTGAAAGCAGTTCAGTTTTTTAAGTGTCCTTCAGCCAGGCAGTACTTACACAAGCAGGGGTGTGTGTGTGTGTGTATGCAGGGGTGTCTGTGTGTGTGCAGGGGTGTGTGTGTGTGCGGGTGTATTTCAGATGCTCTCACTCAATACAAATCAATTTTCATAAAAATCAATTTAAAAAGGAACCCTCCAGACAAGTAGAATGGGTAAAATCTTGGCTTGAGGCTCTGGAAAAATTAATTTACAAATGATAGGGACAGGGAAATCAAGGGAAAGGGGTTTTGGAATGAATGGATCTGGCTTTAAGCAAAAGAGCTAAATCCAAGGGAACGTAGGAGAGAAGAGGAAAAATGGAAATGCACGAAGCCATGTGTTTCTCTTTAAGTGGGGAAAATAAAATCTGTCATGTCATAGGAGTTTCTCTAATCTGGAGAGCAAACTCAGAGCTATCTGCCCTTCCATGAGCATTTTGCCAGAAGAACATTTGGAAGGACAAGGCCAACATAACAAAGTCCTATGATTAATGGGATCGTCGATGAGGCAAAAGACCTGGGGTCCCCCAAAGCACCAGGTTCTTACCTTGCAATCAGCCTTAAGCCTCTGACTGCTGCTAGTTGATAAGAAACTTAATCATTAAAGTTAGACGATATTTAAATTGCCAGAAAGTTGGTGGGAGCATTCCTTAGCCTTTCACCCTGTTCTTTAATGTGTCTGGAATTGAGATTTTGAGCTTTTGTGATTTAGGGTTCTTCTAAGTTCACTTCCAGATGATTCTTTTTTTTTTTTTTTTTTTGAAAGAGAAGAGGATGACAGGCTGGCAAATTTATTAGGTGTGACAGGAGTATGTCTCATCAAGTTACCGTGGTGCTGGCCTGTCTCCATGAAAGATGCCAGAAGCCATCATCTTTGTGGCTGCCCTCCTAAAGTACTAGTTAGAGAGACAGCCTCTTATCTGGCCTTATGGGTCTCTGTGTGCTGATGAGGAGCCACCCCAGACCCAAGTGATGTTGAACCCCTTCCATGGTCAGTCTCTGCAGCTTTGATGATTCATTCGGCAGCATTTATTGGGCGCCTACTGTATGCCAGGCCCTTTGTTAAGTGCAAGGGGCTTAGTGGCCTCTTCCCTCGTGGCACTGATAGTTTGGCAATGTAGAGCTAATTAAACAAGTAATTATCATCAAGAGAGCTCAGCAAGAGCAAACAGCTTGGACCCGGGGCAAGAGTCATAGAAGCCTCAATGGTGTGGTGCTTCAGCTGAGACATGAAGGATGAGAAGTTAGGATGCAAATGAGGGTGAGGTGTCCAGGCAGACAGAACAGCCCAAGGCCAGAGGAGAGAGGGACTTTGGAAGACCCAGGGGAAAGAAGCACCAGGTAAGGCCACTGTTGTAAGCCACTAACATAGTGTCCTGCAGTTTGGACTTGATCCTGAGGGCTATGGATGTCATTTTAAGTAAAGGATTTTAAGTAACAGATGACACAATCTCAGGTTGGTATTTTAGAAATCTCAGTCCAGGCTGGTTGCAGTGGCTCACACCTGTAATCCCAACACTTCGGGAAGCCAAGGCAGGAGGATTGCTTGAGCCCAGGAATTCGACACCAGCCTGGACAACACAGCAAAACCATGTCTCAAAAAAAAAGAGAGACATCTCAGTCCAATTCCTGCATGAAGGATGGATGCAGGGAGGAGGTAAGGCAGGGGCAAAGAGGTAGGTAAGAGGAGGGTGGCCAGCTTTAGCAAATAAAATACAGGACATTCAGTTAACTTTGAATTTCAAATGAACTACAAATTGTTTTTCTAGCATCTTTCCCATATAATATTGGGGATATACTTTAAAATTATTTGTTGTTTATCTGAAATTCAGATGTAATAGGGTGTCTTATATTTTATCTGGCAATCCTAGATGAGAGGCAGGTACTGCCCACTGGAGACCTGATGGTGGCCTGGTTCAGGTGGCGGCAAAGGAAACAGAGGAATAGATGGATTCAAGAATGATTTAGGAGGCAACGTCTGCTGGACCCAAAACTGCACTGATTGGCCAGGAGTAGGACGGTGGTAGGACACTGATTGGCCAGGAGTAGGATGGTGGTAGGACACTGATTGGCCAGGAGTAGGATGGTGGTTGGAGAAGAGGGAACTGATGCTGGGAACACTGTGTCCCTCAGACCTCTGCTACAGGTACCAAATCCAGGGGACTCCAGGACATACCTGTGCCTCAGCCCACTCTCAGGACTACAGCATTTACAGGATTCTGGCTGCAGAATAGGGCCTGGAAGGCAGACGATTGTGAAATGGGAATAAGAAGTGGTCCCAGGAAGTACTGAAACCAGCCTGCGTTCTGTGGGCTTTAGGCAAGTCACTGACTTTTCTGGGCCTCTGCTCTTTCTTAACGAAGTCCAGCTAAGAGCATGTTACTTCAGGGGAAACTTCCTTCTCCTTTTGAAATTCCCCAAGATAGAAACCAAACGCCAGGTGTTGGGACAAGCTCCAGACACCCGAGGCTTCCTCTCTATTGGTCTAAATACAACACTGCCAATCAACAGAACCCCCAAGTGGAACCAGCACTGGGGAATGGGACAGATCCTGTGTTTCCCCACTGGTGGGCATTGTGCCAACTGAATGCTGGGCCTTGGGCAACTGTGGTACATCATTTAGCTTCGCTGAGCCTTCAAGCCACCTGTTAAGAGTGGATAATATCACCTATCTCTCCCGGTTATGCCCAGGGCGAAGTGGGAGCCTGAACCCATGATGGACACATAGTAGGGCTCAGAAAGTCATGATTGTTCAGGATTAATAAAGTACTCATCTACCTGCCCGCCCTAAGACACTCACAACTTAGTGTAGACAGACACACATTGCAAAATAGCATGGAAATGTCCCAGACAGAAGTGTTTGCAGAATAAAGCAGCAGCATTGAGCAGGTGAGTCTAATTTGGGGTGAGGGAGGGTTTAGGATGGTTTTGCCCAAGAAGGAGGACTGCTTGAGCCAGAAATTTGAGACCAGTCTGGTCAACATAGCGAAACCCTGTCTCAAAAAAAGGAGAGAGAGAAATCTCAGTCCTGTTCTTGCATGAACACCCAAGAAGGCTGTTCAAGAGATAGGTTTGAAGGATGGAGAGAGGCTAGCAAGTGGATATGGGGTCTGAGTAACCCAGAGTCGAGGCAGGCTCAGACGCCACAGGCTTGGACTGGACCAAACTATCAGGACACTGCAGTGGGGGCTCAGCCGTCAGGCATAAGGACGGACCAGACATGATCCTTTTGTGAGAACAGTTGGCTAAGCAATTGTGCCTGCTCACATTTCAGAGAGGCCCTTATGTAAGAGACTGAGAACCATTGATTTTTTTGTTTTGTTTTGTTTTGAAGCAGGGTCTCGCTCTGTTGCCCAGGCTGGAGTGTGGTGCACTGTAATAGCTCACTGCAGCCTCAACCTCCTGGGCTCAAGCAATCCTCCCACCTCAGCCTCTGGAGTAGCTGGGTCTATAGGCATGTGCCACCATGCCCAGCTAATTAAAAAAAAAAATTTGTAGAGATGAGGTCTCACTCTATTGCCCAGGCTGATGTTGAACCCCTGGGCTCAAATGATCCGCCCGCCTCAGTCTCCCAAAGTGTTGGGATTACCGGCGTCAGCCTCCGCACCTGGCCAAAGCTATCAATTTTATTTATGTATTTATGTATGTATGTATGTATTTATTTATTTATTTATTTATTTTTGAGACGGAGTCTTGCTCTGTCGCCCAGGCTGGAGTGCGGTAGCATGATCTCAGCTCACTGCAAGCTCCGCCTCCCGTGTTCACGCCATTCTCCTGCCTCAGCCTCCCGAGTAGCTGGGACTACAGGTGCCCACCGCCACGCCCGGCTAATTTTTCTGTATTTTTAGTAAAGACAGGGTTTCACTCTGTTAGCCAGGATGGTCTCGATCTCCTGACCTCGTGATCCGCCTGCCTTGGCCTCCCAAAGTGCTGGGATTACAGGCGTGAGCCACTGCGCCCGGCCTTATTCTTTTTTGAGACTGGAGTTTTGCTCTGTCGCCTAGGCTGGAGTGCAGTGGCATGATCTTGGCTCTCTGCAGCCTTGACCTCCAGGTTCAAGTCATTCTCTGCCTCAGCATCCTGAGTAGATGGGACTACAGGCGTGCACCACCCTGGCTAATTTTTGTATTTTTTTTTTGTAGAGACAGGGTTTCATCACGTTGGCCAGGCTGGTCTCGAACTCCTGACCTCAGGTGATCCGCCCGCCTTGGCCTCCCAAAGTGCTGGGATTACAGGCGAGAACTATCAGTTTTTTAAATGCAGTGTGCTCCTTCACTTCTTCCTCCTGCAGCCTTGAAATTTGGCCCTGATTTTTCTGCCTAGAGCTTCATCACATTAAACACCCTTATACATCTGTGCCTTCATATCCTCTCACAAAAATAGGTCATTGTGTCGGGCCAGGTTAAACAAACGTGCTTCTCTTGAACTCTCTCTCATAGATTGCACCTTGGAGATTGAGAAAATAATTACACTGGCAATGGTATTGCTTGAAGTTCACACACTTGGTAGAGTGCATTGGAGAAGTGGTCTCAGAGGCCAGCTATTAGGAGAATGAAGCTTTCTAGCAAACCCCAGGGTCTCAGAAGGTCAGAATCTAGAGGGGCACAGGCCCAACGATGGGATGTCTAACAATGGCACCGGTCTAGAAGCCGGTGGATTTCCCACTGACATGTAAGGAGTTAATCATTTCTGTAAAATAATTGAGCAGAGGCCACCATCAGACGGCATGCTCTTCCCAGTGGGAGAGAAGATTGCCTTCCAGGGTTTGAAACGCAGTCAATGGCCTTTTAAAAACATTAAAAGGTGATGAGCAGGAGCCTCTTAGCCTGGTAGATATTAAGCCGGGGCTGTAAATCAGCTCACTTCCCGCTGCCACCCCAGCGGACATTACCCACATTACTTCTCCACATCTTCCAGGTGCGATGGGAGCCTCCCAGCCCCGGGGGGCTCTCCCTGCCACGTGACAGAGGGGCTGGATCAGCATTCAAAGGCAGGCAACACATGGCTAGTTGCAGGGAAAGTGGAGTTCTGGTTTCCAGTGGCTCAGAGATGACAGAGAAATCAACCGTGGCTGTCGAGGAGGTGGAGGGTGACTGGCAACTCTTTGTGCTTTTAAACCAGCTTGTTCCCCGGGACAGGCATGAAACACCAGACTCTTGGATTTATGGCACTCTGTATAGTGAGGGACACTGGCAGTCAGTCTAATCCATCTACCCAGTTCCCATGCTGGCTCTGCATAAGAAGTTTAACCTGGAAAGCATAAGCAAAATCCCCAGGCCCAGCTCCACCTGCAAAATTTTGATTTAATCGGTGTGGCTCAGGCATGGGTATTTTTTAAAACCACCAGGGAGATTCCAAGGTACAGCCAGGGCTGGGAACTGCTGGTGGAGCCCAGCTCACTCGGGCTACCCTTCTCGTTGACACATGAGGAAGCTGAGATTGGTGCTGGAAAAACACCAGGCCAAGGTTCAAGAGGCGTGGATTGTGGCCCAGTTTTTCATATTCATTCATTCATTCACCAAAAATTTATCAAATGGTGGGCATTCCCTTAAGTGGTGATTTATGATAGTGAGAGAGAAGGAACAAGGCCTGCTCTGCCCTCAGCGAGCTCACAGTGCCATGGTGAAGATAGGTATGAACCAGGTAACATCCAAATGTAGCTTTCTGCCCCTAGAGGGGAACCTGGTGCCAGGAGAGCCCATACAAAAGGATCTGGCTGGATAAAGAGGTCAGAGACACATCTGTGAGGTCATCGCCAAGCTGAGTCAGGGGCGTAGCAGGGTAGGGATGGGAGAACATTTCCACCACTGGAGCAGCAATTGCAGAGGCCGGGGGCCTGGAACTGAAAGGAGAGAATGAGGGCAGAGAGATGGGGAGAGAGCATGGGACGAGGTGGGGCCGGAGAGGTTGTCAGGGATCGCCCCTTGCAGACCTTGTAGGCCACATGATCCCACGAGGGGTGGGGTGGCATCTGGGTCTTTCTGGGGGGATGGAGGTGGTTTGGAGGGGTGCCCTTCCCACAAGACCACCTGGATGCTGAGTGGAGAGCATCAAGCAGGTTGCTCTGCTCCCTTTGGTCACGTGGGACACAGGAGTAGAGGCCTCTCTGGGTGAGGTTTCTACCCAAGAGAGGGGGGCCTTGCCCCAGAGTAGACATGACAAGGCCATCAGGAGCGAGGGCTGGAGAGAAGGCCAGGGCTTGGCCTTGGGCTGTAGCAAGGAAGACAGGAGAAGCGGTTGGGCTTAGATTACAAAGGAAGCAAAGGGTCTCACTCTCCAAATGTGAGACCCTTGGGCAGCTACTTCTGCCTGGGCCTCAGTTTACTCGTTTGTACAATGGGGAAATTCTACCAGTTAACCTTCAAGTTCTTGTCTACTTCTCATTCATATCCAGGTCACTTGCCCAGGGTCCCTGGCAAAGCTAGGAAGAAAACCTTGGTCTCCAACCAGCCAGGCCAACCGCCAACAACATTGTCCCCTTTGAACCAATCCGACTTCTGTTGATTCTTCCTGCCTTGGTCTTGGAAAGGAATCCCAAGTCCCAGCCTGGCAGGGGACGGGGTGGCCTGGGCTTGTTTCAGCTTCTAGTTGCCTTATGGTCTTCTCTCTCTCTTGGGTACGTGTGCCCATGTGTACAGGTGACGCATGGTGAGCCCCAGAAGTCCTGCTCCAAAGTGACTGACAGCTGCCGACACGTCTGCCAGTGCCGGCCCCCTCCCCCGCTGCCCCCGCCGCCCCCACCCCCGCCACCTCCCAGACTCCTCTCCGCCCCAGGTAAGTAATGGCTCACTCCATTTTCGGGTTTCTCTTTGTGTTTTCCTAGGCCCACGAAGATCCACTGAGTGTGGCCGAGGGCAGCCCTGCCTCCTTGGTAATTTTCCACTGGCCAAGCAGGAGGGAAGCCAAGGCCCAACTTTCCCCTGCAGTCTGCAAAACGCCTTTCCCACAGCGTGCTCCTGCAAGATGGAGAAGGATGTTTCTCCATCAGTTAATCAGATAAAAGTCAATCTCCATTTGATGAGTGACTTGGCCTGGATAGTTCCGAAGGCCAGATCTTTAAAGGGGGCAGCTGCTGGGGACTGGTCTTAAATAGCCCCCCTCCCCCAACACACAGTTCTATTTCTCTATTATAATTTACATTTAAGGAGGCAGTTAGGGTAGAACCAAAGTCAGTGCTCTGGGAGCAGAGTTTCAAGATGCCATTCAGCTATGTGCACCAAATTCTGCTAAAACCTCTCTGTGACTTGTTTGCCTTGGACGATTTCATCTCTGAACAATTTGATTGCGCCGTCGTTCAAACAAAGGAGCGTTTCTTTAGCCAGAAATGGCCTCAGCCCTGACCTCTACATGGTAAAGTTCCCTGTTTACAATTGCTACTTGATAAGGTCTCTCCAAAGGAGGTTCTGTATTTCACGTGGTTCATTCAAGTTCCCACCTATAGGATGCCCGTGATCATGTCGGTATCTACCTCATTAAACACATCTCCATGGAATTATTTGGGATGTATTTTCAATAACCTTGGCACAAAGCTTGTTCTCTGGTAGGCTGCGTTTCCAGCCTCTTGGTCCCCAGTCAGTGATGCAATGTTCTGGAGGATCTTTGCAATTTGTGTGAATTTCTGCATTTTGACTGTGAGGCCTCTATATATCTCCATCCTTCCCTGACACCCTGTGGCCCATTCCTTCTCAAAGCCTGGCCCTCAAATGACCTGCTTCAGCATAACCCAAAGCATTTGTTTTAAAATGCGTCTTCTTGGGCCCACTTCAAACCCACTGAGCCAGAGTTTTTGGGGTGAGACTTGGGAATCGTCACAATTACAGGTTCTGAGGTGATTCAAATGCAAGTTACAGTTGAGAACCTAGGCCTGCCAGGCCCTCTGCTCCAGGCCTCTGCCAAATCCTTCTATCCCGGGATGCTCACTGGCCTCCTCTCTCCTGAAAGAATCCCTGGGCCTGCACCTACTCTTGGAGATCACTCCTCTCCCTTCCTTTAGAATTCCTCACTCTCCCACATTTTGGGCCCCACGGCACGTAGTCTCCCAGCGGTTTGTATTTAATGATCCACATCCCCCAGCTAGCATCCCTTCAGGTCTTCTTGTGCTCACTGAGCATCTGTGTCAGACAGAGGAGAAGGACCGTCCTGGCCCTCTGGAATCTCAGCCCTCCCAGGGAAGGCCATCCTGTCAGCAACCCACAAAGAGTGGCCTGAGAGAACACAGAAATGGTTTGCCAGGTACACTGGAAATACCTGAATAGTTAAGCAAAACAGTAGCCCCAGTAAATAGTAACAGGGGTCTTTAAGAATAAATGGGATTGGTCGGGCACAGTGGCTCATGCCTGTAATCCCAGCACTTTGGGAGGCTGAGGTGGGTGGATCATGAGGTCAGGAGTTCGAGACCAGCCTGGCCAACATGGTGAAACCCCGTCTCTACTAAAAATATAAAAATTAGCCAGGCGTTGGTGGCAGGCGCCTGTAATCCCAGCTGCTCCGGAGGCTGAGGCAGGAGAATTGCTTGAACCCGGGAGGCGGAGGTTGCAGTGAACCAAGATTGCGCCACTGCACTCCAGCCTGGGCCACAGAGTGAGACTCCGTCTCAAAAAAAAAGAATGAATGGGATTGTTCCAGGTTGCTAATCAGGTTGGGGGAAAAGGGCATCCAGGCAGAAGGAAGCGCATGGACAAAGGCTTGGAGGTATGGCTCTGTGAGACTCCTCTTGAGAGTCACAAGCCCTTCAGTGGCTTGAAAGGGTGGCCAAGGAGGAGGACCTAGAAGGGCCTCGTGTGCCTGGCTGAGCAGATCGCATTTCATCCTATGGGTCATTGTTTACCAAACAATGATCTACATTCACGCATATCCAAGTACCATCTCTTATTTGCCTTATTTTTTTCTTTAAATAAACTCATTTTGTGTGTATACAAATTAATCTCCTTAACTTTACAAAACTACTCTAAATGAGAAACTAGTTCCACTTGCATAAATGGAAGGTGACCATAATAATAAATGCAGTGGAAGCAAACCAAGCTTTTAAAATTCCAGCTTTCTCTGGAAGATTCTGAGCTTGAGACTTTCTCTCTATTTGTTAAAAAGGGAGAGAAGTAAGCGGTAGAGAGATGTGAAAGCCATAGTGGCACAGTGCTGAGACCTTCTCTATAAAGTAATTGGAAAGTTTGTAAGTGAATCAAAAGGAGCTTAAGTTTCTTATTACAGGTTTCAATGTGTTTGAGTGCTGGGTCCATATACCATCTAAAATCAGCTCTCATAACTGCAGGGACATGGACCCAGTGCTTTAGGAAACTGCTCTGGGCAGTGATGAGCCTACGAAGGTGTTAAGTGGGGAAGTGACATGAGCCTATATTGTCTGTTTCAGAAAGATCAACTGTTTTGACAGTGTGGGTTGGATTGGAGTGGATTGGGGTTGAGCTGGCAGACTGGAGTCAGGTGGGGGTCTCTTGAGATCATTCAGACCCCAGACCATCCAAGAGGGCCTGAAACCAGGCTGGGGGCTACGGAGATGGGAGGAGGCTAGAGGAGAGTGCTTGGTTGAGTACAGAGAGAACTCATGTTGAGTTTTGGGACTGAAGGTGCTTCTTGGGAGAGGAGAGTAAGAGAGGAGAGCTCTGTATGGCAGGACTTTTTCTGTTTCAAGTAGCAAAAACACATCTTGAAGTGGTTTAAGCAATACAAAAACTAGGGAGAAAGATGTTAGCTTGTGGGCTCACGTATCAGGATATCCAGGCAGCAGATCTGCTGAATCCATGGTCTCAAATGATGACGGTATTGGATTTCTGTCTCTGGCTCTGTCGCTCTCTCCTGATTTCTCCTGGGTTGCCTTTTCTCTCAGGCTGGCTCAGTTCCTGTAGCTCCAGGCTCCAGCATTCCATCATTCTTACAGGCAGTAATATCCCTAGGAAGAGACCTTCTGTTTCCCAGTAGTCCGAGGGAAGTCCTGAGGCTGACTTTTGCTGGACTAGCTTGGGTCATGTGCCCACCTGTGGACCAATCATGGTGGCTTATGGGATAGAGTATGCTGGTTGGTCAGGCCCGGGCCATGTGACCACCCCTGGAGTTGGGATGTGTGGATAGAGGCTCAGGGAGAGGTGGTTTCCCAAAGGAAAATCCGAATAGAAGGGCTAAAACCCAAAAATAAGAACATGGCTACCAGGCCAGGAGGGCAGGGAATGTCTATCATAGCCATGGAGTGCCTCCGGCATGGAAGGTGGATTAGACCAGTGGTGGAGAATGTGATTTATTCATTCTCTTGGTCCTCCTTGAGCTCAGCCCAGAACCCTGCACACAAGTAGTGCCCAATAAATGTCAGAGCTACGGCCACATCCACAACTTCTGCCAATCATAAAATACGGAGGCGGAGGTTGCAGTGAGCCAAGATTGCACCATTGCACTCCAGCCTGGGCAATAAGAGCGTAACTCTGCCTCAAAAACAACAACAACAGCAAAAAACAACAAAACAAACAAAAAAAACAAGTGCCTGCTATATAACCCTGAAGGAATTCATGTCTCCCAGAGGGCACAGGGCTTCAATGCTGTGGAGCCTCAGCTCTCACTCAACAGGTGCACACTGAGCTCCAAATGTGGGGCATGGTGCCAGGGCCCGGGAACCAGCAGTGAGCAGCAGACAGCTCCTGCCCTCATGGAGTTCACAGTCCAGTGGACTGTCATTTGCAGAAGGTGTTCACTGGAGTGTCCCTTCCTGCCATCTCTCTGGATTCACTGGCTCAAGGCATGTGCCAGTCCTTGTCCCATTTGCTCATCTGATGTCCTTTGCATTCTTGCCACTCACAAGGGCCTCTCATTCACCTGGCGAGCATTTGCCAGGCACCTGTTCTAGGTCCAACCCTGCGTTGGGCATCCTGAGGGATACAGAGTCACACAGGGACTTATCCACATCAGCAGGGCCCAGGTCATGAAAGGCCAAGGACTTGGCATAAGAGGCCGATTCCATGAGCCTTTCTTTAGCCTATGTTGGCGTGCTAGCCCTGCTCTTTCCTCTTCGTGATTTTAAGAGAGCCGGTTAACCTAAGCCTCAATTTCTTCCTCTATAAAATAGGTCATGGGCCACACCCACCCCATGGGGTTGAGTTGAGGGTTCCTGAAAGTGAGAAGTACTTTTGAAAACTAGACAGGTATCCATTGCTGTAATCGTCCTGTGGAAAGCGTTCTGATGAAGAGCAGCCTGTGAGTGCAAGCCAGACTTGGGGGATAAAGAGGTGCTATTGGGAAGGGGATACGTAATTACAAAAGGGGCAGGGAGGACGGATTTGGGAAGACGTGGGAGAATTCCCAGGTAGAATGGGACAGGTGGGAGCAGAGGGAGGCTGCACAGGCCACGAAGGAGAGGGAGTGGCCAAAGCAGACAGCCAGAATTAGCAGCCCAAGGATCAGGCAGGAGGCTCCCTGCTGAAGTGACATTGATCCACAGGTGTGTTGAGCTTTGGTGTGTGTGTCTGGCATAAAGGGAGAAAGAGGGGAGAGAGAAACACCTATTCGTGCAGGCCTGTGAAGTGCCCCCTAGAAGTAATGACCAGGAACGTTTGCAGGGCGTCCTTCACATGGCCAGGCAGGCATTGCTCTTCATCCAGACAGCACCTGCTGCTGCCCTGCCCCTCAGGGTGACCCGCTTGTCCTGGCTGGCCCGGGCCTCTCTAGGTTTTAGCCCCGAAGGTCCTGTGCCCCAGGAAACCCCTCAGTCCTGGACAAACTGGAACAGCGGGTCACCCCACTGCTGGGCCACCCTTCTTCTGGCAAAGGCAAGAGTGGTTTTTCAAATTGTTTTTTGTTATCTTTATTTTGGGGGTGTTTGTTTTGTTCTAATTTACTATGAATTTTTTTTCTTTTTTTTTGAGACGGAGTCTCTCTTTGTCGCCCAGGCTGAAGTGCGGTGCTGTGATCTCGGCTCACTGCAATCTCTGCCTCCTGAGTTCAAGTGATTCTTCTGCCTCAGCTTCCCGAGTAGCTGGGATTACAGGCATGAGCCGCCACACGTGGCTAAGTTTTGTATTTTTATTAGAGAGGATTTCACCATGTTGGTCAGGCTGGTCTCAAACTCCTGACCTCAGGTGATCTGCCCACCTCAGCCTCCCAAAGTGCTGGGATTACAGGTGTGAGCCACCGTGCCCAGCCACCATGAATCTTTTGAGAGTCCTGACTTCCCTCCCCCACTTCATTGCTGGAGAGGGCAGCTTGGCCTCCTATTCCTCTGTGGCAGGCCCAGATCTGTGCCCTGCTCCCAGCAGCCCTACCCTGCGCCCTGCCTGCCACTGGAGAAAGAGCAGGAAAGGGATCTGGTGAAGCGGAAGGTTCTCAAGCAGCATCTCCACTTTCTGCCCTTGGGTTTTTCAGGCTCTGCCCACAACCCTCACTTTGAGTCTGGGCACTTGACCAGGGGTTCTCCAACTTGAGCTTGTATCGGAAGCGCCTGGAGAGCTTGTTTAGTCACAGATCACTGGAGCTCATCCCCAGAATTCCTGACTCGGTAGGTCTGGGGTGGGGCCCGAGGACCTCCTTTTCAATTCCCTTCTCAGGTGATGCTGACGCTGTTGGTCGTAGGAGCACACTTTGAGAACCTGTGCCCTACAGAATGACAATCTCAGCAAGGGGCTTTGGGGCCAGCCCCAGCCCTTTCACTCCTAGCTCAGACTCTGGCCATGTCACAACCTCTCAGAGCCTCAGTTTTCTCATAGGATTCCTACCTGCAGAGGAATTGTCATGAAGATTAGAAATTATCCAGGCCATCCTGGGCAGAAACTTTGTGCTCAAAAGGTGGTATTATGTAGCGCAGTGGCTCAGAGCCTGGCTTCCTGCCCTCTAGACCTGAGGTCCAACCCTTGTTCATTAGCTAAGTGATTTGGGCAAGGAATCCTTAACTGCTTGGAGCCCCAATTTCCAAATGTGTAGAATGGAGTTAACAACCCTACCTGCTGCACATGGGTGGTTGGAAGGATTCGATGCCCTACAACTAACACAGCACAGAGCCTGGAACCCAGTTAACACGCAATAAATGGCAGCTCATAAATAATTCTAATGCAAGCAGTAGAAATGAGAGTACGTCACTAACCTTCAGATTGGGAGTTGCTTCTGCAGGGTTCCAGCATATCTCTGCTGAGATAGGAGCATCAGATTAGACACTCTGAGGATGAGATGGGCTCTCGAAGGAGGTGTAGACTCCCCTGCATCTTCAACAGGAAAGAAAAGGTTTTCAGAGAGTCCCATCTGTGTCTCTTCCTGGGCAGCCCTTGCCAGGCATGTGATCCTCAGTGTCAACGGAGTGTCCCTGGTGAAGGTATTTCTGGAAGGCATGGGTGGGCATGAACCCTGGCAGAGCTAGAGGCCTGCTTGTGGCCTGAACAAAAAGCCTTCAGCAGCCACCAGAGCCCAGGACCTGGCTTGCTTTGTAAATGTCAGCCATGGCCTGCCTGTCCCCGCCTGTGACTCAGATGGCGGAGGCCATGGAAGGAGATGTGTACCAGCCCTCAAGCAAAGCACACACACGCCCTCTGTGAGACCTGCTTCCAAGGCTGACGGGGCCAAAAATAGCTGTGGCAGAACAGAGGCGTGAGCCTGCATTTCCATAGTGCCTGTCTTGAAGGAGTTCAAAGCACTGATAGAGATTTTATTGGGGCATTTATTTTGTTCTTGGAAAGATCAGAAGGAGGTTAAGTGACTCCTCAAAGGTCACACAACAGTGGTGGAGCCAGGAATAGGGTCACCTGGTTCTTCTCCTATGTGCCAAAGGCCAAGTTTCAACAGAGAAAGAGACAAATGGGACTGTGGAAGTTCTAAGATGCTTCCTTTTTACCCACCCAGGACACTAGAAAGAAGCCAATACTTAGTTTCCAGTACTGTTGGAGAGAAGCTCTGCTCTCCTCATCTCATTTAATCCTCAAACCCTTCTTTGTAATAGGTGGTATTATTGCCAATTTTTATGCGGAGCTCAGAGGTTCAGAGAGGGTGAGTTACTTATTCTAGGCTGCCCAGCTGGAGAGGAAGGGAGGTTATTCAAGGCTATCTGATTACTTCCTAGTGTGGCCCCTGCCTAACTCTTCCCTCCAGTGCTGAGAGGCAGCTTCAGGGACCCCCCTTTCCTTTCCTTCCCTGGGCCTCACTCCTTCCTGTCTTGGAGCCTTTGCACGTATAGTCCTTCTGTCCACCAGCCTCCCCTTCGAAGTAGAACCTGACTCATGCTGATCTCAGCTCAGATTTCCTTTCTTTCTTCAGGAAGACCTTCCCTGACTTCCACAAATGTCACACCAGTCCCTGTTCTGGTCATTTACGGCTGCAGAACGAACTACTCCAAAAGCTACAACACCAACATATTTTCTTTCTCTTGCTGCTACAGGAGTTGACTGGCTCCACCTGGAGGTCCCTGCTTGGGGTCTTTCATGCACCGATAGTCTGTCAGCCAGGGCTGGGGCCACCTTGAAGGCTTCCTCTCCCATGTCTTGTGGTCAATATTGGCTGTAGATTGGGTCCTCAGATGGAGCTGTTCACTCTAACACTCCATGTGATGCCGCCTTGTGAACTGGGCTTCCTTACAACATGGTGGCTGAATTTGAAGGTTGAGAGGCTGATGGGAGCTGTATCCCTTTTGATGTTGCAGTTGAAGAAGTCACCCAGCATCAACTTCCACTGCATTCTGTTTTTTAGAATCAAGGGACCAGGGCTGCCTCATATTGAAACAGTGGGGAATTAGACACCACCCCTGATGGAGCAGTGTCAGAGGAGTTGCTTACATTTGGAAACCATACCGCCCTGCATCCACATGCACACACACATACATGCGCACACACACACATACGTGCACATGCACACACATACATGCACACGCGTACATGCACACGCACGCACATGTACACACATACATGCACACACACACATACATGCACTCACTTTGAATTTTTCATTTTCTTTTGTAGCAGTTATTCCACCTTTTAAATATGTAATTAATGACTTGACCAATGCTTGATCCTTTGTTAGTCGTACACAGTTGTCCAGTGTCTGCTGGGTCCTCAGTGATAGCCCCAGATATTTAGCACGTGCCTGGCATGTCATGAGTCCTCCGTAGCTACTAATTCACTTACCTTACAGATATTTTTGAATATCTACTATATGCCAGGCACTAGGTACTAGGTGCTGGGAATCTAGTGGTGGACAGAACAGAAGGGCCCTGCAGTCACAGAGCTTGTAGATTGATTGCTCTGTGTGTGCGCGGGAGGGGGCATGGGATGGTGGTATAGGAAATAAGCAAACCAAAACTATCACAGGAAAAATGGAAGATAACATGCTACAGAGATAGAGAAAATCATACGATTTGATAGGAGTAACTGGGGGGCTGCCTAGGTTATGTGGACCTGAGATGCCATTTAAGCTGAGAGCTGACCGAAAGGGAATAGCTGGTGGAGGAAGATCTGGGGGAAGAGCTTTCTCATCAGAGGAAACAGCATGTGCAAGGTCCTCGTGTGGAGAAGCACTCTGGCTGTGTGAAGAGCCAGCGTGGCTGCTGCCTGCTACGAGGGAAGACTGCAGGAGGTGAGCCCACAGGGAGGCAGTGCCCGGACCGCACAGGGCCGTGGAGGCTAGAGAAGGAGTTTGGATTTTATCTGAAGTGCAGCCAGAAGCCAGCGGGTTTTGAGTAGGGGGTGTGGCATGCCCTCACGTGCACTTTACAAAGACTGACTCTGGAGAGTGGAAGGAAGGGGAAGAGTGGAGGCTGGGAGCCCAGTGAGGAGGCTGTTGCCATGGGCCAGGTGAGTGACGGTGCAGGGAGAGATGGTGGTGGTGGGCTGGACCCGGGGTGGAGGCAAGAGGAGGTGTCACGCCCTGGTCTAAGTTAAGATCATTCTGCAGCAGGGACTCACTCAGTGATGGCTGTGGCTGTAGGGGGAGAGCGGAAGCAAGAATGCTGCTAGGTTTTGAGGAATGACTGCGTGGAAGAAACCACCAGATGTCACTTGGCGCCCCCTCTCCTTGGTCCTCCTGATATCTGTGATCTCATGAATGGGATGATGAAGCAGACTCAGGTGGTGCAAGGAAGGCGGTGGCTCAGTTTCCCCACCTCCACCATCAGTGTGTTTTAGCTGCTGCCATCAGAAGGACCCAGGCTCTGGGACATTCGCAAGAATCCAAGGTTTAACTAGGCTTCATCATCATCAAATGAATTCCCTGCTGCTGGTGCAAACCAGAGTTTCCTCCAAGTTGTGATGAGTTTCCGACTAACAAAAGAGGAGGTCCAGGCCTGGTGGGTCGCAAAGCTGAGCGACAGGCACAGCAAGTGAAGCCAGTCCCCGTGACCCGCCTTCCCTGCAGGCGACAGGCTCCTTATGAAACCTCATGAATGCCGCTGCCCTAGCCCTTGGCTGGACGCAGTGTGAGCCTGTGACGAGGGACTGTGGGCATCAAACACGGGCCATGTCACTTTGAATGTCTCCTGCTTCAAGGGCTGTGTTCATGCCCAGCTCACTGTTGCCATTGATTCCGGCCTCGGGGTGTTGAATGCTCGTCTTTTGCTACCCTGTGATCCACTTGCCTGGTCTGCAAGCAGGAGGGCCTGGAGGCCAGGCCAGGCTCTTGCTCTTTCCAGATGTGTGCTGGTCACTCAGCCTCTCTGAGCTTCAGTTTTCCCGTCCTCCAAAGTGGGTTGTGCAAATCACACATGCGAGGTCCTGGCCCAGCCCTGGAACATTGTCCACTCACAGTAAATGAGATCTCTCGTCACTGTATAACCCTTGCTTGAGTAAAGTTCTTATCCAAACTGGCCTCAGCTTCCTCATTCATAAAATGGGCTGACTCTGCCTTGCATTCCCCTCTGTACAAAGCACAATGCAGGTATGAACATGACTCCTATCTCCAGATGAGTTTGAGATCCGTAAGAGCCTCTAGAATGGCTGGACTTTTAAAAAAGTGATCTTTAGCCAGTTGTGTTGGTGCACACCTGTAATCACTGGCCTTTTAAAAAAGTGATCTTTAGCCGGTTGTGGTGGTGCACACCTGTAATCTCAGCTACTCGGGAGTCTGAGGCAGGAGAATCGCTTGAACCCTGGAGGTGGAGGTCGCGGTGAGCCAAGATCGCACCACTGCACTCCAGCCTGGGCGACAGAGTGAGACTCCATCTCAAAAAAAAAAAAAAGAAAAAAAGTGATCATATCTTTTTTAAGTACTGAATTTTCCTCTCCCAATGCAGTAAAAGGAATTGTTTCAGTCTTCTGTTTATTTATTTGTGTCCAGCAAATAATCAAAGCTTGCAAGTTTATACATATTTTAATTTACTCAACAAACCTTTACTTATTGATTTATTGAACATTTACCAAGGTTGTGCCATGGCAAGTTCTGGAACTACAAAGGTGAATTCAACATAGCCCTGCCCTCGGACTCCTGCCTCTAGTTGGACACTTGAGCCCTGGTTGCTTGTTGACAACACCTGGGGGCTTTAAAAATACCTGATACCCAGGCCCACCCTAGACGGGAGTTTAAAGCTGCCCCAGGTGATGCTCGCATGAATCAAGGTTGAGACCTTTGGCTAAAACCAGTGGCACAAAGAGACCTGTATCAAAATAGAAACAGGTGAGGTGTGATGGAACTTAGACCCAAAAGACTGGGGGAGTTGCAGGCGAAGAGGTGGGGAGGACAGTGCACCTTCTCCGTGGCCCCCTGCTGCCAACACGGCCACTAATATGTTTGCAGGGTTTAGGCCAAACTCAATCCTGCCCTCCAGGGGTTCTGTGTCTTATGTGGAGTCTGGACTGAACATTGAGGTGGAAAAAGGGACACGTGTGTCTTCAAGAGGCCGCATCCAGGCCCGGCATATGCTTCCTGGGTGCTTTTTTTTTAAAAAGAGATTTTTTTGTTGTTGAGGTAAAATTCATACAATGTAGAATTCACCATTTGGACCATTTAAAAACATAGAATGTAAAAGGTCTTCAGTATATTCACAATGTTTGCAACCATCACCACCGTCTCATTCCAGATCATATTCCTCACCCCTAAAAGAAACCCATACCTACCATCCCCTGCAGCCACTGATCTTCCGCCTGCCTCCATGGATTTGCCTGTTCTGGACATTTCATATGAACCTGAGTGTTCAGAGGCAGGTGAGCAAGGCAGTCCAAGCCTCAGTTTTCTGATCTGCTAGTGGGGATGATGGCTCATTCCTCGCTGTCTCCAGGCAGAATGGAGAGGGGGGGTGTGTAGGGTCAGCCTGCCACCTAGCATGAGGCAGGTGCTCGGAGGGTGTGGCCCCATAATGGCAGGAGATTCTGCAGGATGGGGAGTGTGATCCTGGCTAAAAGTCTCCACCTTTGGGCTCAAGGGCTAGCTCCGGCACCCCTGGAACTCTGGTCTCAGGATGGCATTGTTCTGCGATTCCCAGCATCGGCTGTGATGCAGGAACAGTGAGTTGACATTCACCTTGGCATGAGTTTGCTGAAGGGTCAGCCAACCCTTTGCTCCTGACCAAGGCCCCACTCCCTGGTTCTGGGCTCTGGGACCTGATAGTGCCGGGCATTCTCTAACTTCCCATCCCTTTCCCTGCTCCTCCTCTCTCCAGCAGCAGGGTCCACAGTGAGACTCACCTAGTTAGAATCTTGTGACCTTGGGAAAGCCTCCTAACTTGACTAACCTCAACTTCCTGATCTGTAAAATGGGAGTCAGCCCACCACTTACTCAGTAGGGTTGTTTTGAATATTCACTGAGATAGAGATAGTTAGTTAGCCCAGGGCTTGGCATACATCGTTCTTAATAAATGTAGCTGTTGTGACGTTTGCTATTTCTGATCAGTATCACCTTCTTGGTCTGCCCACCCCCTTCAAGGCCTTCCTCTCTCTTGGGCACAACTTTCTCTGCCCAGAGGATCTTGTCAATTATTGCAGACGTTGGTCATGGCGACGTGAGGTTGGTTCAAGTCTTGTAGGCCACTCTGCCCATCAGTGGGCTCCAAGACTTGATGCCCTGTCATTTGTTCATTTGTTCATTCCTTCATTCAGTCCTTTCGCTGTGTCTCATGCACTGGGTAGAGATGAAAATAAAGAAGATATGGTCCTTATCAGTTAATCAGTTTGTATCTTATTTTCCTTCTTCATTTCTTCTTCTTGAGTTGCAGAACTTGACTTGGCCATGCACACTGAGGGCATGAAACCCAGTCATTGGTTTTGATTGTTTTGGTTTTGCTGTTCATGGGAAAATATTAAAGTGGATGTCTGCAAGGGGTCTTTGCTGGGTGTGGGGATATAAGTGGACTCATTCACCTTCAGGGCTGAGGAGCGTCTGCAATTTGTTTACCAAAGGTTTGTTGAATTCTCTGTGTCATGCTGCATGTGAGGCCCCAGGATGCAGTGATGACTAGAGTGAGGCTCCTGCCATTGCTGCATCCAGCTCTGTCCCGTGGTTGAAATCACACATGTGTCTGCAGTGGGCAGTGGCAAACTCATTTGAGTGGGAGAGATGCTGGCCTTGAGGGGAACCAGGAATTCCTTGGGTATCACCTGATGCTGGCTCTTGGAGGCTAGAGGCTGGCTTCTTGTCATCCAATCATCCATCTCTCCCAGCACACCTGACCCTGAGGTGACTCACACTCGGAAGGGCCAAATGACTTGCTCAAGGCCACCACCAAGGGAAGGCTGTGGGACCCAGACCCAGGTCTTTGGAATCTGGGTCTTGTTTTCTTTGCCTCTGCTGTTACCCAAGCACAATAGATGCCCTGAGCCATGTCTCAGGCAAGGGTGCTTTGAGGACATGTTCATTTCGTTGAACCATGAGGAGGCATTGGTTTGCTACCGTAGTGTCAAGAGTAGATGAGCATCTTCTGAAAAACTGGTCTTTAAAAAAATCTACAGCCACTGTGCCTTGTGTAAGTGGCCTGGCTCCCTCTTGGATGCTACCTGGAAAGGTGGAGAAAAATGTGTGGCCCTGAGTGCAAAGGACTTTTGGCTTCTTCTTTTCTTAGCAGCTTCATGTTGGGTTCAGTTTTAGGTCACTACCCTCATTTTATATATTATCGATGAAGGCAAATTAGAAAATCATCAAGTAACATAAATGACTTAGAAAGCATAATTTCTGGGGAAGAGAACTTTCAGCTGGCCTTTAGGGGGCTGCAGGGATGGAGCATGAGGGTCCTGAGAACTGGGGGTGCTAGGATTGGAGGTCTTCAGTGTTGACTTGGTTTCCCCAAAGTGACTGATCATTAAGAGGGAGAGGAAGAATGTCTAAGGGACATAATTTGAAGCAAGGATACTTATCACTTGCAAGCTTATTCCCACGGTCCTGATTCAGCAGCTAACACCTGCACTTTCTTTCCCCAAATTCCAGTGATTTGGAACCCAGGTGCCATGCTGTAGCTGTGTGGCCTCAGAAAGGAGCTTTGCCCTCGTGTAGACCTCCTTTTCCTCCTCGGGCTGATGAGAGGGTCAAAAGGAATAATATGTTCAGTGCTTACAATAGTGTCCAGTACAGGGTGGCCACTCTGCCAAGGTTAGTTAGCTCATCTTATTATGAAATTCATCTAGGATGCCCCACTTGTGTCCAGGACAAAGCAACCAGTCTAACCTATTAAGTGTCTGATCCGATCCCTGAGGACAGGAACTGTTTATGCCTCTGTGTCCTCAGCGGCAGCACAGGGCTGGACACATGGAAAGTGCATGCTGAGTGTTTGCATAAATGAATGCATGCATGGCTGGATGACAATGATGAAAGATCAACTCTGGAAGAGAAAGGAAGTAGGGAGGGGGCTTACATTTTGTAAGAGCCTGCCATTTGCCTGGGAGCATGTGGGGCCATGTCTCGGTTTTGGTTTCTCCAGGAACAGATGCTGAGACAAGGATTTAAGTACTAGTGGTTAATTGAGAGGTGATCCCAGAAAACACCAAAAGGGGAGTGGGGGGGACTCAACGGGGAAGGGACAGTAGCCAGTAAAGGGTGCTATGTCAAGCCAATAACCCCAGCTCAATTCCCCCAGGAGCTCTGGGAAATGGTGCATACATGCCTGAGAGTTACCCCATCCTGCAGGAGCCAGGGCATATATGCACTGCCTCCCACCAGGCACAATTAAGAGCTGGTCCAGGAAACGTCAGAGTCACTTTCCTGGGCAGATATATGTGGCTGGAAGGCACCAGCAGCATCTGCTACGGGCAGTACCTTTTTCCGCTGTGACTGCCATGGGTGACCTGACACCTGCTCACACTGGATGCCTCTCTCCCCTCTGCGGCTCTAGCTAGGAGTCCACACCTCTCTCTCCCACTCAAAAAAGTGCATCAGCATTTCAGCAAGTGTTCTCCTATCATGGGGAGACCTAAATAACATATTTAAGGAGCAGTAAATCACTCACAAACATTTATTCATTCAACAAATATTTATAGAGCACCGAGTGTGCCAAGCACTACATTGTGGTCACAGACTGAGGATGACGCAGTGGAGAAGACATGGTGAACCCGCAGGGAGAGTTCACGGGGGAAGATTAGGGTTCTGTTTTTTCTCATGTGGAGTTTGAGATGCCTGTGGACAGCTTTGGGGGCGGGGGGGCAGAACATGCAGGAATTGCAGGCTAAACAATCCCCAGGGAGGGGCTGGCTGAGAGGAGAGGTGTCCGACCAGGGCAGGTGTCCTGGAGGAGGTGCTGGCTGGGCTGGGATGGGAGACGATTCTTCAGCTGAAGGCGGGGGTGGGGGAGGGGAAGAAGGGCTGTGCTTCCACAGAGGGACCTGCAGGTTGGAGGCCAGAGAGCTTGGTCTGTCCTCTGAGAGATGAGCCAGAGGGGTGAGGGCGGGCCAAGCCCGGCAGCCTGCAGATTCTGGACTTAGTCTCCAAGCAGGGAACGGCAGCTTGGGCCAGGCAGTGCTGGGGGGTTAGAAGGGTGGGAGTTTGAGAACCTTCAGGACTCAGTGACCGACCAGACATGGTATGAGGGAGGAGGACTGCTGGGTGCCAGTGTCTGATCAGATGCTTCTCTCGGAGGAAGAATGTGACACACGGAGATCCCGAGTCCCAGGCTTTGACACAAGGTGTTGGAGGTGCCATGAGACAGCAGAGGAGGCATTGGCTGGTGCCTCTGGAGTTGAGGACAGAGGCCCGGGCTAGCCCCAAGGATGTGGGGTGGAGGCACCAGTGCTATGGCTCCAAAGCCATCAGAGATCACTGGGGAGAGCGTGGGGCGGGAGAAGAGACGGTGGGGACTGAGCCAGCAGAGGACCAGAGGGAAGGAGAAGAGCCAAAAACTGTGCTGGGACCTTGTGAGCCAAGGGAAGGAGCTGAGGACCGGAAGTGCTCACCGATTAGCAGACGGGGCACGCATCCACCCCACATCCACCCCCACTGCCCCTTACCCGCTCCTCCCTCAACCCTCCTCTAGGCCTGGCACCTGCAAGCTGCAGAGTGGAGTGGAAGGAAGGAGGAGGGAGCAGCCAGCTCTGAAACAAATGGCTGCTTCGGCTGGGGGCCATGGAAGACAATCGGTGGTGTGAGCTTCAATAGTCCAGGGAGGCTTCAGGGAGGAGGCAGAGCTCACTGCAGGCCTGGAAGGTGGGGAGAGATGAGCTCAGCCTCAGAAGGGTGAGCTGGCCTCCCAGGGTAGGCAATGGCATGAGCAAAGGTCAGGGAGCAGCATGGGTGTGGCCAGAGATGACCAGGGACCCCCAGTGCTGTCACAGGTGTGTGCACTGATCGGGGGTTTAGAGGCAGAGTCCCCGGGATGCCGGAAGCTGAGGCTCGGGAGGCAGGGGCAATGCTGGGGGGGCAGACTTTTATTCGATCAAACATTTCTTGAGCATTTCTGTATACTAGGAGCCTGCAACACACTATGGAACAAAATAGATCCTGAGTTCATATGCTGGCAGGGGGCAGAGGGACCAGAAAGCCATGGATATGCTCGCCCTGTGAGCTATCCAGTGTGCTGGAGGCAGCAAGTGCTATGGGAAAAAGGAAGCATGCAGCAGAACAAGCTGGGGTCGGGTCAGGTGGCAATCTGAAGAGAAGGTGGCATTTGAGTGGAGGCTGGCAGAGGTGAGGACCAATGCAGGCTGGCACCTGGGGAGACTGTCCCAGCAGAGAGAACAGCCAGGGCTGAGGCCTGGGGTGGAGGAGCAGCAAGAGGCCTATGTGCCTGGAGTGAAGTTGGGTGCAGGGACAGGAGACAAGGATGGAAGAAGCAGATGGAGTGGGGCCTAC
This sequence comes from Homo sapiens, assembly GCF_000001405.40. NCBI lineage: Eukaryota > Metazoa > Chordata > Mammalia > Primates > Hominidae > Homo > Homo sapiens. The sequence continues at coordinate 877,348 of NT_187601.1, read as the reverse complement.
AGGCCCACAGAGGGTGTTTCTTGACTTGGTGTGAAGTGGGGAGCCCGTGTAAGGTAGGGCTGAGGACAGGAACGATCTGACTCACTCCCTATTGGACAGTCTGGCTGCTGTGCTGAGATGAGACTGTGGGGGTCAGGGCAGGAGCAGGGAGACCAATTACAAGCCTGCCACAGTGACTTGGGGGACAGGTGACAGCCACCGGGACCAGGTGGCACCAGGGGGGATGTGAGAATGGTTGGGTTCCGGATGGGAGCCTACTGTACTTCTGAGTCAGCCTGGTTCTGATGGGTGGTGTCCCAGGGGAACAGGACAGGGCACAGAGAAGATAGCTGGACCCTTTTCCCTGGAGTGGGCCTGGGATTGGGGGGTGGGGGGCTGTGCTGGAGCCAGGACGAGGCCATCTGATTTCATCTCCCAGCCAACCCACCGAGCAACAGCTCCAATCCCAGCAGGGATTTGATGAGGCCGCCAGTAAATGACTGGCTACTGGTGCAATTAAAAGGGGAGGGGAATGGTTTATGCATCTGCCGGGTGGGAGACGAGCACTATCACATCAGGGCTTCTTGGTGCAAAGTCGAGAGAGCTTCGTCACTGTCAGGAAGTGCTGGATTGGGCTGGGAAGGTGGGGCCGGCCCCACCTGCATCCCACAGGGTCCCAGGACTGGCGTGTCCCCAAGCTGCCTCCTGGGCTTCCACATTACCGCCCAGGCCCTGGCCCAGGGCAAGGCCCCTCTGACCATCGAGGGAGGTTGTTTCTGTGGATACAGAACAACAGTCAGAGTCTGTAAGCAATACCATGTGAGGGGTGTCCTAAGGAAATCAGTGCTGACAAATGAAACAGAAAATCAGAAAGAGGTGGAATATGCTGGGAGGCAAGAGCCACTCTTGGTTTTTGCTAAAAAAGTGCACAGCCCAAAACTCTTCTAATTTTCATAGTTAAGAACCAAGAAATGGAATCTGGGTGTCCAGCGGGAGGTCACTGCAGGTGGTCATGAGGTCCGTTCAGTCATTTATTCACTCAGTGAACATCTGTTGGGCACCGACTATGGGCCAGATGCTGTGGGAGAGGGTGGGGAGCTGGAGATATAGGGATGATTCTGGGGCGGGAATAGAGACTACAGAGAGGGCCCTACCTTCCATAGAGAAGGCATGCCCAGGAAGGTCTCTCTTTGAGCTGGCTGATATTGGAAGGAGGAGAAGGAATTAGCCCCTTGAAGACGAGGAATAGCATTCCAGGCAGAGGGAACAGCACATACAAGGGTCCTGTGGTACAACCATCAGGGTTTGAGAAACCCAGAGAAGGTCACACAGCTGGGCACAGTGACCACGAGGGACAGTGGTGTAAATGAGACTGGGGAGGTTAGTCCCAAAATCATGCAGGGCTTTATAAACCATAGCTTACATAGGACAGAGGTGGGTTTTTTGTTTTTGTTTTTGAGACAGAGTCTCGCTCTGTTGCCCAAGGTGGAGTGCAGTGGCACAATCTCCGCTCGCTGCAACCTCTGCCTCCTGGGTTCAATCGATTCTCATGCCTCAGCCTCCAGAATAGTTGAGATTACAGGTGTGCGCCATCATGCCCAGCTAATTTTTTTTTTGTATTTTTAGTAGAGACAGGGTTTCGCCATGTTGGCCAGACTGATGTCGAGCTCCTAGCCTCAAGTGATCCACCCGCCTTGGCCTCCCAAAGTTCTGGGATTATAGGCTTGAGCCACTGCGCCCAGCCAGAGGTGGGTTTTTTTTTCAAGTGCTATGGAAAACTGTTGAAGAGATTCTGACCATAGGGATGACACTTACAGATTTGCTTCTTAAGACAATCACTGGCATCTGAGTGGAGAATAGATTGGGGTGGGGGTAGTAAGAGGGCTGGCAACAGACCAGTCAAGAAGCTATAGATGTTGTCAAGGTGGTAGAAGTGGTGGGCTGGACTGGGGCAGCAATGGAGGGGGAGAGAGGTGATAGGTGCCAGATGTAGTGTGAAGGAAGATGAGAAAGTGAGGCCAACAAGTGTTTGCTAAGAGTTTGGTGGCCCTGGGGCCATCTGCCAGCAAGGCCATTGATTGACCCAGCTAGTGTGTACTGAGCACCTCCTGTGCACCAGGTGCTGGGTGGAGCAGCCAAGGATGAGTGAGAGCTGCTCCCTGCTCTGGTGGAGCTCACCAGCCAGGCAAGAGGGGATAAGAAGCTGTCAGCCAGCAGGGAATTCAATGGGCACCAAGTGCTGTAGATGGGCCGTGAGCCATCAGGGATGGCTGCCTGGAGGAGGTGGCACTAAACTCTGCCTCCGAGAAAGTTAGGACTCTGAAGAGCAGAATAGGGAGGGGTGGAAGGGTGGGTGGAGGAGATGCTCCAGGTAGAAGAAATGGCATTCACGAAGACGGGTGGTATAGGAGGTTTTGGGGAACCTCAGTACAGTCCCACTTAGGGGAGGTAACAGGAGTGGGAACTGTCTCAGGGTGGATGGGCAGAGGAGTCTGGCTGTGATTCTGGAAGATCTAAAGGTTTCTGAGCAGCTGAGTTAGTCGAGGTAGGACAATGAATCTCACGGAGATGGGAAGGAGGCCGAGTTCCCCGCTCATGTGTGTGTCTGTGTTCGGTTCCTCACTGTGGCAACCACTGATTTCAAAGATTGTGCCAAGACGTTGCCTTGTTTTGTTCCCCCTGGCAGCCCAGGCTGTGGGGCTTGATTTATGCTGCCTCTCCGTCTGCTCCTGTCTAAATATGGTCAGGCAGCCCTCGGGGACGGCAGCTGTTGCCCTGTGGCAAGGGCCTTCCTGCAGCTTGTCAGCACCGGCTGTGACCTGGCTGTGGCATCTGTGCTGCCCTTCGGCCCCTGGAGGAGGAGCCCAGTAAAGGTTCAAGTGTCTCAGGCCAGCCTGTCTGGGAAGCTTCCAGACTGTGATGTCCAGGCCGGGGCCTCTGCCAAGCAGGGCAGGGTGGTGAACACCACGTCCTTCCTAGAAGCTCCTCTGCCAGGGACACCTCCCCCTCCCCACTGCTTGCTCTCGCTGGTCTGTGGGGCTCCCGGGGACAGAGCTGCCACTTGCCTTCTCACTCCACCAGGAGAATGGCTGGGCTGAGGAGATTCTAAGCTCCGTCTGTGCTGGAAATGCAAAGCGTCCTGGAACACTCAGGGAGGCTTCTCATCATAGGTGTTCTTTCTCCTTTCCCTCCCCTCCCTCTCTAGCCCTCTCCGTCATGCTCTCTTTTTTGCAAGTTGACGTGACTCCTCCCACGTGCATGCACACACAATACACATGCACACACACGCACACACACATGCACACGCACACATGCACGCGCACACACATATATGCATGGACTGCCCCCCGCCCCGCCCTTCGCTCTCCTTCCCTTTCTCACCTTGAGCAGATTTTATCCCACCAGTGGTTTTCAGTCAGGGGTAGAAACACCCCCTAGGATGCATTTGGAAATGGGGGTGTCTAGGTTTTGGTTGCCACAGTGACTAGGGAGTAAGCACTACCGGCATTTACTGGGCAGGAGCCAGGGATGAGAAATGTCATGCAACTGCAGGGACAGTTTCACACAACAGAGAACTGTCCCTCCCCATAAGCCAATAGAGACCCGCTGAGCAACTGCTTAGCCCTCAAGCCTCCTTTCCAAGCAGCCAGACTTCAAGTCCTAACCTCGTGCCCTGCGGAGAGTTGATTCTTTCCATTTTTGGAAAATTCAGTGACCCCCGTTGCTATCATGGAAAGCGACAGCTGTCTGTTTTGATGGTTCTGTTTCACTGCTGTATGATAGTTTTGGGCTATTCCAGATTCACTTGTGAACCATTTACTGAACACCTACTACCTGCCAACAACAGAGAGATGCAAAATATTCAAAACCCAGGCCAAGCCCACAGAGAGCGGGCAGGTAGCATTGCCGATTGTCTTTGGTGGTCTTTGATGACCCCACCAACATGCAGGCCTCTGGAGGGTAGACAGTGGGCCCTCATCATCCCTGAACCCACCCCACAGAGTCCATTGCACAATGCTTTGCTCATGGTACACTTAGGAAATAGGTGGCACATTGAGTTGATCCAGGGACTCCACATTGGTGGCTACTGACATTCTAAGTGGCTGGAAGACAAGAGTGTCTGTGTCCTTCATCAGGGCTTTTGTTCTACTCTTTGCTTTTGAATGTCGATTATTTCTTTTTCTTTTTCTTTTTCTTTTTTTTTTTTTTTTTTGAGAGTCTTGCTCTGTTGCCCACGCTGGAGTGCAGTGGTGCAATCTTGGCTCACTGCAACCTCCACCTCCCAGGTTCAAGCAATTTTCGTGCCTCAGCCTCCCAAGTAGCTGGGATTACAGGTGCACACCACCATTTAAATACAAAAATTAAAAATAATTTTTGTATTTTTAGTAGAGATGGGGTTTTGCCATGTTGTCCAGGCTGGTCTTGAACTCCTGACCTCAAGTGATCTGCTTGCCTCGGCCTCCCAAAGTGCTAGGATTACAGGCCTGAGCCACCACACCCAGCCAAATGTCAATATTTCACTGGAACTTTTTTGTCATCTTATGTGGTCAGCTGCTCATATTTAGGCCGCGTCTTTAAAGACTTGATGTGTGTCAAGACTTCATTGGCCATCCTGTCTTTGGTTGGTTCCCTAGTGGCAGAGCCGAGTAAGCTGAGCTGAGACAGGGGTGTACCCAGGAGGAAGCTGTAAGGAAGCGAGGGAGGCAGGACAGGAAAGTGAAGGAATGAGCCAGGGCGTGGTTTCAGCTGGAATGTTCCATGGGAACCCCCCCGTATCTCTGGAGTGAGAAGCCTCACAAAGGAAGTTCTGCCTTGAGGCCAAGAGCAGCCTCCTAGGCCCCCCATCAAAGCATCATCGGCTCCCCGCGAAGGGAACCTGTGGGTGGACACCAACAGTGTCCGTCATGTGTTCCTCTTAGAAGTGAGGAGAGGCTCCCTCCTTCACACACAGGGTTCTCTTCAAGTTCTTGGCCTAAACATAGCAGAATCGAATGGCATTAAGAGCTACCAGGTTTATCTTCCTGCTTTTGAGATTTTAAAATATTTCCCTCCGTTTCCTCTCCCTTCATTCCTTTTTTTCCCCATTTCCACTAAACTTATGTTCCCACCAAGACAAAGCCCACCACTCAGCCCACTGCACAGACTCAGAGAGCTTGAACGACTCCACACAAGGAAGAGGCCAGCTGTCACCACGTGGCCTTCAACCACAGACCAATTGCTGGGCGAAGCCCCCTCCCTCCAGCCCCCACCCCAGGCCGGAACCCTGGACTCCTTCACAGTCAGAAATACATGAAGGATTTTCTTCCCATCTCTGAGAACATTCTGGTCCTTATAAGCAGCAAAGCAGTTTATCTTTTTATTCAACTAATCTGAGATGCTTTCTGTGGGCCACTTAAACCCTGTGGGATTAGCCGGCTCTGACGTGTCCATAGAGCCGCTCATCCCTCCCATCCCTCCGAAGGGAACGGATCGGCGGGAGTGTGAGCTCGAGCTGGTGGTGGTGGCTGATGGTTCTCAAGTGCGGCCGTGTCAGAGGGGCAGCCATTAAGTAAGAGGACTCCCTTCCTTCCTTCCTTCTTTCCTTCCTTCCTTCCTTCCTTCCTTCCTTTTTTTAAACCCACGTCTCACAATTTCTCCATCCCCACTTGGAAGTGTTCCCACTGCGTGCTGGCTCTGACAGTTCTGTCACTGCTTGGAAACTTTCTAGATTCTTCCCTACAAGGGTTTAGACTTGAGTGACCCAAATGGGAGAAATATTTCGCAAAGGCCATGATAAAAAGGTTGGGTTTTCTTCTATCTCTGGTAAGAAGCCTTTGAAGGACACTGAGCGGGAATGTAATAGGATCTCACTTCACTTTACAAAGAACCCCCTGGGTACCGTGGAGGGCAGGCAGAGAGACTGGCCCAGAGGCTGCTGTGGAGGACACGTTTGAAGGGGACTTGCTGCTGGATTGAACAGAGGGAGGGCTAAGGGAAGGCTTGTCCGAAAGACCCGGGTTCCTGAACTGAGCAGCTGGGTGAATGGAGGATTGGGGGAGGAGAGGGGCAGGGGAAAGATGAAGGTTGGTTTTGGACAGGGAACCCAGAGCCGGCCTGTGGACCACCCCAGTGGAGACACTGAGTCGCAGCTGGATATGGAAGTCAGGGGGCTGGGGGACGTGCTGGGGCCGATGCTGTACACATGAGAGTAGTTGGCATCTGGCTGGGACTTGAAGGCATGGGACTGATCAATTTGTGGGGAAGAGCATCGATAGGGCCGGGGCGGGGTCGGGGTCCGGGGCCAGGAGCTATAGGACCTTTCCTCCTGCCCACCCTCGGGTAAGACGCCCGGGCAAGCCAGGGAGAGGCAGAGGACAGCCCCAGGACCTAAGAAGGCTGCATTTATTTTTTACTTTCCATTTTTTAGGATGACAGCTTCATTTCCCTCCTTTATTCCCAGAGAGATGATAGATTAAAATCAATCCATGTCTGAGGCCACAGCCTGGGCCACTGCCCCTCAGAAGTCCAGCAGTGGCAGCCATTAGATACTGCACTAATGAGCCACGCCCAGTGTTTAAAAAAAGAAAAGAAATGGTATTTAAAATCAAAGATATTTCTTATCTTAGGCCAGGCAAGGTGGCTCACACCTGGAATCTCAATGCTTTGGGTGGCCAAGCCTGGAAGATCACTTGAGGCCAGGAGTTGACCAGCCTGGACAACATAGCAAGACCCAGACTTAAAAAAAAATCCAGATTTCTCTATTGTCTTTTAAAAATTGGCATCTCACAGGGCTCTCAACCTGGATTGCAGACAGCACGAGGCTAGGGAGGGAGAGAAGGAGAGAAGAGGCAGCTGCGTGTGGGAGAAGAGCTTCGGGTGGGGAAGAGTAGGGCCACGGAACCGCTGGAGTAATCTCTGCTCTCTGGGGTGCATGGCGAGCCCTTCCTCACCTCGCCAGGCACTCGTGGGTACAATGCTGGGTTCTCATTACCCTTGTGGGTTGGCTCTGGGGGGTGGGAGGGATGCTGAATTGTCTCCACAGTGGATTTGGGCCAAGGTCCAAGGCCACAGGAGCCCATCATGTCTGGTTTTCCACGTCTCCAGCTACCAGAAGTACTGGAAAAGGGCTGTACATGCCTTGTCTGGGTGTGTTCTGGAAATCGGAATATTTCAAATTTTAGCAAAGTAGTACCATGTATAGACCATAGATGAAGTAACACCACCAGGCAGTCCAGTGCCCAACGATATTTCTCTAGTGAAATATGTAGCCATTCACACTAAGTGAGATGAACCAAGACCACAAAGAACCCCATTCCTACTCGGCTCTGGTTTTCCTACTCAGTTAGTTTTGGCATCAAACTGCTTTTTGGGTTAGGAAATTACCAATAAAGGGTTGGAGTCCTACATCTGAAAAACAGCCTCTCCTGAACTGGTGAGGTAAATTGTGGTACATCCATTCAGCTCGTAAAAAAAAGAAGGTGGCCCCCATCACACCGATGTGAAAGCATTGCCACAGGTAACAAGTGGAATGTGCACTGCATCTCACAGTCATAGCATCCCGGCGTGTGCAGGGTGCTCGCACTCAGGATACATATATACACACACACACACATCATCTTGAAAGATACATGGGAATCGGTTACCTCCTCCAATGGTTGCCTCTGGGGAGGGAGCACCTGAGCTAACTCTTAGGCCTCGGGTTTTTTTCCCCCACTGACCAGCTTCTGGATGTTTCTAGAACCTTCCAGGTTATTGGTTATATTTTATGGTTCAGGAGAGTCCAGAATTGGGAATGTCAGTTCCCAGAGAGCTTTCGAGACCTCACCTCACTTCCTGGTGAGGAGCCAAGCCAGCCGTGCCTTCCCAAAGGCCTCAGCTGCTGTGGCGCTTGCTTCTGGTAACTTTGGTTTTCTAAAGCAGGTGGACGTGGCTGGTTTCTGAAGCGTCACCCTGTCTGTATGACGCAGCCCTCACCTCTGAGACCCCATTCATGTCCCTGTCAAAGTAAGGTGATGGAACAGTCGATTATGGTGAGCTGCATGGCCGGCTGTCATGAAAAATAAAGAGTGGGTGGCAGTGACTGGGTTCTTGAGGGGCTCAATGTCCACTGGATTTTGAAATAATGTGCTCTGGGAGCTCATGACTGTAAGGAATTAAAGGGGAAGAACTTGTCCTGAAAATGATATACATTTCTCCCTTGCCGAGAAGTTTAATTCCCTTTTCCCTCCCTCCTATGATCCAAGGTGTGGGTGTGGCCAGCTTTGCCCTCTCTGGTCTTGCTCACCTATCACAGTCTCTTCGGTTGAGTTTAGTCTTGCTGTCTGCCCTAGGGAGGGATGGATAGAGGGCTGGAGAAGGCGGGGACCAGAGGACAGAGGTCAAGGCCCCCCCCACCATGGCCCCCCTAGGCAATGTTAAAATCTTTTATGCTGGACCAAGGCACTGCTGCTAAAAATCTAGTAGCAGTGGTCTCTGCCTGGTTTGCAGTGGGACATGATAGAAAGAAGATGGACTTTGGGGTCAGATTGTCCCAGAATCCCAACTCCACAATTGGGATTGTGAAGAGCTCCACAAGCTCTTCGTTGAGCTTGTTCTCACTTCAGTCAAGGGGGACAGTGACACCCACAGCTCCTGATGGATCAGGAAACTTAAATCAGATGTCACCTGGGCAAGGTGCATGACAAGTGCTTAGCAACTCTTATCATCACGTTTTTATTAAGCAAGTGAACATCCTTTAATATAAATATTTTCCTCCATAAAATTTTCTGAAACCTTAAGCATTTGCTCATTTGCCAGCAGATGGCAAGTAACAAACAAACCCTAGCGAAGGCTCAGAGACAGCACAGCAGGCCCAGCCCAGAGGGGTGGCCTTTTGCATGAACATAAGCAACGGTGCCCGTGACTCTGTGTAAATCGCCATCATAGCATCTGTTATGAAGGGAAAGGCAGTTCCTGGTTCACATTGTGGGATTTCGTGTTTCCGGGGGTTTGGCAGCGTGCACTTTAACTGGGAGCTGTTCTGCCTGGAATAGGTCAAAGTTGCCCTGCTCACCTACACCTTCCTTCCATTATCAAAGGAGTCCTCTCCACAAAGGGGGCAGCATCATCTCTCCACTTAGGCAAGGGTGGGTCTCCAGTGGCCTTTGGGAAAGCTCTGTTGTCGGGCCTTCTGCCTGGGAAAGATGGCGAGGTTCTGCTAGCTGGGTCAGTGAGCAACATCCATTGGTTTTTGCCCCCTGCTTCCACCAGAGAAAAATAAGGCCATAGAAGCAGCGCCTGCTCCCTGCTCCCAAGTTTCTGTGTCATCCCTGCCAGCAATCAGAGAAGGCCAGAGGCCACCATTTCCTGGAAGAGATGTTGGCCTACCCCCTATCCCTGTACCATCTGCCCCTCCCAAGAGTGAATGGGTTCCTTGTTCTCAGATTTAGAATGAACTGGACCGTGGGTGGCAAAGGCCCATTGTCTCTGGACTTGGCAGAGAGAATTATGGATGCCTTGGAAATAATGCCTTGGCTTCTTCTTGGACCCTGTTACAGACAGTTCCACTGCACAGCCTCTGAGTAGCCAGGGGTCATCCTGAAGGCAGTTGGCTTGGAATCTCAGAATGTCCCAGCTGGAAGGCCATCCAGTTTAACTCCTTCAATTGGCTGGGATTGGTGCAGTGCACTTGGGAGGCCAAGTCAGGCACTGTTGGCTGTGCCTGTGTTGGACGCATCAGTCTCCACCAAGTGCAGAAGCCAGGAAAGAGCCCTGGCCATCTTCCAGCCCTGTGGCTCTCTTAGTTTCCCAGGGGACATCTGGTCATCGCAGCTGGGGGAGGGGTGCTACTGGCATGTAGTGGGTAGAGGCCAGGGATGCTGCGAGGCATTCTATGGTGCACAGGACAGCCCCAACCATAAAGAACTATCCAGTCCAAATTGTCCACGATGTCGATGTTGAGGATCCCTGCCCTAGCCCAAGGTCACCACTCCCATTGGGCAGATGGGCATTTGATGTCCAGAGAGGTGAAGTGACTTGCAGATGTCCAAAGGGCTTCGATGACAGTGCCATAACCCAGGTTGCGTGCCCCGGATCTTCAGACTGGGCTGCTTGTCCAGACAGAGAACTCAATTTCCAGGCAGGAGCTGGCTGCCAAACCTGCCCAAGTCTCGGTGTGCCCTATCCTTGGACAAGCCAGCGTCACAGAAATTGTCTTTGGATATTGCACTGGTGGAGTTCTCGTGGGCCTGGGGCCTGGCCCTGTTTCACCACAGTGGCCCAACTGCCCATTGAGGAGGCTGGAGCCGGGGCAGCCCTCTGCTTGTTATTTTCAGGAAGATATAGTGAGTACTTAGTACTTTTTAGATTCAGGTGTTCCACTCAACAAGCCACGTGGCTGCTGAAAGAGAGAGGGAGTGAGGGGCCCCGCGTGGGGTTGGAATATGACCTGGCATGTTTCCAGCTCAGCAGAGCGTTGGCTTGCCGGGGGCGGGGGGGTCTCCCTCCTGCGGTCTCCCAAGCCCTGACTGTGACTTTACTCGCAGCTCTGTGACTTTGCTTCTTTGACCTTCGGAACCCTCAGTTTCCTTATCTATAAATAGTTCTAATGATACCTGCCTTGCCTGTTTGAGGGGGAGGGATCTGAGAATCAAATAAAAGAATCTAAGGAAAATGTGCTTTGAAAGTAGGTAGCACTGGCAGGATCCGGGTGGCTGTCTCCATTTGCTTTCAGTAGGGTAAGAAAACGGCTCCTGGCTGCCTTTCTGGAAAGAGAAGCGAGCATCCCACCTCCCAACACTCTGGACGGCCCAATACACTTTCTGCGATGGTGGAAATGATCTAGGTCTGTGCTGTGCGAAATAGTAGCCATTAACCACGTGTAGCTATTGAGCACTTAAAATATGGCCAGTGCAACAGAGGAACTGAATTCTTGATGTATCTAATTTTAAGGAGTTTAAATTTAAGTAGCCACATGTGGCTGGTGGCTACTGTATTAGACAACACAGCTCTGGACTGTCAATACGGATATTGTTTTCTTCAATACTACGTATGGTTTTGTCCCAGAGCCACAGACATTTCAGGTTTATTCCTTTTTTAACAAAGACCAACTGAGCAGCAGTGATTCTTCTCAGCCGTGTCATCATCCCTTTTTGGTCCCAACTTGGACTCAAATCATTCTTAGCTTAACCCTACAGGACCCTTTTAAACAGGACTTAGGCTCTGTCCAGAGACTAGCAAAGGGTGGTCCTGGGAAGGAGTCATCTAGAATGTGGAAAGTTCACATGCATCTCATTGGGATATAATTTCATCTCTTGTTTGATGCTTTAGAAGGAGGCCAGGAGCTTTCAGCATCTTGGTAACCTCATGTCTGGGGTTCCTGATGTGGAACCTGTCCTCAGACCCTAACGCAAGAATTTTTAAATGAAGTGCTCCCCAGGAGAGACTGAGGAGGCAACGGAAGTGGTAGGGTGGAGCAGGGGGGAAGCCGAGTGAAAGCACCATCTCAGGCCAAGTCCTGCAAAGGCAATTTCAGCCTATAGTTGTCCCCAGCCAGGCTGTCACACTTAGCACCTGTCAGTTACTGGTGGAGGATGCTCTGCAGGGCATGGGACTTCACTTCCTGGGCTCCCCACCTTGTGCATAGCCACCCTGGCAGCCCTAGTGCAGACCCTGAAGAAGGGCTGCAGGTGCCCGAAAAGTCAGACGTGTAGCTTCAGGTGACGCTTTTCTGCCTCCAGAGCAGAGTCCCTGCGTCCCGGCCAGCAGGTGGGAAGCAGCTCCCCCGAGCCTTCCAGGGAATGTTGTCACCCTTTGACGATGGGAAACTGAGGCTTGTAAAATGTAAGTGCTTTGTCTGGGGGTTTCTTAGTGGGTATGGTGTGGCCAAGTCAGGATCCAAATTTGTGCCTGTCTTTCTGCTGTGCTTTGCTTTCTGACCACATTGTCACCATGAAAACTCCGAGGCAAGATGGAGCCCTGTGCCCCATGCCCAGAGACTTCCACCTAGGCCTTGGTGTGACATTTGGGGTAAAGGGCCTTTCTAAAAATAATACGGAAGGAGTGGGTTGTTTACTTGCAAAATACAAATTTGTGGTATAATTTCAGGACACTTTCAGACCACTCTTCTAAGCTTGTCTAAGAATCTCAGGTTAAGACTCCTCTAAATTAGGGGTAAAAAAACTTTCTGTAAAAGGCGAGATAGTGTATCTTAGGCTCTGCAGGCCATACAGACTTCCATGGACAAGGTGTAAACAAATAGGTGTGTCTGTGTTTCAGTAAAACTTTATTTATAAAACAGGTGGTGGGCCAGATTTGGCCTTCAGATCAGTGTCAACCACTGGTCTAAGTTGACCCTGAACCCCTCTGCAAAGTGATTACAACAAATTAGACAGAGCACGTTCTACCTGATGAAGCATTCATGAGGGCCCCGTCATGTTTGTTTTGAGACAGGGTCTTGCTCTGTCACCCAGGCTAGAATGCAGTGGCATCATCATAGCTCACTGCAGCCTCAAACTCCTGGGCTCAAGCCATCCTCTTGCCTCAGCCTCCCAGTGCAAGTCCCAAGTAGCTGGGACTACAGGTGTGCAGCACCATGCCCAGATAATTTTAAAATTTTTTGTCGCACTATTTTTTGTCTCACTATCCCAGCAAATTTTTTTTTTTAGACGGAGTCTCACTGTATCTCCCAGGCTACGGTGCAGTGGCACGATCTCGGCACACTGCAACCTCTGCCTCCCGGGCTCAAGCGATTCTGTTTCTCCTGCCTCAGCCTCCCAAGTAGCAGGGACTACAGGCATGTGCCACCATACCTGGCTACTTTTTTGTATTTTTAGTAGAGATAGGGTTTCACCATATTAGCTAGGCTGGTCTCGAACTCCTGACCTTGGGTGATCTGCCCGCCTAGGCCTCCCAAAATGCTGGGATTACAGGCATGAGCCACTGCACCCAGCTTACTTATCCCAGCTAATTTTTTAACTTTCTGTCTTGCTATGTTGCCCAGGCTGGTCACAGACTCCTGGGCTCAAGCTATCCTCCTGCCTTGGCCTCCCAAAGTGCTGGGATTACAGGTGTGAGCCACTGCACCCAGCCTCATCACCTGTTAATTAAGTGCCCCCATGAGAGAAAGCAATCTATTGAGCATCAACTAGGTGCTGGGGCTCTGCTGGGCGTTTAATATATACCATTGGGAGCATTCTCCCTTCCCAAGGTCACGAGCTCTCACAAGCAAAGATGAGCTCATTACGTTCAGTCAGCTCACACTGGCTCTCCATGTCAAGTCATTCTCATTTTTGTTTGTCAGCTTCCTGTTGTTGTTACCAAAGTCACATGTAGTTAAGTGTCTCGGTGAGCTGGGAATCAGTCTGCATTTACTTGGTGATGATTTAATGAATGTCCAATTTCCAGTAGATTATAAGCGTCATGAGGACAGGGTCCATCCTGTCCCCAGTGCTAGCATGGTGCATGGCACACAGCAGGCTCTTAACAGATGTGTATTGAGCGAATCAGTGAGTGGATTCGCAGCTGAATGAGGAGGAGTCATCAAGGCAGCGAGGGTGGGTGGGCACAGTTCTGCATGTGGCCCCCTCTCGTTGCTTCTCAAAGGCACTGGGCTGCCCTAAAGCTGGCAAGTATGCGGACCTTCTGCGCAGCCGTGCGTCTGCAGCCCTGGTGGGAACAGAAGGCCTGGCAGATCTGGGGAGGGGACCAAGGGCCAGGACAGAAAAAGGGTGGAATGCAGCTACTAAAAGAGAGTAGATGCTGTTGAGTAACAAGGCCTTGCCTTAAGGAGTCTAACAAAGAGGGCTATTTGGGCAAAAACAAGGGGGACGTGTTCTCCAGTCGCTACCAGAAGCGTAATTAATTCTATCAGGCAGTGTCCTGCTGTTCCCGGCTCCTGCCCCAGCCTCCACCCAGACCCTCCCTTGCACCGGGAAAAGCTGAGGCTGCCCCCACCAAGAGACATAAGCCCGATTCATAATTTTCCTTTCCTAATTAGGCACAGGAATGATGGAGACAATTATTAATAATGTATTGGGGTTTTTTTTAATGTCCCCTCAGGAGCCGAGCCTGAGAACAGTGCCCTTGATGATAAGCAGCCAATCTGCCACCACACTGGGCTCCGCGCACAGAGCACCAGGCAGAAATAGATAAGCCAGGGGAGCAAGTGGCCCGCAGAGCACAGGCTACAGATAAGGAGCCATAGATGGAAGGGCACAGAGCCCCTCACCCAGGGCTCAGGAAGGGCCTCGGCCACCAGCCAGGGGGGCAGAGAGGCTCCCGGTGCCGCTGCCTGTGTCCCCCGTTCCTTCCTTTGCTGGCACCTTCTCACAGGACTGCTCCTGCACCCTGTCGGGCTCAGCTTGAACGTCGCCTCCTCAGAGAGGCCTTCCTGATGCCCAGGGTGGCCCTATCGCCCCTTTCCACACACTGCGTTGCTCCCTCCAGTCCCCCAAAGCGTCTCTCCTGGCCGTTTGTCACATGCGGGGACTTGCCTGCTTTGTGTCTATGCAGCCGTCACAGGTTGGCCCTGGGGCCAGACTGTCTGGGTTCAATCTCAGTTTCGTCATCTGGCCAAGCATTGTCCTTGCTCCCTGTGGGCCCCTCACCCCTCTCTCCCTGCTCTCACTTTATCACACACACCGGGCACAGGCCCCCTTGGGCTCAGCTCTTCCCCCTCGCCTGGGCCACAGCCATCAGCACTCACACAGTCTCTCACACTCATGCACACTCATTCACACACATACACATTCACACACTCATACGCACTCACACACATACACATTCACACTCACATACACACACTCACACACTCCCACACACAGTCCCCCACTCTCACACACTCATATACACTCTCCCACTCAGTCCCAACTCATACTCACACACTTATACACACACACTCATACACACACACTCACATAATCACACTCCACACAGTCCCCCACTCTTACACACTCATACACACACTCTCCCACTCAGTCCCCACTCACACACACTCATACACACACTCATACACTCTCACACACAATCACACTCCCACACACTCAGTCCCCTTACACTCTCACATACTCATACACACACTCTCCCACACACTTGCACTCCACACACTTCCCACTCGCACACTCATATACACACTCATACACTCACACACTCATATGCACTCCCATGTACTCTGTCACACACTCACTCTCACACACTCATACACAATACTCCCATGCACTCACACACTCCCCCACACACTCTCACACACTCATACACAATACTCCCATGCACTCACACACTCCCCCACACTCACACTCTCACACACTCACACACTCCACCTCCTGCCTTGAAATCCTTCCCATGACTTCTCCCCCCAGATATGGCTCCACGATGCCGCTCCCTTTTGCAGCAAAACTTGAACCGCGAGTTGTGCATCCCCACCATTTCCATTTCCTCTCATTCTCTCTTTGACTCCCCGAATCCGGCTTCCTCCCTCCACTCCCGCCAAACCACTTTTCAGCGGCCAGCAGCAACTGCCACGTGGCACCATCCCATGGCTGGCTCCCAGCCTCGCTGTACTTGACCATCAGCTGCGGTGGACACACTTGACCTCCCCTCCTCCTGGACGTCCCTTCCTGACGTGGCTGCAGGACCGGATGGCTTGGGCCGCCTTCCTCACAAGCCTCCCCTGTCACCCTCCTCTGCACCTCCTCATGTTGAGGTGCCCCAGGGCCAGGCCTTGGCCCTCTTCTCCCCTCTGCCTACCCTCTCCCACTTGACAACCCCCTCCAGTCTCAGGGCTAGGTGCTGGCCACTGCCAAATGCCTGCCTCCAGTTCTCGATTCTCAACGCAGAGTCCGGCCCCAGCTGCTTTCTCACTGTCTCCCGTGGTGTGTGACAATTTCAGACTTCACACCTGACCTCCACACCCGTCCCAAAGCTGCACGGACCCAGTAATCTTCCCCATCAGTTGGTGACAGCTTCCTCCTCCCACAAGCACAGCCCCAAACCCTCAGAGTCATCCTTAGCTCCTCTCTGTGTCTGCTGCCCACATCCACATTTCCATGAAATCCACCTCGAGAGCATTTCCAGACTCTGACCTTTCCTCACCGCCTCTGCGGAGAACCCTGAGTCTGAGCCCCGCCATCTCGCTGCTAGGTTATCAGCAGTATCCCCGCAGCCTCCCGCCCTTCCCCCACGCCACACACCCAGTTTAAACACAGAGGGACTGTGCTGACCTGTAGGTCAGAATTCACCACCCTCTCTTAAGTCCTCCCCATGGCCTCCTTATGGCATCCCCATGGCCCCATGTGGTCCCATCTCCTTCTAGTCTCCCCTCGCGACTCCCTCTAGGCCACACTGGCCTCCTTCCTGCTCCCCAGAACTGCCAGGCCCACACTCACCTCCGGGCCTGCACTCCAGCCATTCCTTCCCCCAGATACCTGTATGATGAACTCCCTGCCGAATTCCAGTCTTTGCTCCAGTGTCTCCTCTGGAGACTGACCCTGACCACCGTGCGTCACACTGAGAGCCCCCCAACCCTGCACCCCAGCACCCTCAGCCCCCATAAGCTGCTCAGCTTTGGAGTAAAGGACACAGCAGTGTGCAGGAGGAGAAGCCACCTCCTCTGCATCTCCCTTAAGAGCTGGGAAACCATTCCCAGGAGCCCCCAGCAGACTTTTCCTCTCCTGTCCTTGCGGGAACTCTATGACCTCTAAACCAATTAGGGGCATAAGTACTGGAACAACCAGGCCCGGCTGCGACCCCTGAAAACCGACCTCCTAGGCTGAGCCCGCCTCTCCCAAAGCCTAGGCCCTCTGGAGGGTGGGGGATATAGGAGGGGAATCAGAGTTCTGCAGGGAGAAGGGGAAGGATGGGGGCAGCGGCGGAGGGGTGTCTGCTGCTGGCTCTCTGATCGTGTCTCTCACGTTGTCTTTGCACCAGCTCTGAGGAGGCGGTTCTGTTGCCTTCCCCCGACTTACAGTGGAAGAAACTGAGATTAAATCTAACAGAGTCAATGACTTGCCCAAAGTCAGGATCTGGATTTTAACTCCTGGTACTTCTGATTCAAAGCCCGTGTGGATAACCACTGTGCTGAACTGGGCAGCTGATGTGATATCCCAGGAAGGAGGGGCTGGCAGGGGGATGGGACAACCGTGATAACCCAGCAGACCCAGCACAGGGCTGGAGTCAGGAAGAAGGTGGAGAGGGGGTTGAAGGGAGCAGCCACAGGATGTGGCCACTCAGAGGGCAGAGGGAATGCCCAGGTGGGGGCCTGAGCCAGGAGGAAGGCACTGCCCCAGCGGTATTGAGGAGCGTGGGGCAAGGAGGCCCCACTCCCTGCTGGATGCCTCCAGCACAGGGGGCCCACCAGGCTGGGGCTGGGGGCCTGAAAGGCGCTGCACACACAAAGCAGTTGCTGAGAAGAGGTTGAGGGCAGAGAGGATGTTTTCAGGGCCACTCGTACAGCAGTGAGGGTGGGACCCGGGGCTCTGACAACTCTCCCCATGAAGCTCAGCGAAGAGTCCAGCCTGGCCCACCCTTGTGGCTTGGGCTGCTCTGGAGCCCTGAGACCGTCCTGGTGGCATATTGAGGTCTGACTTCCTGCCAAACCACCCACCACAGGCTGACCAAGGCGTTATGCATATCCACAGGCCCACTGTTCCTGTCTATGGTGGGTGAGAGGGGGGACGTGCTCAGTGCTGCCGGCCACCGAAGCCCAGCTTCCTGGGGCAGGAAGGGGCATGGTTGGCATGCAGGAGGCAGTATGGGGGAGGTGGGCAAGAGACAGACTGCCCCAAAACAGGCCAAGCCAGCATCACTTCCCGGGGACACTCCCCTCCCACCCCCGCCCCGGGCTACAGGCTGCAGGGCAAGAGACCCGTTTAGGCTACAGTGCCCACAAGCTGCTTCCCTCCTGCACAGTAGAGAAGGGTGTGTCCCTTAGTTTTGGAAAAGGCAGGCCACTGAGGCACCCCCAGGAGCTCTGTGCCCCAGGGAGGCTAAATGCACCTCCCTGGCTTTCTGTCAAGCATGGGCCAGGCACGGGTGCCTCTCACCTGTGGTTATGGGCAGCCAAGAGCTTCCTGCTGTAGGAATCCGTGATTGGAGGGAGGAATTGGGGAGACTTATGAAACAGGGGGTCTCCATGCTAAACCCAGAAGCCTGAGCCAAATTCCCACTGGCAGAGAAGGCGTGGGGGGGCCCTGAATTGCAGGCGCACAAGGGCACCGTGTTCATCCAGTCACATCCCAAAGGAGATTTCTCATTTCTCTGTAGAAATAGGGGCTTGTTGCAGAGGCTGGCCAAGGCATCGAGGTCTGATTTTGTATTTGTGGTTTTCAAGTGCGGCCCACATGCTCTGGTTGCCTTCGGGGTGAGGAGTGAGTGAGCAGCCCCGCACCCAGGCTGGCTCTCCAGACCTCCCCCAGCCGCCATAGGAGGTGGACGCCCTGGCACCGGCCTCCGCAAGGGCACCCTGTGCCCAGGAATGGAGAGCAGTGGCCTGAGAGGCGGCCCTTGTGTCCCTGAGACAATGGGACCCGGTGTGGGAGCAGGCACCGCAGAAGAGTGGCCGGCCCCACCCCCACACCACTCCTTCCTCAGTGGCCTTGGGGCTGGGGGCCCTGAGGCAGGGAAAGGGTGGTCAGCCCAGAAGAGACTTCTGAGAAACCGCGTCCTTTGTGGTGCTTTGGGGGGCAGTTCATAAATGAGGCTGAGAGACCAGAGGACCTGGGTCTGGTCCCTGTGTGGCCTCGGGCAGGGTCCTCCCCTTTTTGATCCTCAGTTTCTGCCTCTGTCCAAAGGGTCTACAAAACAGACTCTGCATCACACAAATCTTTAGCAAAGCTCCGGCCCCCACACTGTCCTTGTGAGACAGACAAAACCAGCGGGCGCTTCAGCAAGCTGGCTGAGGCAGGGCCGAAGAGGACACACGTTCCTAAGTGCTTTTCAGCGTCCCGCCCCCTTTCAGCGCGCACCGAGTCCCGTGCATTTGCACTTTTCCGTGACATTCTGGACAGTTTCCTCAAGACACTTTGGTGGGCGGGAGGGAGTGGTGCCAAAGGGGACCCCTGCACACGCTGAGGACCAGCGGTGCCATGAGACTGTCCCTGAAGCAGGGCTGTGACTCCTTTCACCTCTGCTCCCCATGGCCGAGTCACCAGGCCCACACTGGTTTTAAGACAGAGAAACAACTCCCAGCCCAGGTGCTTCTGCCTTCGGTTTCCCACAGCAAAGGCTGAACTTAACCTCGGAGTCTTGGGAAGCACATTCACCGACATCGGCTCCTTGAGGGAGATGGAGGTTGATCTCTACGGCACAGGGGGGTCCTAGACAAGTGGCACTAGACTGCATTGTCAGCGGTTGTGACCCGCCTGATGGGCCCGGAGCTGGGCTGCTCAGGAAGCCGGAAGCAGAGACAGCAACTGCAGTGACAGCTCCCACCTGACTACAATCAAGGCCAGTGAAGCGCCAGGTCCTTTCAGCTCCTGGGGAACAGTCAGGAAGCTGCTCATGCAGCCCAGGGCTTGAGTCCCCAAAGACTTGGAAAGTTAGGAGAGCCATCTAATGATGCCTCTGAGGCCCAGAGGCCCCCAGCATGCCCATGGTGTCACCAGCAATGTCTGGTACTCAGGCTGTGCTCCGGAACCAGGGAGCCATGGGGGCGAGTGGGCTGCCACTCACAGGGTCAAGAGACCCAGCAGTGGATAAAGCCTCCATCTCACAGTGGAGAAGCAATTTTAAAACCAAGAACATGGCTCTCACTCCCCTCTTCTAGACTCAGACGGCATTCCTATTTAAAGATATCTTGCAAAACCGAGATTGTTTCCAACCTACTCGCTATCTGTTTGATTCATTCATCCCTGGCTCTGTTCCCTCCTGTCAGTCCAGCACCTCCTGTGTGCAGCTTCTCTCCAACAGCTGGCTCTGACGGGGAAAGCTGTTTGCCCGGGTCATACATTAGTATGTACTGAGTTAGCTGTGAGTACCGTCGCAAGGCCCCTGGCTGTGTGGCCTGTTTCTCCACTTCTGAAAGGGGAATATAACTGAGCTATGCGCCATTGTGCCTAGCAGTGTCTTGAAGTCTTTCCTACTCCTGGTACCCACCAAAAGGCTGCCTCCATCATCTCCTCTGATAGTCACAAAAACCCTATGAGGACGATAGGGGAGGCATTTGCCACCAAGAGTACCTGGAGGGCTTGTCTGACCTCACACATTCCTTTCATGCATTGGACCTTGGGTGGGTCCACACGTCCACCTCCCCTACCCTGCCCAAGGGAATTTTCTGGTCTCCTTGGTCTCCTTAGCCTCCCTGGACCCCATACAGGTGGGCACATCCAAAGCTACCCACCCCACCTGCTTCTTCTGCAAACATCCATGGGACCTCTCTTTTCTATTTATTTCCCAGCACTTGCCACGATGTGCCATTATATATTTATTGGTGTATTTGCTCACCACTGGCTGCTTCTACTCTTCTCAGAGTTCCCCTGGGGAGAGACCTCATCTGTGTTGTTCACTCTCTGGACTCTCAGCTGAATCTCTCCAACTTATGGAGCTGGCCAGGCCCTGCGGATTCTCTCTTCCTGCACTACTGTTTTGGAAACTCTCTCAAGGCAGTGAGCTGGGCCTATGGTAGGACTCACCTCATTTGTTTCATCGTCTCTTGGGAAATCAGTGTCTTTGGTTGCCTCTTTTAAAAACCACTGTTTCAAATCTTTGGTATGGTTTTTGGATGTTTCAGACAGGAGGGCAGATCTGGCCCCTGTTACTCCATCTTGGCTGGAAGCAGAAGTCCAAAGCTTTTAACGATGCATCTCATAATGAGAAGACAGCTGCTCCTCTGATGAAGCAAAACTGAGCCTGGGCAGCTTGCAGTTGCTCTCTCTGGTTGCCAGCTTCATCGTCTTTACAGGCGTCAGGAGTGTTAAATGAATACAGCGGACAAAGCCTCACTGAGCCTCGGGGAAGACAAGGTGTTGCGACCCCTGAGATGTCAACTCCTGCCTTTCTGTTGTGTTTGCAGAATCTTGGCTGGGAGGTAGAGGGGGTGACAGAGGAGGCAGAGAGCCCAGGTAGCCTCAGTCCTGGAACTTGGCACTCTCTGATTGTCTCAGCCTCCCTGTCTGACCACCTGTCTCTCACAAAGCATCACCCGCATCCCTGAAATAACCTTCACCTTCTGTATTAGCAATTCATGCGTGCCTCTTCCCCCGGAGACTCCTGAGCAAGATGATCAGGTCTTAGCTTTGTAATTAATAATTCATGGGGCGGCTAGCACCAGCCCTGGTAAAGGCATAGTTTACGTCTGATTTATCTTTGTACTCCCAGATCCCAGCACACTGCCAGGCACCGAGGGTGCTCAGTTTGCTGGATGAACAAATGACTGAATGAGCACCTTCATGATGCTATCTTCTCAAATATGAACCATCAGTCTGTACACATGTAAGCTGTCTTAGCACCTCCAGAAAGAGGTGCTGGCCACACCCCATGGGAGGGAAGTTCAGGCAGGGATAGACCCAGCTGTAGCCCAAAGATCAGGGTCCCAACCCCGGCCCTTGGGAAAGTTGCTTCTTGATCCTGGGACTCCATATTGTATTCTCTTTTCTGAAATAACACCTCCTAGACTTCCTCCAGCTCCAACATTCTCTAATTGACTCAAGCAAGGATAAATAAGCATGCATTCTTTGAACACAACAGCTGGCTTTCTGAGCAAAATCCAAGATGTATGCCTTCACTAGGTTTCACAAAATGCCTCCCTCATTTCATAGCCGTTAGTGTTTTTGCCTCTGGTAGTTTTCTCATACACATGCGGTGATAAGTGTGCTTGCAGAATATTAGAGGGGACCCTGTGCAGGATACTGTGAACCATGGGCTCACTGCTTTCAGTATCAATTATGTTTGAAAAGGAATAGCAAAAGAAAATTCCCACTTAACTAACAGAGAATGTAAAGAAGAGAGGCACTGTGAAATTTAGTGCCAAATTCCCTATGAGGCTTATAATCAATCAAGTTGATGAAATTTCTCAACAGGGGCCCTGTTAGTATTTTTCAAGGGACAATTCTGCCTTGTGTGAGAGTATCCAGTTCATTGTCATTAACATCCGTAGCTGCTGGGATCACACATTGCAACAACCAAAGACAGCACCCACTCCGATATTTCCAAGTGCTTACTGGAGGGGGTGTGGCAGCCCCTGGCTGAGACCACACACTGGTAGCTCTGTCCCCAGCCACAGGAGTGTCGGTGTGACTGTCTGTGGTCCTGGACCATTGGTGGCAGGCATGGCCCTGGGGTCTCTCCCAGAGGTGTCACAGCCTGAAGAAGTAGAGCCATGGAAACCAAAATTGCTTCCCTTTGTGGTGAAAATGAGGAGGTAGACCTTTGAGGCTTAGGGGTGCAGTGTAGACAGAACAGCCTTGGATGATCTGGCTATATTTCTGACTCTCCAGCAGTGACTTCTGACTTCCCAGAGTGTAGGGAAGGTGGGGGCATCACCCCAGGAAGACACAGCCAAGTCAGGGATACCCCAAGGTGAGGAATTGGAGGGAAGGATTTTTTGTTTGATATTTCACCAAGAAAGCCTTGAACAAGTTCATCATGGGGAAAATGAGAATCCCTTTGGGTCTCCTTTTTCTTATTTTAGAGTTCATTCCTATTTTCAATGCTATATTCTGTATCTTTTCAGTGTTGAGGTTTCTAAAGGCCTGGTGCTGCCCTGACTGAGAGGCCCAGTGGCATCCTCCTATCAGCCATCTCTCAGGAAGCATTTCTTTCTTTTTATTTTATTTTATTTATTGATTTTTTTTTTAGCTGGAGTCTTGCTCTGTCACCCAGGCTGGAGTGCAATGGCACAATCTTAGCTCACTGCAACCTCCACCTCCCGGTTCAAGCGATTCTTCTGCCTCAGCCTCCTGAGTAGCTGGGATTACAGGTGCCTGCCACCATGCCCAGATAATTTTTGTATTTTTAGTAGAGACGGGGTTTCACTATGTTGGTCAGGCTGGTCTCAAACTCCTGACCTCAGGTGATCCACCTTCCTCGGCCTCCCAAACTGCTGGGATTACAGGCGTGAACCACCATCAGGAAGAATTTCTGATTCGACTTGGTCTCTGTGACACCTGAGGCTCACTCCTAGGCACCTTGCATTTGTTAGTGGGGTTTCGGTGCTGGTTCACTAGGAAGCACATAGTGGCTCCCTGGATCTCCTAATCCAGCTGCAACAAATCAGTAACTGCTCCCTTCTTGCCATCTTCTTCCTTCTTTCCACCTTTCTTCATGCTGCACAGAATGTACAAAGGTACAAGCATTCAGGAAAAACAGCTTGGCATGTCCTTCTAAAGTTTATCATACACACACCACACAACCCAGCCGTTCCACTCCTAGATATTTATCCAAGAGAAATAGGAAAATGTGTCTGTACAAAGACTTGTACACAAATGCTTATAGCAGTTCTATTCAAGATAGTCAGAACTGGAAACAACCTAGGTGTTGGTCATCAGGTGAACGGATAAACAAATTGTGGCCAGGCACAGTGGCTCATGCCTGTAATCCCAGCACTTTGGGAGACCGAGGTGGGCAGATCACCTGAGGTCAGGAGTTCGAGACCAGCCTGACCAACATGGAGAAACCCCGTCTCTACTAAAAATACAAAATTAGCTGGGCATGGTGGCGCATATCTGTAATCCCAGCTACTTGGGAGGCTGAGGCAGGAGAATCACTTGAACCGAGGAGGCAGAGGTTGTGGTGAGCTGAGATCGTGCCACTGCACTCCAGCCTGGGCAACAAGAGCGAAACTCCGTCTCAAAAAAAAAAAAGAAAGAAAAAACAACAACAAATTGTGATATGTTCATATAAAGAAATACTATTCAGCAACAAAGGAAGGAGCTGCTGAAATACACAGTAACATGGATGAATCTCAGAAACGCTATGCTAAATAAAGGAACAAAAAAAATACACACTGCATGATTCCATGTATGTGAATGTCAAAACCAAGCAAATCTAATCAGTGATTTTAGAAATCAGAATAGTGGTTGCCCCAGGGTGGGACTGATTAGAAAGAGGCACGGGGACACTTTCTGGGCTGTTGGAAATATTCTGTGTCATGCTGAAGGTGCGGCTTCCACTGGTGCATGCATTTGTCAAAGCTCAGAGGATGGTACTTTTAAGATGGGGGGTGCATTTCACTAGATGTAGATTACACTTTGATAAAAATCATAATAATGAAGCCATCCATATTACCCTTTGGGAAGTCATCCCCTGGTTCCCCACTTACTGTTGCACCCCTCAAAGTATCTATCATAGAGTGGACACCAAGTCTGGGGTGTATTTCTGATTCTTTTGCATATATTCACGTCTTGGAGACCTGTCCAAAGTTAATACTGTCTCTCTGTCCATCCATCCATCCGTCCATCCCTTCCTTCCTCCCTCATCATCCCCTTTCCTCTTTGTTTCTCTTTTCCCTCTCACTTCCTTCCTTTCTCCCTCCCATTCCTTTTGCAATTCTGGGCACTCCTTTCCAGTTGTGTCTGAGTCTTCCCAGAAGCCCTGGGATGAGGCTGTGTGATGTCTTTGCTTTTCTCAGAGGAAAGCGAACCGGCCTCACTGACACAAGTCCTTCAGGTCCACCCCAAGACAGCCTGTGCCAAGGGAGGGAGGACAGGTTCACCCCAAGGACTCCACGGATTGAGTGACTAAGAGAGGGCCCTGGAGCACCAGTGTCCGGTGCCTTGTCAGTGAC
This sequence comes from Homo sapiens, assembly GCF_000001405.40. Lineage (NCBI taxonomy): Eukaryota > Metazoa > Chordata > Mammalia > Primates > Hominidae > Homo > Homo sapiens. The sequence goes on along the minus strand of NT_187601.1, from coordinate 852,696 downwards.
ACTTTTCCAAATTTTGACCACCCCCGTGCAAACTGAGACAGCGGCAAATACCCACCCCACGGGCTGAATCCAAGAAGGGAGAAAGTCTGCGTCTTGCAAGAAATTAGCTCAAGAAACGGACATTGGCAGTCCTCCCTTTCTTTCCTTCCTCCCTCAGCATCCCCTGTGAGCCCCGCTCCCCACCCCCGCCTGCAGAGGAACCAGATTTAGTGCCTCAGCTGAGAGAATGAGATGCTCTGTTATTTTTTATGGGGAATTAGACCTGACCCTGCTGTCAGTTAGCTCATGCCGAGGGAGGATGGATGGCCTGGGGCGTGGCGCTCAGCCCCTGCTCTGAGCACGCCGGGGCAGGGATGGAGGCGCTCAGAGGCCAGCCTGGCTGGGGGCCAGCCATGATGTCACCTGCCGCAGGGTGGGGGCAGGGATGGCCGGAAAGGTCAGGGAGCCTTCAGCCAGGTGATGGATGCCAGTGGCCTCCCTGTGCCTCTGTTGGTGTCACCCATAATGGTCCCACCAGTGACCTCCCCACGCCTCTGTTAGTGTCACCCATGATGGTCCCACCAGTGACCTCCCCATGCCTCTGTTGGTGTCACCCATAATGGTCCCACCAGTGACCTCCCCACGCCTCTGTTGGTGTCACCCATGATGGTCCCACCAGTGACCTCCCCACGCCTCTGTTGGTGTCACCCATGATGGTCCCACCTCTGTCACTGGCCATGACCAGCTCATCCAGGTGACACTCAGGCTGCTCCTGTCTTTTTCAGCTCCCAACTCTACCTCTTGCCCCACTGAGGAAAGCTGGTGGTCGGGGCTGGTGATCATCATTGCCGTATGCTGTGCCTCCCTGGTGTTTCTGACTGTGCTTGTCATCATTTGCTACAAAGCCATAAAAAGGTGAGTGCTCACTCACTGCACCCAGCTTCAAGCCGAAGGGAACCCCAGCTGGGCTTGGGGCTCCTACACACATCCCGTATCATTATTTTAAATTATAAAAGTTGTTAAGCATATAAGAAGCAGAAAGAATATACAGTGACCTTCCATCTACCCTCACCCCGATTCAACAGTTCATCAAGATTTTGCTGTATTTGCTATATCTATTTTATTTTTCCTTTGATCTTTTTCATTGCCGAAATATTTTAAAGTTGATCTCAGAAATAATGTCTCTGTCACTTTAGAGAGTTTGATTCCACAAGCAATTGATTAGCACCAATTATATGTCAGGCCCAGTGCAACGTGAAAAATACAAAAATGTTGCAAAACACCAAAGAGTCATAGGAGTTGTTAACAATATAATATTTCTAAGGAAGTTTTTAAAACATTTCCTGACTCCCAAAATTAGAGGGCCACATTAAGAACATTCCTAACATCTAAAATATTTAAGTTTACTCTTTAAGTTGGTTGTTCTATGTGATTTCACTTTAGTAATTCAAAAGCAGAAAGTAAAATATCAAGGTAAAAGTCTTAAAACAAGTCAGGCACACAGGATGGGGGGCCACAGAAAGCCAATAGACCAGGAGCGTCCTGGTAACGGGGCACAGGAGGGAGGACACCTGGCGGCAGGGCCCGGGCATGGCGGCTCCATGCAGGACAGGCCATGTCCTGGGCATCTGCCACCCAGCCGAGAACCCAAACTCAGAGCCCCCTCTGCCCAAAATGCACATGCTGCAGGGCAGTCTCCAAAAACACTGATAAATAACACAGGCATAACTGTAATCAGCAATACCTCAGCCGGGCACTGGGTTCTCCTCACCAACGTTCTCTTAGTTCATCTCCACCTACATTTTCCCAGTCAGCTCCATTTTGCAGAGGAGGTTGAGGTTCTAAGGAGTTGGAGAGCTGCCCAGGGTGGCACAACTGGTGAGCAATGGAGTCAGAAATTGAACCCAGAACAAAAATACTCCAAAGCCCAGCCCTGACTACACACCGTGTTTCAGGGTTATTGACGAGTTCGACTCCAGTGTTGGGCTAAGAACAGACCTCGGTATTCCTGCCTGCCCTTCCTCAGGGATGTGGGAGAGGGGACACTCGGGGTTTGGTGAGGTCCGTCTGTGCTTCTTTGAGGCCAGAAGGACATACAGACAGAAAGGCCCAATGCTCTAAGACCCTGTAACTCTGGGTAGCGGCTTAGTCTTGAAAACCAAGGTGGGGCCAGGTGTGGTGGCTCACGCCTGTAATCCCGGCATTTTGGGAGGTGGAGGCGGGTGGATCACCTGAGGTCAGGAGTTTGAGACCAGCCTGACCCACATGGTGAAACCCCGTCTCTACTAAAAATACAAAATTAGCAGGTCATGGTGGCACACGCCTATAATCCCAGCCTCAGGAGGCTGAGGCAGGAGAATCTCTTGAACCTGGGAGGCGGAGGTTGCAGTGCGCTGAGAGCACACCACTGCACTCCAGACTGGGCGACAGAGCGAGACTCCATCTCAAAAAAAAAAAAAAAAAGGAAGAAAGAAAACCAAAGTGGATGGTTGGAGTCTCCCAGGGGACATAGCTAATCCAATTCCCACGTGTTTTGTAGGCACCTTCTTTGTGCCAGGCTTGGTGGGCATACAAAGAGGTAAGACAGAGGCTGTGCCTACAGGCTGCTCCATGAGGCTGTGCGAGGTTTGCTGGCAGCCCGCTGTGGCTGCCCGGAGGAGTCACGGTGCATTCTGATCTGGACCATAAAGCATTTGAGCTGAGGGCCTGCTGGAATGGGAGGAGGGTTTTAAGCAGCGGAGCAGAGGAGGCATTCTAGGTCAAGGCACCTGTGAGGGGAGCAGCCGGACACCAGGAAGCCCCTGCGACGCAGGAGATGAGGCTGGGAAGCCGTGAGCCTGACTGGGGAGGCCTTTGTCACCAGGCTGAGTGGTGACTTTGCCCGTGACTAGACACTAGGAAGTACTGAAGATTAGCTTCGGTAGCTGCTTTTTGGGGGAAGAGTGTGCGCCACCAGGCCATGGCTGCCAGTCTCCTTGCAGACACGCCCCACTTCCCCTGGGAGAGGCTCAACATGAATAATCTGTTTAATATAAACTCGTGTTCTTACAAAAGACACCTGAGCCACTTCTGCCTCCCTCCCTGCCCCAAACCTCCCCTGAAGAAATGTGCTACCTGCTTCTACCGGAGGAGGGAAAGAGAACAAACTCACATTAATAGCTCACTAGGGCAGTGCTGCTCAGCGGTAGCCTGCTGGGCTTTGTCTCAGGTGGGCTGGGGGCTCCCAGGAAGGGTGTGAGGGGCGTCATCTCAGAGCAGCTATAGAGGGGCCTCCTGTCTGTCCTCTTCCACTTTCTCTGAGCTCTTGGCTCCTGGGTCTGTTAGCACCCTGGAAAAAACAGAACTCATCCCAGATGGCTCAGTGGACCAGACTTCAGATAGTGGGCTTCTTCCAGGGGCAGGGGCGGGGCTCCACCAGGGCGTGGGCGGGGCTTCTTCTAGAGGCATGGGCGGGGATCCTTATGTGGTGTGGGCGGGGCTTCTTCCAGGGGTGTGGGTGGTGCTCCTCTGGGGCATGGATGGGGCTTCTTCCAGCGGGTGGCGAGGATTATTCCAGCGCTTTGGGCAGGCCCAGAGAGCAAGTGGGGCAGGTGAGGCACTCAGGGACTTGCAGAGTGGGGGCGGTTAGCACCTCTAGGAAGACAGGCAAGCGGGAAACTAGTGCCGTGGGAACCTCGTGAGAGACTCGCACTTAGGAGAAGGGCCGCCTAGCAGGAGTTGCGGTTGGAACTGTCAGAGAAGCAGCCCCAAAACAGGCAGGAAGGGGGAAGAATTGCTCCCAGCAGCTCTCCATGCTTAGGTTTCCCGTGGGTGCCTCACACTGGCCAAACCCAAGAAGCAGGGGAATCAGGACACACCGTCAGTAAGGTCGGCCTCCCGGGGGCACAGGGCAGAAAGCCCGTGAAGCAGGCAGTTGGGGTGTAAGCCGACGCTATGCTGCGCAGCCCCTTTGCTGCCCTGCACCAGGCTGTGCATCCATCTGCAGACCAAGACCTGGGGACACCGAGGAATAGGACCCAGCCCTTTGACCTCGAGGTCTTCATAGTCCAGAGAGAGTATCCCTGGTGCAGCAGACAGATATTTAATGACAAGAGGGGACTGTGTTCATTGAGGGTGAAGGCAGAAATAGAGCCCAATACTGCCAAAACCCACCTAGAAGGAGGCTGGGGAGGGCGGCCTAACCCCTTGGTGGAGAGAGAAGGAGGCAGCAGAAGCTGCAACCCCGCCTACAGAGCAGAGTGCTCCCCACTGCCCCCCCAGGCGCTGACCTCAGCTGGGGCTGTAAGAGATAGCATCCTCACTCAGGCCAGCTGCCTGTCCACATTTCTCTCCAGCGAAGTGGAGGATTTCTTGCTCACGGCCAATTGTTTTTGGTCAATAATTCATCTAAAACATGCCTTTTCTCTCAGGAAACAAAAGTATCTCATGTCACTGCAAAACCATTAAAAGGAAAATTTAGTGATAAACCCTACTCTTTTTTTTTTCTTTTAACTCTCATAGCCTCGAGTCCTAGGAATTTCCAAGAGATCTTTGTAAATGGCCCCAACACAGCCTTTCAGAGCCAGGTTGCCAAGAGGATGTTTCTAGAATCGGGTAGGTCAGGGAGGAGGTGACTCTGGAGATGCCTTGGCACCTGGGGGTGTCAGCTGCCGGGACACGGGCCTCGGCAGGGACGGGCGGCACCGAGGGCTGAGTTGCAGCTGTGGAAGGCGCACCCCGCAGGGCCCTCACATCTGTGTCCAAGGCCTGGCTGAAAGGGGGCTGGACCTTGGCAGGAGGAAGAGTCTCACTAGCACTTGCTAGACGCAGATTAGGTGAAATAACACTTCTCCTGTGACTCAGCAAGCCTTCACCAAGTCCCACCTGTGCACTGGGTAGACGGTGTTCAGAGGAGGGGCACCTTGCCCAGACCTGGTAGCCAGGTGGGGTGGGAGGTTTCTTAAAGAGGTACATTAGCCAGGCCAGGGGACTGGGCGGGGAGGGTGTTACTTGAATTTGCATGAGCACGAGCAGTGGCCCCCAAGTCTGCTGTCAATGACCCCAAACTCCAGAGGGGGTTCCCAGCCATAGGGAGCCCATGCAACATGCATTTTGGTGGCTTCATTGCCCCGGGCTTGTTGTAAACAAGCCTTTTTATCTACAGCCACATGGAGAGCAGGCCCCAGAGCCCTTGGGTGCTGGGTACCCCCGTGCCTGGCACCTGGGTGTCCTCCCACCCCTAGGCCTGACGGGCACATGTTTCTGACAGCAGGACAGCCTGATTTGTTAAAAGAGCCCAGAACTGGGAGTCAAGTCCCCAGGCCTGTTCCCTTCCCAGCCCCAGCCCCGCCGGGCTCAGCTGGGCTCAGCTGGGCTCAGCAGGTATCGCTTCCCTCTGTGGCCTCCGTTTTCCCTCTCTGAAATGACAATCTCCGAGCAGCCTTTTGTGTCCCCATCCTGGATCGCAGGGGGACCATCACCACTCAGGCATTCAGCCTCTTGGACGTATAAATGCTGATCACTGTGCCCGCCAGGGCTGGGCCAGGTGCCAGGACCAGGTGCCAGGCACTGGGCTACAGGAGTGGGCACCACCGGCACAGTCCCTGCCCATGCTGCACATACCTTTTCGGGGGAAGAAGTGGACATCAATCAGACCAGACTGCCCCCAAAGAACGGTGGATCACAGTCAGAGGAGAGGCAGAAGAGCAGAGACAACACGAGTGTCCGTCCAGGGCAGGAGACAAACCTAAAACCAGTGATGACCACAGAGAGTCATCAAGATAAAGCTCCAAGGGGCAAGGCACCCGCTGCCCAGGTAGACCTCAGATCCCAGCTTGGGGAGCCCCACAGGCCTGTGCACTTGCAGGGATGTGGCTGTTTTCCTGGGGTGGCATTTGCAGCTTCTCTGACAGCCACACCCTTCACTCAGAGAAGAGCTCCTGTGTTGAGGGGAGATGATGCCCACCCCCTGCACGGAGACACGCCCATGCTGGCACAGGATGAACACCTTGCCTCCATTGGCCATCTGTGGCGTGGGTCTGTTCCCAATTGCCATGAAGCCACTGGACAGCCATTTCCCTCTCACTTACTGGTATAATTGGCAGAAAGACCAATACGTGGTCTCAGGACGGTTTGGCTGACCCTGCAGACGTTAATTGCTGACCTTAAGCAAGCGTGCTGCTTCCTGGATGTGGGCTTGAGTGTGCGTGATTGTGCCTAAGCACCACTTATTGCTGGGCTCTGGTCCTCATCAGCTGTTTGTGGTTGAGCCACTTTCAGTAGAACGAGCACTTTTGAATGCTCAAGCCTTTTTGATGGTGCCTTAGAAAACCCATTGACTGGCACAGGACTGTTCAGTGTTGATCCATTTATTGAGCACCTAATGTGTGCTGGGGACTAAGCACAAGGGATGCAGAAGAAACAAGACAGTCCCTGTTCTCCTCCTGCTGGAGGAGGCAGATTAAGCACACACACCAGCAAATTAATAAATGAGGTGATCTTAAAGACTATGAAGAGAAAAAAAATACAGGTTAATGGGGAAGAGAAGGAGAAAGGAGTGAAGGTTGTGTCCTCTCCAAAGAGTCAGGCATGTTGTGCATGCCTTTTGAGACAGCTTAATGATTAGAAAGTATGGCTAGAGCATTGCACATTTATTCCCTCCTTTTAATTTAGTTTTAATTTTTATCAAAGGAATACATATACATACTATGGCTTAAAATGTCAAATGTGCTCCCAAGGCTCTTAAGAAAGACAGCAGCCCCCTGTCTTTTCCCCCAAGTCACATTCTTGAGAGGCAACCACTTTCAACAGTTAGCTGTTTCTTCTGATGTTTCTCTCCATATGCTAAGTGATGTGTATACTGCTATTTAAATTTTCTTTCCATTTTAAGCACCATCTATTTACTTTCCACTGTGGAAGATACCAAGGCCAGCACCCTTGCAGTACAGACATACAACATACTTCCCCTCTTCTCATTCTCCACCTAGAATGGGGCTCAGTATGGGATTCTGTGCCTATTCAGTGCTTACCTTAGTGTAACAAAGAACATATTGTGCATAGCTGAGCCACATAGCGTACTATGCTGTTTCCTTTCCTGGGGTTAACAATGCCTCCTCTCAACACAGTCAAATTTATCAGTTCCATTTTTGTCCTGGGGGCTCCATGCTCCTCTCCAGGTGGACTGTGGGTCTCTGAGCCTGTTGCACAGTTGTCACCCTACAATCATCCTCTCCAGCACCCTTCCAAGCTGGATGATCCCAATATGGCTCCTCCCTGGGAACCTGCTACCCTCAGCTCTCTCCCTCCCTCTCCAACTCCAGTCTTTCATCTCCTTAGCTTGATTATTTCATGGATATTTTTCCCAAGATCTTTCCTGGATCATAGACTCAATAGAAAGTTAATCAGTGAAATTAGTTTTCTTTTTAGGATTTACACTCTTTCTGGAGCTTTGGGATAGCCCAGAGAAAGGTTAGTTCTTACTGAATGTGTGGCATATAGAGAAGATCTGGTTACCTGGGGGCACCTGGAATGCCAGGGAGGGGTGGAAATGAGTTTCCTATGGAGTCTGAGCCAGAATGAACCTTCATGGTCAAGGGCCAATCCCTTGTTTTACTGATGTGGGAACTGAGGCCTTGGTGGGGAGAGAAATGGTTCAGGTTCCAGAGGTTTCCTGCCCTCCTCCTGGCTCATCGAGCACTCCCAGAGGTCTCTCTGGTCAGTGTCCTTCCCCTCATTTCTTCCAGTTGAGTCCTTGCTGCTCCTCCCTGGAGACCCAACTCAAATGCCACCTCCTCTGAGATGTCATCCTGGACGAGTATAGAGCTCTCTCTTCCCTGTCCAACTGCTAGAGTTATAGCTGTCCCTGAATTTACAATTCTGCTTTCTGCTGTAGGTAGGTGTATGTCGGTGTTCGTGTGCCCACACCCTTGCGAATGCGTGGTTGTGTGCACACACGGTAGATGGGGATTGGTCATCTCATCTTACTCATCTCTCTCCCGACGGTGCCTGGCACGATGCCTGGCACATAGAAACTGGTCAGTGGTGGTTTCTGTGGTGTGAATGGAGGCTTGTTCCCACAGACTTGCCAGAGTCCACCTTTTAAACTGACAGACTCTATTTAGAATTGCAGTAAACTCATTTTTTTTCTCTATCTGGGTGAGTGAAATCGTCTGCTTTTGGTGTAAATAACATGCACCAAATTTTAAGTGTTGGGCCTCACCCCTTCACCAGTTTCAGTTTTCCCAGCCCCCTGCCATTCCTGCCCCCTCCCTCTCAACCCCATTTCTTCAGTAGGCCTCCTGCCATTCTCTCCCTTCCCCATACGCATGTACCCTGACTCAGCGGTCCCCTCTCCAAGCTTCGGAATAGCACAGCCTCTCTCCCACCTGCGCATAACACACTCCCAGGATGTGAATGCAGTGAAGCAGCTCCGCCATCTACCTCCTCTTCTTCCTCCCCGCAGGACACACCTACTGTGCCAGGGGCCAACCCAGCCCTCTCTCCCTCGTTGCCTGCTCTGGCCTTCAGCTGATCTGCAGAGTCAGGGCCAAAGGAGGGGCATGGGGAAGAAAAGGTTGGCCAGGCCCAGAGGCCAGCAGTGAGGACCAGGAATCAGGACAGGAGTGGAACTGCTCCATCCACCCTCAACTCACCACAAACTTCCAGGAGCAAGAAATTCACCTTGAATGCATCTTGGTGCATTCCTGGGGCCCTGAGACTGGGGGTTATCTCATGGGCCAAAGCCTCTTGGCCAGGTAGGGTCTCAATGTGGTTCCCATCTGTCACCTCTCCCTGCTGTTCACATGCGTACCTGTAGCAACACTCCCTCCTCCCCACTGCCCCAAATCCAACCCAGAATCACCACACCTGGTTGTACTGTGAGTCAGGTCAAAGTTAGTGTACTCCAAGGAAGGGCCTCCTGAGGGCAAGTGCTGAGCATTGATGCATGGCCTTGGCTGCTCAGAGACTATCCTGCATCCTTTGGAACCTGGGCTGAATTCAAGGAGCTGGCACCTGTGCTTAGTCCAGAATCAAGACTCGATCTTCTGACTCCTTGGCCAGTGCGCCTTCCCCTGGGCCTCACTGCCACCTTCTAGGCTGTCTGGGGCTTGGCTCTTTGGAGTCCCAGAAGATGCAGTGTCCTCACCATCACACCCACATCCTCCATCCAGGAAGAGGTCAGGCCAGCAAGGGGCAGGGGCACGAGGTCCTTACCTGCCCTGGGCTGGAATGCTTCTTTGGACTTATTTGTCCCCCTATAAAGACCCATCTTCCATGATGGGTGATAAGATCCCATCCTGCCGTGTGATGCAGGCAGCAGGGACGAGCCTGCTTCATCTGCCGGCATCCTTGGTGTGGGGCGCATGGAGCCCAGGCCTCCGTGCACCGTGGACAGTCATGGACAGAATGCTCAGCAGATTGAGGGTGTGTGTGCTCTGGGCCAGCTGATGGGAGACCCAGACGGATCCCTGCTTCTTGGGGCCTTTTTCTTTTGTCATCAAGAAATGCATGCCTCTCTGGACCCATCTCTCCAGACATGCTGGGTCAAGGTCATGGGGCAGGGTGAGGGTAAATGGGAACCCCCATTTAAGAAGTCTTCAGGTGACGCCCACTGCAGTCAGGATAAGACCCAGACACCTTGCCCCGGCCAGCTGCACCCTACAGGGGCTGGCTTCTGCCCCACTGCTCCTGCTGGTGTTTTTCTCCTCCTCTCCGCCCTCGCTCAGGACTCTCCAGCTGCACAGGCCTCCATCCCAGCTCTGTCCTGCTCCTTGCATGGCAGGGTCCTTCTCATCCCCTGGACCTCGCTGACCTGTCAGCCTACCAGGCCTCCCGCTATTCTCTCCCTCGACGCCTGGTTCTTTGCCGTCTTAGTTCCTCTCTTAATTTGCTGCAGTCTGTTCATTTGTGTACTGCTGGTCAGATGACTACCAACCTGGTGCCAGGTCGAGGCCAGTGTCCTTGGGCCATATGAGTCCGTTGTGTGCACTCAAATGAGCCGAACCCACAGGACCATGGAGGTGGAGCCACCTGTGAATGAATCTTGCCCGTGAAGAGAGGCGCCCTGTGCCTGAGGTTGGGGAGTCCGGGGGAGGGGGATGGGCCGCTTCTCTTGGGGAGACACCCCCTCAGCCTCCTTGTTTGCTTCAGGAGCCCCCGAAGCAGTGCCGGGCATTTCTGTAGTGCCCATGGTGACCAGGCTGGGCTGGGCTGGCTCAGGACAGCTGAGCAGCGTAGGATGCAGGGGAGCCCTGGTGGGGCGTGACCGCCCAGGAGCTCAGGGCAGGTCTCTCCTGGAAACCCAGCCTCTAGGAAGAACAGATGGCTTTGTGTATTCCCATTACCAATGAAGGCCTTTTGTGACAGCAAGACAAGGTGAAGGGAGGTTTTGTGACAGGAAGACAAGGTGAAGGGGGGTTCCGTGACCTGGGGCTGGTGTCCAAGGGCATGCCCACATGTGTCTGCCTGTGCCCACCTGTTCTGTATAGGACCTCCACCAGACCTCAGCCGAAGGCCCTTCTACCCAGAGGTGTTCCCCAGCCCCTTCATCCCCAGCACAGAGGCGGGTGGCAGGGAGGCATTGTCCCTGGAGTTTCAGGGAGGCGGGTGCCCAGACCCCCAGTGAGATGGACACCGTCTGGGCCGCTTCTGCCCACAGAATCCCCAGCAGGGATCTCCATCCCCCAGCACCATTCTGGCATCTCAGAGGCTTGAAGGACAGTCACCGAGGCCTGAGCTAGCTTGGAGGTCCCTGTCCAGGGCTCTGTGCATGAGCCCGCAATCCTTTCTTCAGCCTCCGGGCTGGGAAGGGCTCTGCCCTAGATCAAATCCCAGGCTGCAGAGCAGTGCTCAAGGGGAGAGAGAGTCACGCCTGTGAGAAGCCCCTCCCCCGGCAGACCCCTCTCTGCTCCCCTCGGCCCACAGCTCCCAGGGGAGGATGCAAGCATGAGAAATGCACAGTCGCCAGTTCCGCCGCAGCTCAGCGGAGGCGGCCAAACAGGTGATCCCAGGGGATGGTCCAGACAGTGGGTCCCACTGGCTGTGAGGACGCTTGTCTGCCGCATGCCTGTCTCCCACCCCCCTGGGCGATGGAGGCTGGACGTGGGGCTGCTGCTTCTCACGGTGACGCCCTCGAGGCTCAGAAAGGCTTTTTGTAGCTTCTTGACCCAGGTTTGGGGAAGTCTGAGGTCTACAGAGGAGTCTCATCATGGAACGCTGAGTGTGTGTGTATATGAGTGTGGGGATATATGTCTGTAGGTATGCATATGCATATGTGTATTCATATGTATGTGTGCATGCATGTGCACATATGTGTATGTGTGCATATGTGTGTAGGGACATGTGTGTATGTGTATATTGTGTGTGTGTTGAAGTACATGTGTGTATGTGTATATTGTTTGTGTGTGTGGATTTGTACATTTATGCGTATGTGCCTGTGTGTACATATATGTGTGTGTGTAAGTACATGTTTGTATGGGTTTGTGCATATGTACATGTGTCTATGTGTATGTGTATATTGTATGTGTGTGTGGATTTGTGCATGTGTACATGTGTCTATGTGTATATTATATATGTGTGTGTTTGCGTACATGTGTATGTGTATAGTGTGTGTGTATGTGGATTTGTGCATGTGTACATGTGTCTATGTGTACGTGCCTGTGTGTGTTACGCAGGTTCATGTGTGTGTATGGGTGTGGGAGGGTGTCGGGGTGGGCAGTCGGGGGATGAATACCTTCATAAGAGGTGAGTCCAGGACCTTTAACTTTCACTTCTCCCAGGGGCGCATGAGGCAGGAAGACAGCCTCCCTTCTTAGGCTCCCAGAGTTGTTCTTTGCCTCCATCTCCTCCATCCCCACAGAGCAGCAGGCTGAGCGGGAGGCTGTCACATCATGATCAGCAGGGCCTAAGAGGGGTACCTGGGTCCTGGCCCTCCTTGCCCAGGCCAAAGATGCCGGTGGAGGCACAGTTTCTGCAGGGGCCCCTCGTGGCTGCTGGCATGTGCGGCTGGAGCTGTCCGCGCGGCACTCCGAGCAGGGAATGTGGGAGCCTGCTGCCCTCCAAGCCCAGGGCAGGGGACAAGAAGTCTGAAGGTGGCAGAGCCCACCCTCCTACAAGCAGGAATCCTGGGTGCCGCCAAGGAAAGTCTCACTAACCTCTCTCTTGGTTTCTAGGAACCATGCCATCTAGGGAGCCCTCTGTGGCCATCTCTGCCTGGACCAGGGTGGAAATGCCTCTTCTTGGTTTAATGAGACCAGCCTCAGCTGACTCACAGAGCTGCAGAGCCAGGCTGGGTCCTAACAACTCTCTCTAGCATTTCCGGAGCCCCACGGGGCACGCGTTAGGTAGGAAGTCTGTGCAGACTGGAGAACCTTGGCTGCTGCCAGCCGGTGGGGCCAGCTACCTGGTGACACCTTTTCCCCAGCAGTACTGAGAGCTAACAAACATTTATGGAGCACTTACGGTATGCCAGACGCTTGTCTAAGTGCTTGACATGGACTAACGTGTTTAATCCTCCCAACAAGCCTATGAAATGGACACCACTATTGTGCTCATTTCAAAGACAAGAAACTGAGGCATAGAGAGGCTATGTAGCTTGCCTGAAGTCACACGGCCAGAAAATGGTGGGGCGGGGGTTTACTGAGCCTTGACATCTGCCGCTTAGCACTTCCGCAGCGTCACCCTGAAGTGCCGTGCTTGATGGAGGGGTGGAGTTGGGGGGGTGCAGAGGTGGAGCCGTCTTCGCTTTAGGGAACACCCAGCTTCCATGGGCTGCAGTGAATCCCAGAAAGGCTTTGGGAGCAGCAGTCCAGGCAGGAGAGTGGTTGGGGACTCAGCTCCGGTGGCAGGAGGGGAGCAGATCATGACCATTTCTCAGGAGAGCCCTCGGCTGCCACCCTCCCCCATCACCACGCGCGGGCTCCCGAATGCTCCTGTCTGGGGCCCTTACCTGCCACAGGTGCCGAGCCCCTTACCTGCCACAGGTGCCGAGCCTCTGCCAAGCCCCTCTGCCTGCTTTCCTGTCTGGGAAACTGGCTGAGCAGCTGCGAAGGCCCTGGGCCCCCTCCTCACCCTGCCTTCCAGGGTCCTCCTGCCAGGCTCACTTCCTGCTTAGCTCTTCCGAGCCACCTCTTCCCCAGGGCCCGCGAGTACGAAGGGGTCTCAGAGATGGCAGGAAGCCTTTAGAACTGTCTCCTTGCCTCCTGCCAATAGAAATCCTACTGACCGCCTCACCTTAGCCGCAAAAGGGTGGAAACCTTGAGCCATCCAGGCTTAGTTATTTCTAAGGGAGCTCCATGCCGCCTTCATTTCTTCATTATCCACCCTAGAAGGCCCTTAAGCCATATCTCCCATGATCTGGACCTGTTGCAATTGTTTTTATTTTAGCCCTAAGCCCAATATGTAATATGTATTAAGGAGAATGCAGTGTGGGCTTGGGTCCAGACTCTTTTCTGCCTGTTAATATTTTCTGGAATCCTGATGCTGATGTCCTTTCTTCCCTTCATGTATTCGTGATATATTTATCCCACTTGAGTCCCTCAGCGGCCTCACTGGGGAGCACAGGATCTCACTGTAAGAAAATGTCACCCCCACAAATTGTCCAGGCCATGCAGATTTCATGGAGTCAGAAGTCAGGCACACCCAGCAACATCAGAGCTGCTTAAGGCTTTCTGGAAAAGGGGTGGGTAGGACAGGAACGGGGATGAAGGGGACAGAGGGAGCAAAAGGCCCAGGGCAGAGCTTGGCTGCAGAGTCCATCATTTCCCATGGATCCCGACATAAACAAGGTAGCACAGCTGAGGCCTGTAAACCCAGAGTTTCCAGAGAGTATCTGTTAGCGTCTACATAAATGGTGTTCTCAGATTCACGTGTGGGATATGCTGAGTTAAAGCAAAAGGAGACAGTTTTCTTGGAGGACTCTGCAGAATCTCTAAGAGGGGGGTGGAGGAAGGCTTTCCCAAGTTGATGAGGTCCCAGAGCTCATATGGGAATACCTGCTGGGAATGCTGATTAAATGGGAAGATGCTGGCACTTTGGGAGGCCGAGACGGGAGGATCACTTGAGGCCAGGAGTTCAAGAACAGCCTGGGCAACATAGCGAGACCCTGTCTCTACAAAAAATTTAAAACTTAGCCAGGCTTGGTGGCATACACCTGTAATCCCAGCTACTCAGGAGGCTAAAGCTGGAGGATCACTTGAGCTCAGGAGTGCAAGGTTGCAGTGAGCTGTGATGTTGCCACTGCCTAGGCAACAGAGCAAGACCCCATCTCCAAAATAGTAGTAACAATAATAATAATGGGAAGATAGATGTCTGGCCAAGACACAGTGTTAGTGGGTGGTGGTCCAGGCCCCACCACAAACCAGATGAGCGTCCTTGGGCAAATTAAGCCCTCTCTAAGCCTCAGTTTCCCCATGAAATGAATCTCTTACTCCAGGCCTAGCTTCTTAAGGTGACCACTGAGAGAAGGGACAAGGAAATCTCTGTGACGGAGAGTGCTTTGCACAAAGCATGATGCACTGTGGGAGGAATTGTGGGTTTGCCTCTTGCATTCCTGGAAGAAGCCACGGTGGCTGGGCTTGACCACCTGGAATGAGTGCACTTGGCTTGCTTAGCAGAAGTTTTGAGCTACTTCTGCTGCAGGAGAAAAGGGAACAGTTTGCTACCAGACTGAGCTCAGTGTGTAGTCTCTGAGTGGGCCTGATTGTTCTTCCCATGAACTGCTAATGATCCCCTCACAGACCCTGCCTCCTCTGAACTCACTCACTCAGGGCTTTATCCCAGAGACATCGAGCTGGTCACCAGGCACCAGCCCTTCTGACTGTGGCTCTGGGGAGGCTCTGGGAACATTTGAAAAGGCAGAAGCAATCAACTCCTGGGCCTATGATAATGACCATAAGTGTCCAGCCTGGACAGCTACCAGCAAGGGCAGATCCGGGCTCAACCCTGGCACCCCTGGGAACCCTGGAGGGGGCTGGGCTACAGCCCCGTGGGGATGAGATAGCGGAATTGTGGCATGGAATTGGGCTACAGAGAGCATGTGGCTTAGACCAGGAGGATACAGACACTCAGGCTGGGGGCCAGAGCCCTCCTGAACAACTTGAGGGAGGGAGGAAGTGAGACTTGAGCCAGGCCCAAAAGTACACTGTAATTTCAGAACCCCAGCAAGTGAGCAACAGCCTTCTCAGAGCCTCCCTCCCAGCCTTCCTGATCCCTTATATGCGTAGGAAAAACCACTTTTGGGGTTAGGGGCCCTCTGGAATGAGCTTCAAATGGCTCAGTTTAAAGTGTTCAGGAACCACTGATGTGTACTAACTTAGTGTAGATATTCACCACCATCATTGCTACCACCGCTGCCATTACCATCACTATCATCGCCACCCCATCTTCATTACCACTGTCACCATCATCACCGCCATCATCACCTCCATCACCACCACTGTTAACCCAACCATCACAACCATTACGCTAACCACCACTATCATCATCATTACCATCATCACCCCATCATCATTACCGCTATCACCATCGCCACCACCACTGCCATCACCACCACCAATACCACCTCCACCACCATATAACCACCATCACTATCACCACCAGCATTTTAACCTTCAACACCACCATCACCTCCATCACGAGTATCACCATCACCACCATTGTCAACCGAACCATCACCACCACCATTACCCTAACCATCACTATCATCACCACCATCATTAGCATCATCACTGCTGCCACCATCACCATTGCTACCTCCATCACCCCATTACCACCAGCATCACCACTACCACCATCACCCCATTACCACCAGCATCACCACTACCACCATCACCCCATTACCACCAGCATCACCACTACCACCACCACCCCATTACCACCAGCATCACCACTACCACCACCACCCCATTACCACCAGCATCACCACTACCACCACCACCCCATTACCACCAGCATCACCACTACCACCACCACCCCATTACCACCAGCATCACCACTACCACCACCACCCCATTACCACCAGCATCACCACTACCACCATCACCCCATTACCACCAGCATCACCACTACCACCACCACCCCATTACCACCAGCATCACCACTACCACCATCACCCCATTACCACCAGCATCACCACTACCACCACCACCCCATTACCACCAGCATCACCACTAGCACCATCTGCTTCATCACATTTTGAATTTGCCTTTGCCCACACTGAGGAAGACTGCAGAACTCAACCCCTAGCACTTCTCTTCTGTTAACTGTCTCTGCCCTGATCGAAGAGATCAGTCAAGGCCTGATCGTGCTAGACTGAACATACTTTCTTGTTTGTCCAAAACAGCCTGGACTCATACCTGTTGTCCCTGCTTCATCATTAATAGCTCCCCTCTTTCCCTCTCAACTGTGCCCCGGTTTTCATGACACCCGAGTTAAGACCACGTCCAGCTTCTGATTAACCCCACAAGGACTAGCAGCCCAAGGATGCTAACCGAGGACAGAGCCATTGGCTTCCTTCTGACACTCTCACGGAGCAGGGATGCTAGCTGGAGGTTACACCCCACCATCAGTGATAACTAATGGTGTCCCTGCCTCCCCCTCCTTTGCCTTTCCTGTCCCCTCCCCCCACTTCCAGGAAACCACTGAGAAAAGACGAAAATGGCACCAGCGTTGCTGAGTATCCCATGAGTGCTTCGCAGAGCAACAAAGGAGTAGACGTGAACAACGCAGTGGTGTGAGTCTGCAGGCCCTGGACCCGCTGGCCAGAGGGACACCTTGGTGGCACTGGTGGACATGGGAAAGCAGGTGGACATGAGCTAACCCTGAGCTTGTCCAGGACTTCATTGCCTCACAGGCCCTGAGCCTCCCGAAGGAGAAACCATTGTCTTCCCAGGCTTGCCCCTGGTCAGCCTGCGGGCCCAGGCAGCTCGGACACCAGGCTGAGCCCGGCGCAGCACCTGGGCAGTGTCCCCACCCCAGGCCCTCCACATCCTCCTCCCTGTCTGGTGTCTGGTCTGTCGACTGCCCCCAGCTGCTGTCTAAAGCATGCGCACTGGCGAAGCCAGAGGGATCTGTCTTTCTACTGTGGCAGGGAGGCTTCCCCCTTTAGCCAAAAGAAAGATGGTCCGGAGCCCACTCCCTGCCGGAAAACCTCTCCTCCTCCCAGGAAGCCTGCCTGCTCCACTGTTCACATTCTCAACAGAAGCCATCGGCACAGCCAGCAGACAGACGTCCCCTTTCAAAGGTGCTTCCCACACATCTGTTCATCGCCCCATCTGCAGTTGTTGTCAATCTTCAGGGCCTGCCTTCTCCCTCCTATCCCCACTGACACCCTACACCCTAGGCTCCTGACTGCCTGCCATGGAGGGCTGTGAGTCCAGCCTGCAGAATCCCCTCCTGAGCAGACACAGGAGTGCGTTTACACTCGGGGGCAGTGTCTGGCCTTCCGGGGGCAAAACGACTCACTGAACCCGCAGCCCAGGGCCACTGGGCAAGGGCAGAGGCCACTGCACCTGTCCTCAGACTCATCCCCACACTTGACCCCATAGGAACTGATGCATCTGTGTGAGCCAGGCCCTGCCTTAGTCAGCAGAGGCCACTACTTGTGCCAAATCCACTGTGGGCCTGCTGTACCAGGCTGATGCTGGCCAGGCGCTGGATGTCCCCCACAGTCCCCTGAGGCCTGACTGTTGTACTCAGGCCCTCTCCCAGAGTCCTCCATCATCTCCCCATTTTACCCTACCCCGAGCCCCAGTCGCCAAGAAGGAGGTGTTGTTCTTCCAGGGTCTTCCTTTCAATGTCTGTTTCCACAGTCTCATGCTATAGAAGCGCTGAGCCCTCCAGCGTGGTTGGAGGATCAAGGGATGAAATGGGACAGGAGGAGAGGGGTCCTCCAGGCTGGTGACCCCTGCCCTGTTGGCCTGTCTCCCAAGTGGCAGCCTTCCCTGTGGGCCACATCAGGAAACCCACGGAGACAGGGTGATTTTGCATCTCCTGGAAAATGAGTGGGACACTCCTGGCCCCCTGGCTCTCCCCACCACCCCTACATATGTGCTCAGAAGGAGCCCAATGCATTGAATGGTTCCACTGTCGAGCCCTCTAAGACCTGGTTTGCCTCCTAAACCTCCAGTGTGCTCCTCTGATAGGTGTTTAAGCTACAGGTGAGACTTTGAAGTCCAGAGAAGACAGACACACCTGAAAACCGGTCCCCATTTGGGCCGAACCTTAAAAAGCCCATTGTCCCAGAGTCCTAGTGCCCACGGAGCTGTCTGTGTGTCATTGTCCTGCCCAGGTCATCAGGTGTGGGCTGAGGACAGGCCCAGGGCATACCCTCCCATAAAGGGGTTTTCTTCTTTCCTCATTTCCTTCTATTTGAGGACTTGTTTGGGGTTTAGATTTGAATTTTGCTTCCCCTGGACACCTGGGCATCAGCATAGTGCCACCCCCTGCTCCTGACCTGGCCAGTACTTCACAGTGCTCTTGAGGTGCGGAGCCAGCTGACAAATAGGCCAGAGGGTGTGGGCCAGCAGCAGGTTAAAGGGGGAAACCCAGCAGACCCCACCCCAGGGCACTCTCCCCTACTGCCTTCAGCCTTCTGGTGCCTGTTGAACCCCCAAGCTGTGCCCTAAGCAGACCCCTGGGCAGGACCCTAGCCCTAAGCACACACCACCCTGTGCTGCAACCATGAGAAAGTGCCCATGCCTTGGGCTGTCCAGAAGCTCAGGAGTGATCAGAGGGCACCTTCTCTAAGAGGGGAGGTTCCTGGCTAAGGGACCATGGAGTGGTGGGCAGCCTGAAGGGGCTGGGCACAGCCCAGCTTTGCGCACACTCGCCTGGTCCCATCATTCCCTACCTTGGCTTAAACCTAGGAGGCCTGGATTTTGCAGTTAGCCTAATCTTCCAGCCCCAGGCGAGGCTCCCTGGTGAGGAATCAGCTGAGCCATCACCACGTTTTGGGGCCTGTATCCTCTTCCCTGAGCCGCTGACGCATCCAGGGCTCTAGTCTGCACATAAATTCCCTCTCAGCTGGGCTTGTAAAATCCCTTCTCACCCCAGTTAGCAAAAATCAAGGGAAGAGCCTAGTTTTTTTAAAAGATTCACTTAATATCCACCCCCCACCTCAAGCCCAAGACCGCCCATTCAAAAAACAAGTATACGGCACAGCAAGGGAGACCCACTAGATTTTGAGCTTACAGAGACATAAGGGTACTTAAAACCCTGCCGGCCTAGTATTTGAGCTTAGAACTTTTATTTAAAATGAGCCGGCAGTCTCTAGACACACACCGATCCTCAGGCTAGTCCGAGCCCTGAGGTCAAGAATGAAATGCACTTCCCTTCTCATTTTCTCAAATAGATCTTTTCCAGCCGTCTCACAGTTGACCCCAACTTTGGAACTCAGATCATAGGATCTCCCAGAGGTTTCAGGTGTTCCTAAGAAGCTTCTAAAGGAAGTTTTGGAAGAAAGACTAATAGGTGTAAACATATAAACATATATATTATATATAGCTATATATATTTAAAGAGATCTCTACATATATATATATATATAAATACAACTACTGTACTCTCTGCATCTGTACAAAGTATGAGTTAAACTGCCCAGGTAGTGTGAGATACGTAATGCATGAATGTGAATATCCTGAAATCTGCCTTCTTAGCAACGTGCCGCGTGTACTGGAGAGAGGACAGTTGCTCCTGGGAGTTCTCTCAATGGGCAAATGTACAAGTTGATGCCGTCTTATCCACCAACAAGCCATTAAGGTTGGTTTCCTGCTGAGACTTTTGTACCGGAAGCGAGACCGGCAGCACTGGGGGTGTCCATATGCCACTTATGAGGAAGAAAGCACCATGACTTTTTTATTTTCAATAAAAATATAGAGATGTCTGTCAGTTGTCATTTGTGGGGTGGGGGAAAGGAGAAGGCCGGCCTGAGGGATGGGGGGATCCTTCACTAGGGTCCTGCTATACCCCAGGGCTGGGCTGGGGACCTTCCATGGGATATCTCTGTATGTTTTATCCCAACGCCCCAGGGTCGGTATTTATGGGGCTTTCAAAGGCCAATTCTGTCCCTCAGCCTGCCACCCACCGCCTTGACCCTTGACTTAATTGAGAATAGGGCGACCAACCTTCCCAGTTTGCCTGGGACTGAGAGATTCTCCTGAACCTGGGACTTTCAGGGCTAAAACCGGGGATATCTGGGGAAAATGGGACAAGAAGGTCGCCCTAAGTTGACAAGTGCTCACAGGAATCACAGGGAGCAGGAATCAGCCGGCCACACCAACAGGGTGACGGTGGCCAGGGTCAGCCTCCTGGATGTCCACCCCATGTGTAGACCTCAGCACCCACAGGCTGCTCTGCAAAGCCTCCTTACCTGGCCAGTTGCATGGAGAATGGAGGCTTGCCCTGCACCCCCACGCAGAGGGGCCCAAAGGGCACAGGGCCCCCCAGGCTCAAGCTCCCGCCACCACCCCGCTGCTTTGTTTTCCCCGCTCCAGCCTCACCCTCAGGCAAGCCTCACAGGAAGCAGCCGTGGGGAAGAGCTTCCGGTGTGATGGGCCAGGAGGGATGTAGGAAGAGAGAAAAAGTTGCACCTGCAGCATCTTCATCCTCCTGTTTGGAGTGAGGAGACAGGTCAGAAATGGAGCACAATGGCCAAGGTCAAGCACATACCAGGAAACAGGGATGGGGCTGGGGGTTGAACCCAGCCTGGTGCCTTCAAGGCCCGGCCACTGGGCACAAGCGAGGGGCCACAACTCAGACTCTCTCCACCCCTGCCTGGCTTCCCTGGGGCTTCAGAGTTAGCTCAGTGAGGGCCAGCTAAGAGCCCTGTGTGCCCAGAGCCAGTGGGCAGGTATATCCCCCTAACTGGGCTCACAGCCCAGGGGACAGGAGCTCAGTGCAGGAACTCAGGGAAGGGCTTGTGTCCCAGGCATCAGGGACATGGAGGGAACATGGAAGTTATTAAAGGCACTCCTGTTACAAGCGCCCCTCGCACCTGGGATTCTGTGAGCTGCTGTTGGCCTGCATACGCAGTAGAAGACGCAGTAGACACGCAGTAGAAGATGGCCATTGTTACAATGACTGTCACTGTTGTCTTTAATGAAAGAGCCTGTGTGATAGTGAGGGCTCCTCTGTCCACTGGCCCCCTCCTGGGGCCTGCCTGAAAGCTGGTGAGGGTTCAGTGGGACATCTCAGGCCTCACACCCACTCCTGTGCACCCTCAGCCCAGGCGTCCTCAGCAGCAAGCTCGGAGGCCAGCAGGGAGTGGCAGGCCTATGTGCAGTGCTCTGCCTGCTTGTGCAGGGGCCTGGGAATGGGGACTCAGGGCCAGCCTGGCAGAGGGAGGTGGTGATCGGCTGAGCATACAGGTGCCGGGAGCCATCAGCACACAGGTGCAGCGTCAGAGCCCTCCTAGGGGCCAGCCCAGTGTCTCCACCTCACACCTTTGGGGACTTTGGCCACTGGTGACGACAGCTCCTATGGCCAACATGACAAACTATGCTCTGGCCACCTTACAGCTCCATGTCCTGCTCTGGGGTCCTGCTGCTGCCCGTGAGGTGGGAGATGCAGCAGGACCCACAGAACATCCCTGCCCAGCACCTGGCAGGGTGGCAGAATTACTGTCTTGGATGCATGAGAGCAAGTGATGGCAGGAAGGCTCTTCCTCCTGCCTTCCTCACACATGATACTATGGTGTGACATCACAGAAGATGGTCCTGTGAGCCTGAGTGAGCTGCTGCGCTGGCTTCGGGTGGCAGCTGGCTCAGTAACGTGGCCGCTCTGTGGCCTCACCTTTGGGCAGACTCACCCACATCACCAGGCTCATGACAGCCCCCATTGAGTGACTGGCTTCCTGTTCCTCTACCATCCTCCCACTTAGGAAGTAGCTGACCAGTCCTGTGACACATGGAGGATGCCCTGTCTCCATGCCTGGCACAAGTGGTGTCCACAGCCTGTGCTCCAGACACCTATGGCTGCCTTTGTCTGGGAGATCCAGCTCTGTGAGGGCCTGCTTGTGGGGGCAGGTGGAGCCGCATTCCCAGCCTGTCCTCCTCTCCTCTCCGGGCTCTCCTCTGGGGCTCCTTCTGCTCTCCATCATATGTTCATCCAGTCAGTCAGTCCCCAGATCCTTAAGTGGCTCTGCTACCAGCCAGGTACCACACTGAACACAGAGTTCAGCTTCCCAAACCAGAGGCCCCAGCTGGAAACCTCAGAGGTCCCCAGCTCCTTCAACCTGGTGAGTCCTACTTGGGCCCTCCCATCTGCTCTCCAACCCACCTCCACTTACCCAGCTCCTCCCCATACCATCCCCTACTTCCACTCCCTCTCTCTACCTGCCTCAGGCTTCTCCTCACTCCACGCAACCCCTGCCTGCCCAGCTGAGCACTCAAGCCCACCCTGCTGGCTGCTGTGGACCCATCTTTAGTCTAGCTGCCCTGGGCCCCGAGGCTTCCCCAGCCCCACTCCTCACTGCTCACCCCACCCCACGCCCCATCATCCAGCAAACCACACTCACTGCCAGCCTCGAGTTCCCACGCCCACCCCTTGGCTGGGCTTCGCTGTCCTTGCCCAGCTCACCTCTCCCTCCAGTTTCTGCCTGGCCACCACTCATCTGCTATCCAGGTCCCCTTCAGAGGCAGCCTCCTCGCTGAACACACGTGGATCATAAAGCCATGCATGCACAGAGCCAGAGGAATGCCCCCTCTCCTGGGCGGCACAGACAGCCCTGCACGCAGAGCTCCCACTCTCTGCCCTCTCTGGCGGATGTTTCCAGTTGGTTATCCTCCACTGCCTGAGCCTGGCAGTCCCTAGACAGCGGCTGCTCACTCATATCCTAGTGTTGACTGGGGACACGTGCTGTGTCCTGGGGATACAGAGGGAAGCAAGACAAGGCCCCTGCCCTCCAGGGGTAGGGTGGTGGTGGCAATGGCCCCACAATGTGCACAGTGACAATGACGACAGTGTGGACATAAAGGGACACTCAGGGCCAGCTTCCCAGGGCTTCATGTACTTTATCTCTTTAATAGTCCCTGCAAGCCTAGGAGGCAGGAAGATTACCCCCATTGTACAGATGAGTAAACTGAGGTTAAGTGGCTTACCAAGGGGTTAAAAAAAAAAAAAAAAAGCAGTTAAGGCACAGAGTGCAATTCAGACCTAGCTCTGTGTGGCTACAAGTTAGTTCCAAGCTCTTCCAACCCAGACAGTTCCTTGGATTTTAAATGGTCCATTTCAGCTGGATTTATAGCCGAGTATCTCCCCTGCCGTGGGAAGCACACAGCAGCTGCAGTCAGGGACCCCTGGGTCTAACAAAATCTCTTCATATGTGACTTCTGCAATGCTCTTTCCCTCTGAGCCTCGGATTTCTCATCTGTGAAGTTGCGGGAGATAATCTCCAGTGGCTCTTTTTCCGATTACCACCTGTGGCTCTCTTTGAGCACATCTCATCATTCTCTATTCTATCACCTGAGTTTATTTTCAGTACAGCACTTCTCAGCCCCTAAGAACAATTGCCCATCTGTGTACCTGCCTTTCTCCTCCCATTTCAATGTAAGATGGCGGGAGCAGGGGCCTTATTCGTCATCAAACATCCAGCCCTCCAAACATCCAAACGTGCTGGGCATGGGAAATATTTGTTAATTAACAGTGGGTTATACATTTTACACAGTACACACAGGCATAAAGGAAAAAATAGCATTTTATTTCATATAACTGTCCAGAGTCCCTGCCTCACTGGGTGTGAGGGGGGAGAGGAATAAAAACCCTGAATTTGTGGATTGATGGCATTGCAGCCTCTTCTGGTTTGACCAGAGTCTTTTGGGTGACTCTGGGTCTTGTAGATAGACCCTTAGTCATTGAGGCATCTTCCTGGGCTGCTCCCTGTAAGAAGCACCCGCAGGCACCCCTGAGCAGATATCTGTAGCCTGGTGCAGGGGAGCTGGGCTCAGGCCACACGGCATCTTCTGGGTTCTCACAGGTCTCTGCTGCAGAGGGGCTGGCCTGGGCTGCTTCCTGGACAGGTGACTGTGGGGCTGTGCCTGGGCTTTTCTAGGCGAAGGGTGACCCCTGCCCCCATCACTCCAGTTGCAAATGTCCAGGCTCGAAGCAGCCTCCTCCTCCTGACTGCAGCCTCTGTACGTGTTCCTGAACGCCCATGGAGACTTTTGAACTCTGCACACTCACCTGGTTCAGGGAGGGCTGTGGATGCCTCTCTTCGAGGTTTATGCGCCACCATCTTCCAGGGCTCCCAGGGGCCTTTTCAACTGGGCATCTCTACAACATCCTCACCCGTAAGAGGGAAGGTGAAGACACGCCCACCTGGCCTCCCAGCGCCCCCCTGAATTTGTCTCCCTTTTTCTCTTGCTGACAATCCCCTGCGGTCCTGAAGAGGTGATCTGTCTGCCTCCTCGTCCTGTCTGCCAGAACTTCCCCTACATCCCAACTTCCTCCTGCCCCATGAAATCCATGGAACTAGACAGGGGCACGTGGTTTCCTGGAGAAGAATAAAGAATATATCCATTTATTATTTTCAAAATATTATCCCCATTCCAAACCCAATCATGCGCTCACACCGTGTGAAGTCCAAATGCTGGCAGAACGCACCATATGGAGGAGGATTTCCCGGTTGCTCATTCAAACATAGAGACGTGAGTGGGCCGTGAGTCACCACACGAAGCCAGCAGCGTGGGAGCACCACGCTCAGAAGAATGGGAGCCAAATGCCCATTGCAAGCTGTGATTTCATTTCAGCAAAACACCAGCTGCCACACGGCATTACAATTTGAAGAATAAATGGCTGTGTGACTGCAAGGAATTTAACACAGAGCCAGGCATGCATCGAGTAGGGCGTGCCTCATCAAGGTTAGCTCCCATTCTTGTTTGGGATTCCCACTCTGTGCCCGGTACGTGACAGCCATCATTCCCTTCACTCCTTACAGGAAAGAGGAATTGTCATCTCCATTTTGCAGTTGATGAAACTGAAGCTTAGTGAGATTAAATGACTCACCTGTGGTCAGAGAGCAAGTTAGCAAGGAAGTCCAGACTCCAACTCTGAGAACCAACCTGGCTGCAAAGCCCTGTCTGGGTTCCTCTCCACCTGCCTCCCCCACCCGAGCCCAGCATGGGAGCCCAGCTTCTGCACTGCAAGCTGGAGGCCCTGGGCACACCCTGCTGTCCGCAGAGCCCCCCACACCCTGCATCCCCACTGGGCAGAGTGATTGTCCTCACCTGGAGAGTTTTTCTGTCCTTCATGCTTGATTGCTTGCTGGTTCCTTCTCCAAGTGGCCACTTCAAGGAGTGGAAATCAGGGCGTCTGCTAGGCAGCCCTGGGGAGCTCCCTCTCCACCCACCTGCGGGGAGCCTGTCTGGGCTGCATAATTAAAAAGCCAGCTCTTTGTTCTTAAAACAGCCAAATCTGTGGCTTCCACAAAGGTCCTGCACACCCTGCAGGGAAGAGCTGGTGCCAGGGGCTCACCTTGCCCCACCCACCTGACCTCAGCTTCTCTGAGTGAGAGGAATCCAGGACGGTCGTGGGTTGGAGAGAACAGCCCTGGCCTGAAACAGGGTCAGGGCTGATGGTTGGCATATGGAGGGGCAGGTGGGGGCAGAGGAGTGATGCCAGGGAAAGGAAGGGCCACATGGGGCAGACAGCATGGCTGAGTGGCGCTGGGAACATCCCACCCCTCTTGGCCCATAAAATGGGAGAGCCAGTCTAAAGTGGAGAGCAAAACCACTGCCCTGCAGGGCCAGGCAGGTGAATGAATGAGCACACCAGGCCTTGTAAACCAGCCCCGAGGTGGCAGGATTTCTGCCCATGGGCTGGTGGGTTGTTCTTCTTGCTTTGGAGACTGAGGTCAGTGGCGGGAACTGAGCAAAGCTGGAGACTGCATATTACACCAGAAGTATCCAGACCAAAGGAAGAAATTAGAAATTCAAGCGCAGCAAAGAAAATATGCTCTGGGCCAGGGCCAGCCGGCAGGTTGCCAGCTGGTAACTTGTGATCTAAATGACTCTAGGTTACCTTGGAGGTCAGATGAGTAACAAGGGGCTTCCTATCATTTAGCTATTGGTAATATGTAATAGCTCGAACCTGGGCTTTGGAGGCAGAAATATTCAGATTCAAATTTTGCTCTATCTCTTACTGAATGATTCCTGCAATTATTTAATCTCTCCATGCCTGCCTTTTCCCGTTTCTAATATGGGGTTAATAATAGAAGTGTCTGCCTCACAGCATTGTTGTGAAGATTAACTGTTGTGAAGTTACTATATCAAAACTGCTATATATGACAAGCTCTCCTACTGGTCACTATGATTATAAGTAATTAGGGGCAAGTTTCCTTAGGGCTGGGTAAACCCTCAATAGGCCCCTAATCTAGCAGAGTTTATCATCACAATCTTTATTTATTTATTTTTTTATTTTTTGAGATGGAGTCTTGCTCTGTCACCCAGGCTGCAGTGCAGTGTCACGATCTCGGCCGGCTCACTGCAACCTCCGCCTCCTGGGTTCAAGCGATTCTTGTGCCTCAGCCTCCTGAGTAGCTGGGACTATAGGCACGCACCACCAAGCCTGGCTAATTTTTGTATTTTTAGCAGAGGCGGGGTTTCACCATGTTGGCCAGGCTGATCTCGAACTCCTGACCTCAGGTGATCCGCCTGCCTCGGCCTCCCAAAATGCTGGGATTACAGGCATGAGCCACCGTGCCCAGCCCTATCATCACAATCTTCTACTCATAATTATTCTTTCTCCTAAAACTACTATATTAAGTGGGAAACTAAATGTGATTTAATTTGTAATCCAAATTTTTTTTGCATGTACATGAATTCCCAAAGCAAGGGGAAAAATGCCTATGTGAGATGAAGTGATAAACAGAGATGCCGATAACATTGAGCCACCTCAAAGAAAAAGACCCTCAGATCTCTCTACCCCATGCTTCTGGCACATTTTAGCCAAAGGAGCCTAGACCCCAAAAACAGGGAATAGAAATGAACATGTATTGAGTGAGGCCCTGCTTTGGAGGCAGACGGCCTTCAGTCCTAATGCTACTCCCGCTAGCTGCATGATCTTGGATAAGGCACTTAACCGCTGGGCCTCAGTTGCCTCACCTGCAAAGTGGGGATAATAACAAGGCTTATCTCACCCAGGGGAAGGGGCTAAGGAATAAAAATCATGTATGTAGAGTGCTTGTATCTAGTAGATGCTCAATAAATGGTGGCTATTATTGTTTCTCTTGTATCCCCTTCAACTGAGGCTCACTACTCGTTCCTGTCAGTGAAGAACTGGCCAGCCTTTTACTAATAACACATCAGCCGTCTCCCAAAGCATTCAAACTCCACAAAAACACGGTTCAGTACTATTCCATTGGGTTCCAACCACTCCCTTCATTCTTCTTAAGAACCTACCATTACTGTCAAAACACCAATTTTCCAAATATACATATTTGCCCATCAGTTCTATTAAAGAAGTATAATAAACGATCTGCATTGTCCAATTAATGCCAGGGGCCCAGCTCATGAAAGAGATGGGAGGACCCATCTTCTCTGATCCAATCCAGTCTTATTTGGCCTGTTGTAGCTTGGAAACAGAGACGAATCTGCTGCAACCACTTGGCCTCTGATGAGAGTCTTCGGGAAGAGATTTGCTGGAAACATCCCGGTGTCAGGCTGAATGACATGCTTGCTAAGAGATGGTACACAGTGGAGACTGGATGCTCTTGGCTACTGCCATGTTTGGGCTCTCCTGGGTATTGTAGGTCTTAATCCTGAGGCACTGGCTGAAGAAACAAAACCAAATGAGCCTGTAGCTGTGAGCTGTCCCTCTGTGTGCTCTTCAGGAGGCAGCAAGTCTTCCCAGGGATGCACAGATTCCAGCGCAGTTTCCCAAGTACCATCACAGTTCTCCACCCATTTGAGCTTTCCATCACCCCAGGAAGATGGGTAGACAGCACCATATTACAGAGAAGGAAAAACAGAGGTCCAGGGAGGTTTAGTAACTTGTCCAAGGTCACCCAACTCATAAGAGGCATGCCCTTTGTGAAAAATCATTAAGAATAGAATCTACACATTTGGAGATTTGGGCCGATTCCACCCTTGGGAATCTCAGTGTATTCTGTTCACACACTGAAACCAATAGGGTGCTATGTGGAAAGGAAAACAGTCTGTACTGTGGCCGTTCTCCACGCCAATAATTAGTGCTGGTCAAATTTGGATCAGGTAAATTT
Organism: Homo sapiens; assembly: GCF_000001405.40. Classification (NCBI taxonomy): domain Eukaryota; kingdom Metazoa; phylum Chordata; class Mammalia; order Primates; family Hominidae; genus Homo; species Homo sapiens. The sequence continues at coordinate 824,531 of NT_187601.1, read as the reverse complement.
TGCTGAGATCTCCCTGCCCTCTGTTCTGCATTTGTGGCCATCACCTGGGGATGATGTGTGCTGTGGCAGAAGTTCATATGGGCAGCGGCTGGGAGCACAGTCCTTGGGGGTCTGATAGCCTGGGTCAAGTCCTGGCTCTGCCTCTTACTAGCTGCATGACCTTGGGCAAGTAGCTTTACTTCTCCAGGCTTAAACATAAGAATAAAAGGAATAATCAGTAACTTTTAACAAGTGCTTACCACGTGCTAGGTGTTGCCCTAAGCCCTTTTCTTGCATTCTTTCATCATCTCAACAGCCCTCTGAGGTAGAATGTGTGTCATTGTCCCCATTTTACAGATGAGGAAACACTAATATGGAAATCCCAGTGCCCCTAAGGTGGTAAGGGAAATATATCCACAGAAGGGCTGGCTCCAGCTCAGTGCCTTTCAGGGGCCTTTACATAGGTCAGAGGTCAGCACTCTTTTTCTGTAAAGGGCCAGATGGTAAATATTTTAGGCATTCTGAGTCATACAGTCTCTGTCGCAACTCTGCCTACTATTGTAGCACAAACTCAGCCCTACACAATATGTAAATGGCGAGTGTGACTGTTTCCACTAAAACTTTGCAAAAACAGGCTGTGGGCTCCATTGCACCTGTGAGCGGAGGGTGCTGACTCCTCTGCCTTAGGTGAATGGGTTCTCTTCCGACTTATTATTAGTGCCAATCTTGCTAAATTTCCATAAGTCCCCTCTCTTCCTTTTTTCTTCTAAGTGCCTGAGCCCAACTGGTTGGAAGCTTTTGGTCCCCTCTCTTTTTTTCATCGAAGTGCCTGAGCCCGACTTGTTGGAGGGTGGACATGAGGTTGCGGAAGAAGATGAGGACACTGGCAATGGCGGGTGCAGCATAGGCTGGGGGAAGCTCACTAGTTTCCATCAGCCAGTGAAGTGGCAGGGTGCCAGCAGGGACAGCATTTGGGTCAGTTGACAGGGAAAAGGGTCCTGGTTCTCAAGAGCAAGGAGAGAGATTTGCCTGGGAGTGACCAAGACTCTAGGTCAAGGAAACAGGTCCAGACAGTTGGAAGCATTAAATGGGGGCCCCAGTCAAGAGTGCCAGGTTAAGGGTTCGTCTGCAGCTTGGGGAAGATGCAAACACAAAGAAAAGTTCAGGCAGAAGTCCATTCAAAGAACTGGGCAAAGAAGAGGGAGTGGGAGAAGAAGGTGTGGGTAACTTTGGACCTTGTCTACTGGTAGGATGGGGCCACTAAGATCCTGGCTGCCTGGGGCAGGGTGGGCTCAGGACTAGCCAAGAGCCAGGCCTGCAGCTGAGCCCAGATGAGGATGTCAGTAGAAACCCTCACAGGGGAAGCAGCCAGAGCCTCCTCCTCCTCCAGGAACCGATGCAAAAAAAGAGAATGTCACATGCAAAGCTCATGGTGCCCATGGGGAGCTCAAGCAAGGCCTGTTGCTTAACTGAATCCATTCCATTCGATAGACATTAATTAAACATGTACTGTGTGCCAAACCATGAGGAGACAGAGATAGCACGTATGCTCAAAGCTGTCACCGTTTACAAGTGAGATAAACAAATGCACAACTTGACTATGAGACAAAATGTTCACGGAAGCTCAGCCAAGCATGACTGAGACGGAGAAGGGTTCTGTCCAGGGAGAGGCCTTTCAGAAGAGTTTGTTAGCCAGATATGAAGAATGATCACTTCTGTACTCTCCATACTGAGCCTGAATGGTCCTCTGCAATTTGTATAAGGATGAAGATTTGAAGATCACTCTTTCTAGAACTCATATGAACAATTAAACATCTGAGGGCTTGTTTTCCTCTGAGAAGCATTAAGATCTCAGAGCTCCCAGAAGAAAAAGGAAGCCCCTTAATAACAAACATTAAAAAAAAAAGGTCTTTTGCCCTCAGGGTCCTTCCTAGAGGTGGACTTCAAACAAATTGTGTATTCCTCTCATCAAATGGCCAGAAAGAAAGCCTTTTCTTATTCATAATTTCAGTTTTAAGTGAAGTTAGAAGCTGTAGAACTTTAGAAGGAATGGTTGTCAGGAACTAAACTCTAGCTCTATAAACTGGTTTTAAAAAACCCCAGGCTCACAAAGATAATAAAAAACGCATTTAATAGCATGTCAATATACAGTTTAAATGTGTAGTAAGTCTTCTGTTAGTCAGTGCATTACAGGGATAAAGAGGAGGAATTTCATTTGGAATGCACAGTCCAACGCTAGGTATAGGTGCAGAGAAATCTTGGTGCTCTTACACTATTAAAATTCCGTTTTATGAAACATCACTCCAGGTGCAGGGCACTGTGCCAGTGAGGGACTCATCTGGTCCAGTGTGCAAGCTACAGTTTTCAATTAAATTGTATACAAGTATTAACAAAAGAATAAAATTTATTATTCACAAAACTAAAGTGGTTATCATAAAGCTTACAAGAGAGTACAGCCTAGAACTAATGAGTTGAAAAACTAGTTTTAAAAATAATAAAACTTACTGGACAGTTTTGGAAAATGATATTATAAAACAACGAAAACAATTGGCACAGTTTAACCACCTAATTTCTAAGTGCACTTTGTAATGTTCCTTGCAAGCTGCCACTTTTCCCAGGATAAAGACAAAAAGCTTCAGTCAGGTGTCACTGGCTTATGGTGACGGTTTTTTTTATTGCATTGCCAAGAGTGGATTTTAAGAAAAAACACTACAAAGGTTTCAAAAACCCTATTTATTCTCTATCATCAAAAATAGCAACAGGGGGACTTATACAACTTTTCTGTGAGTACCCACCAGTCTATTTTTTTTTCTTAAAAAAAATAGAAGTTAGTTAAAGAAAAATGATTTGGTTTTTAAAAAATAATGTAAGGAAACACTTAATCAGATAGCCCAAGGAGTCATCAGAAATATGTGTAGCAAGAAAGCTTCATTTTCGGCCCTCTCTGGCCTTTGCACATCTTTTACTAAACTAGAAAGAGAATGTACAGTACCAATATGTTCCCCAACCTGCTTGGATCAAATTGTTTGTTTTTAAACCCATTATTGCTAAACCAGAGTGTTGACACTGAGCGCCGAGGAGTCCACTCATAGAGGATAAAATTGAGAGGCTGCTTCCGAGGACTGGATCTCCACCTGGGCCATTTTGAACTGAGTGCACTGCAACCACTTTCGGAGGGCTGCCAGGCCAGCACTGCTCTGGCCCGAGCCCGGCAGCGTCCTTAGGCTGTGGTGGTTCACGTGGTTCTGAATAGCCTGGAGGCGAAGCTGGAGTCCCGCAGATAAGTGCTGTCGAAAAAGGGCAAGAGGTTTTAGTTTATTTCTTTTCACGGGCAACCCAGGGAGTGTCGACCCGGGCGGCTTCTTGCAGGCAGAATTTAGGCTTGGCTCAAGGGTTGTCTGGCCTGAAGAAGGCAAACTCTCTACTCTGGCAGTGCCCAGGGCGGGGGATCGCACCGTGTTTTCTAGAGTCGTCCTGGCCCAAACCCATCATAATAATGACATGCTCACCTTGACAGACTCACTGCAATGAAAACATAAAGCTGCCACACCAGTGCTGGGCTAACACATAAACTTGGCCCCAGTGAACTGTTTACGACAGGGACCTGGTGTGGTGGTGAAGTGCCCGGGTTCTGCTGTCAGGATCCCTGTGTTCAAAGCCTGGCTCTTCTATAGGCGACTTTGGGAACAAGGTTTATTGGTCCGTGTTTGGGTTTTCTCATGGGTAAAGGGGGGATAGTGACACTTACTCAGGGGGTTTGTGTAGGACAAATGGGTTAAAAAAGTGCTCAGAACAGAACTTGGCACATGAAGAAGCTAGGATGATAGCTTCTCTTCTTTCTCCAAGCTTCTTAGGGAGTTCTGTCGGCCTGCTCCTGGCCATCTGGGCAATCGCCACAGATTGCCATAAAGCCGGGAAAGGGTAAGAGAGGCAATTTAAAATGCTTCAAGCTGAGAGTGCAAGAAACTCTCTTTTCACAGAAAAAACTAGTACCGAGAGGCAGTTTTCAGCAGTGCCCATGCCCCCGACGGCCGCCACAAATAGCACCAAGGCCGTAATCAGGACTCAAAGGCTGTGGTCATTGTTGACAGCCGCATTTTTCTCTTTTGGTGTCTGGGTACCCTGAGTTCATACCGCTTTCCTTCCACTAGCATCCCTCCCCAACTCGGAGAAGAAACCCAGCAAAAAACTTTCCAGCTTTTCCTCCCATCCCCCTGACACTCTTAGTGCTACAGACAGGACCCGGTTTGGATGGAGCAGGCAGCTGGCTTTGCCATCTTAAGTCACGCCCAGTAACTCTGTTTGCTGGTCATAGAGTATGTTTGCCCCTACAATGACAAAGCGCCAGTCAAGGCAAAGCCTGGGGCTGGGAAACATATTCAGGCGGGATCTCCTCTTTTAGGCTGTGGGGCCCTGACCAAGTCACTCTTCCTTTTGGTCCTAAATTTCTTCATATATAAAATGAGGCAGTAGGTTCCTTGTAGCTCAATCCTATCATTTATTTGAGGTTGTCCTGTCATAACAGAATTCTTCTCATGATAGAAAATCCATTTTAGCAACCAGGACACATCACTGAATGTGCCTAGGTATCCTCCAAGGGGTCGGTATGCTACTCCTCTTTTTTTTTTTTTTTTTTTTTTTTTGAGAGACTGGGTCTTGCTCTGTCTATATATACACAATCTTGTTACTGCAAATAGTGACAGTTTATTTTTTCATTTCCAATTTATATTTCTTTGATTTCTTTTTTTAAAATAGAGACAGGGTCTCACTCTGTTGCCTAAGCTGGAGCGCAGTGGCAGGATCATAGCTCACTGTAGCCTCGAACTCCTGGGCTTCCAAGTGATCCTCCCACCTCAGCCTCCTAAGTAGCTAGAACCACAGGTGCATGCCACCACAGCCAGTTAAATTTTTATTCTTTTGCAGAGATGGGGTCTCGCTATGTTGCCCAGGCTGATCTCCAACTTCTGGCCTCAAGCAAACCTCCCACAATGGCCTCTCAAAGTGCTGGGATTACAGACAGAAGCCATTGCACCCGGCCTCGGCCTGTACTCTCATCAGTGGATTGAGGCTTGCTCAGACCCTGGGATACCGCCCTCCACTGCATCCTCACCAACCTCAAGCAGTAGGACAATGGTTCCTGCTGCCACCCCCTGCCTGCAGAGCCCTTACCTGGCCCACAGGTCTCCTGCATTATCAGCCCTCTAAGGCCAGGAGCAGGTTGAATTCATCCTTCTCCATAGTAAATGGAGCATCAACAATCCCTAGGAACGTTATACGTTCTCTGCAGGAAACCGAGCTTCCAATCAGCCCAGGGAGTGACTTACCTTGATATTTGACTGAATCATTGGCAACCACATAGGTATCAGCTGTATAGAGAAAGACAAAAGCTTCATTATTAGTGTCCTCTATTCTCCCACAAAGCTTCGCTCATTGCAAGGGAAAACAGGCCACATTGAATCCCTTTCACGTCGCGCACGGATGTGGGCCCTGCTGCAGGGCTACCCGTTATCAGCAAAATGTCTTTCTGAGGCCAAACCCCGCTGAGCCAGTGGCATTTGGAGGTTAATAAGCGCCCCATGAGTGCCTGAGATACACACTTTAGAGTAAATGACTGATTGTCTCTCGAAAGCTACCAAGCACAGGAAATTAAATGTGTATTTATTTAATTAAATCCTCACTTTCTTGAAATAGAATTTCCTCCACAGGATCTTTAGAACTGAGTGTCTGAGTGGAATGGCGACTCTATTTGCCTGTAGTCATTAAGAAAATATCTCTGGTCAGTGGATGGAACACTTAAGTGAGCGAGAAAGACCACTCCAAGATGCCTGGCTGCGATCTGGAAGGTGTAATACAGCGAGACTGAGCCGGGTGTCTGCGAAGTGTGGGAGCACACACAGCCAAGCAGCAAGTCCCTGCTGGAGAACCCTGGCCCTCTGCTGCCTCTCTGACAGGACCTCAACCCCTCTGATGTGGTCCTTCCTGGGAGGAGGTCATAGGTGCCCTGGCCTGAGGACCTCCAGAAGCTGCTCCTTCTCTCTGCTTTGGGCCCTCCTCCGTGTTTCAGTCCTTTAAAATCTAAGTAAATATTCATGGCCTTGTGCATCCAGAAGTCGGAGACAGAATATGGCATTCCTCAAACTGTGTCCCATGGCACTCTAATTTGGAGAGCTTTTAAATGGTGGAGGGGGACTCCGATCCAATAGGTTTGGAAATGTTAGTTTCTATATTTCAGTACTTCTCAGATCTTTAATACACCAATATGCATCATATCATTTCGCTCCATATTCCTTCCAACCCTCCACTCAAATAAAGGAGTAGTGTTGTCATGCATTGAATTGTGCCCCATTAAAATCTATATTGAGGTCCTAATCTGCACTGCATCACAATGTGACCTTATTTGGAAATGGGATTGTTGAATATGTAAATTAGTTAAGATGGGGTCATACTTGAGTAGGGTGAGCCCCTAATCCAATATAACGGGTGTCCTTATAAAAAGGGGAGTTTAGACACCTACACACAAACACACAGAAAGCATGCTATGTGAAGATGAAGACAGGGACCTACAAGCCAAGGAACCCCAAAGACCCAGCAAACCACCAGAAGCTAGGAGACAGGTCTGGAACAAATTCTCTCTCCAATCCCTTAAAAGAAACCAACCCTGCCGACACCTTGATCTCAGCCTTCTGGTCTCCAGAACTTCCAGGGAATACATTTCTGTTGGTTGAACCACCCAGACTGTAATACCTTGGTAGTCCTGGGAAGCCAGAACAAGGGCATTCCAGGAAGCAGAGAGAAGGCATGGCGAAGCTCATTGGTGGGAGTGTGCAGAGAGTCGGGGAGGGGAGACAGTCACGTGATGCTGACATGTGAGGCTCTTAGAAAACGGCCATGAAAAACAAGTTTAGAAAAGCACAGGCCAGGCCTTCACACCCTTAGCCCACCAGATGGCCCTAAATGCCAAATTAGGGGATCTGAATTTTATTCCAAATTCAATACAACTTCCGAAGAGGGGATGCTCTATTCACCATGAGCAAAACAGTGCTCCAGACAGATCACCGTGGCAGCAGCCTGCAGATTAGGGTGAAGAAGGAGGCAGGGAATGGAGGCAAGAGCCACTGTGGAGGTTGCCTCAATGGTCCAGAGAAGACCAGGGACAGTTTCTGGGGATGGGGAAGGATTCCACCTGCAGAGACAAATCTTGAGGATCTGAGGATGAGTCTGCTCTTTCAAGTGAGGAAAAGGTCAAAGAAGAGGTAGAGGTTTCTAACCTGGGCAAACTGGGGGACACTGATGTAATGAACAAAACCAAAGACGAAGGAGAGCTTTTTGGGATGGGGGACAGTATGTGAATGACCTCAGAGTTCAAAGTTAGTCATAGCCATAAGCTGCTGGTTTCATTGAATTCATCACATTTTCTTTAAAATGAACTTGGTGAAGTGATAAGCTGCATTTCTCTCCCTGTTTTTGTTCCCAAGGCTAAATCTGGCTGTTGTTTGACTTTTAACATTCTGTTGATGTATATAATTCGCTAATTTGACTTCTATTGACATTTACTCCTAAACATTCCTAAACGTAGTGTTTCTGTTGCAGCTAGCTAACACTTGGTCTCTAACATGAATACTGTGTTTATAAATGGAGTATGGTGTGTATCAGAAAATGTAATGAGACTAAAGCTGAAAATATCAGAAGATGCCACCCTCTCCATGCCTCCCCCTGTCCCCCAACCCTCATAACAAAACGGTGGGATTACAAAGATTGGTACCAGATAAGGCTGTGCCCTCTGACCCTTACTAGGACTGGCTCCTCTAGACATTCTGAATGGAAAAAAAAAATTTATCTAGTCTAACTGTCTCCCCCTATAATTTCTGCACAGCAAAAAGCAAGCCCTGGAGGGTGCTGATGCTACAGACTTTGTTGACCTTTGACTATTTAATACAGAAGTGGGCCCATACGCCTCTTGATATTTGGGAAATACCCAAACTAACCTCCTGTTAAGAATTGTGAGGGACTTGAGAAGAGTAGGGTCAGGGAGTACTGAGTACCCTGTCCCTGGGTGGATACCTTTCCCAGTGCTGCCACTGTGGCTAAGCGTCCATGTGAAGCAAGCAAGGGGAATAGTGATGTTGGTCTAAAAGTGTTTTTATTATTTCCCCATTGATGTAATCTATGACCATGTGATTCTAAAATATACCTGCAAGGGACCTTCAGGTTTGTGATTTGCAAATCACGTGACTAAATGTATCCAGTTAAAGCTCATCATTATTGATGACATTATATAACCCAGCCATCACCCTATTTCAGAAATGTTAATTTGACTTATTGAATAACTTTCATTTTCATTCTCTTTTGCTAGTGGTTCCTACAAATCTGTCAGTAAGAATTAGATGTGATTTATTTTGGGCTCTGCAATGTTATGATGGAGTAAAGTTGGTTGGGCTTTTTTTTCTCCCCCCTCTTCAGAAACAATATCCTGAAAACTGAAGGACATTTAAAAAATAGGTTTTCACAAGAATAAAAGTGATACCCTTCCTCTTATCTTGGTTCATGCTACAGAACAAATGGAAGACTTCCTGCCTGGTTGGACTGTACTCATTTCAATCCTGCTTATTCCAGCCCTCAAAATTAAAATTGGTGATGAAACTTTCTCTTTCAGCCAAGATGGAGTAACAAAGACCAGATTTACCCTCCTGCCTGGGACAACTAAAAATCCAGACAAACTATAAAAAACAATGTTTTTCAGGTATTGAGCATCAAGAAATGCAGGACAGAGATCACTGAGGGAAAGGAAACAAACCAGGTGAGTCCTGCAGGTATTCCAGCTCACTGCCTAGAGAGAGTTTTCAGGCAGTAGCACTGGCAGCAGGAATGCAGGTGGAGCCTGGCAGTCTTCCTGAGTGAGGAGAGGTAGCCAGGAGCCCTGGGAGGTCAAAGTGACTACAGTTTTCAAGGTAGAGTACTGGACAGGAGAGATCTACAGAGAGAGAGACAACTCCAAAGATCTGAAAAGGGATCCCCCTGAGTCTTCAGCTGAGTGCTGACCAGTACATGCAAGTTATAAAAACTACCCAACACTGGAGAAAAAACGACCCGAAAATCTTAGAAGGAAAAAAATCCCCTGGTGATTATATAGGGCCAAGAATATTTTGTGTTCCTATTAGTCAGAGTGGAAAAATCTTATAACTCATAGAACATCATGAGAGTACTGATAAGGATAGTGGTATACAGCAGCAGCAGTGAAGAACTACGTGCCCTACAAAAATTGCTGCTCTGATCAATACCTAACAAAGCTTAAATGTTAGCCTCAGAAGGATAAAGATATTTGTAAGTTATGTAACTATGTCACAGAATACAGCTTAAGAATATTTTATATGAATATAAAAATATCCATCACCCAAGAAAGTCAAATTAACAATGTCAAGAATACAATAAAAAATTACCAGGCATGCTAAGAAACAACAACAACAAAAGAAACACACGAATGAGGAGAAAAATCCATTAACAGAAAATAAAACAAAAATGACACAGATAACAGAACTAACAGACAAGGACATTAAAACAGTTATGATACCTATATTCAATATGGTCAAGAAGGTAGAAGAAAGATTGGGCATGTTGAGTAGAGGCACTGAATAAAATATTTGAAGAAACAATGGCTGATATTTTTCCAAATCTAATGAAAACTATAAATCCAGAGATTCAAGAAGCTCACCAAACCCAAGCACCAGAAATATGAAGAAAACTCTACCAAGGCATAGCATCATCAAATTGCTTAACCATAGTGGCAAAGACAACAGAGGAAAAAAGACATATCACATACAGACAAAAAAGATAAGAATGACAGATTTCTTGTTGGAAACAATATAAGCAAAAAGACAATGGAGGAGCAATATCTTTAAAGTATTGAAAAAAAAAAAAAACCTCCGAAACCATCCATCTAGAATTCAATACCCAGTGAAACTGTCTTTCAAAATTGAAAGCAAAATAAAGCTTCTAAAACATACAAAACCTAAAACAATTAATCACCAGCTGACCTGCACAGGAGACTTTACAGAAAATCCTTTGGGCAGAAGGAAAGATGAAAGATGAATGTTTAGATCTATAGAATGAAATGAAGAGCATTAAAATGGCAAATATAAATATGGCAATTATAGCAAATATAACTGAACATAAAACTTGTTTAAAATCTCTTTAAGAGATAGTCAACTGTTTAAAGCAAAAATAATAATGTATGATTTGCTTTATAAAATATATAGAAAATGTATGACAATAATAGCAAAAAGTCAGGAGGTGGGAAATGGAGGTATATTATTGTACAGTTCTTATACAATATATGAGGTGGTATAATATTCCTTGAAGGCAGACTGTGATTAAAAATATATACTATAAACTCTGAATCAACCACTAACACAACAACAAAGACATACAGCTAAAAGATAATTAAAAAACACACTTCTAAACAACTTAAGGGGCAAAGAAGAAACCAAACTGGAAATTAACATTTTGATCTGAATGGAAATGAGAATCTCTCAAAATCTGGGGGAAAGCAGCTAAAACAGTATTGAAAGGAAATTTAGAGCACTAAATGCTGATGTTTGAAAAGAAGGAAGTTCTTAAGTTAATTATCTTAGTTGCCATCTCAGTTTATCTTAATTAGACAAAGAAAAGGAAATTATATCCAAAATTTAATCATAAAAACCTTAATCCAAAAGAAGGCACAAAAAGAGAGGACAGGAGACAAAGAACAGATGTGAAATATAGAAAACAAGCAGTAAGATAATAGATTTAAACCCAACAATATCACAAAACACATTAAATGAAAATGATCTAAAAACCTCAATCAAAAGGAAGAGACTGTCAGATTGCATTTTTTTAAAAGCAACATCCAACTTTATGCTGCTTATAAGAAATGCAGTTTAAATACAAAAACATAGATAGGTTAAAAGTAAAAAGATGAAAAAATATGTACCATCCTATCATTAGTCAAAAGAAAGCTGGACTGTTTTATTAGTAAATATTACCAAAGATGGGTAACATTTAGTAATTTGATATAGCAAAAGTCAACACTGTTCAAGTGCAGTGGTGCAATAATACATATATAGTAAATGGTACATATTTAAAACACCCAGTTTGATAAGTCTTGACTTACATTATGCCATGCACCACAATCAAGATAACGAACATATCCATCACCTCCAAGTTTTTTCAGCCTGAGCACGGTGGCTTATGTCTGTCATCCCAGCACTTTGGGAGGCCAAGGTGGGCAGATCCCTTGAGGTCAGGAGTTCAAGACCAGCCTGGCCAACACGGTGAAACCCCGTCTCTACTAAAAATACAAAAATTAGCTGGGCATGGCGGTGGGCACCTGTGGTCCCAGCTACTCAGGAGACTAAAGCACGAGAATTGCTTGAACCCGGGAGGCAGAGGTTGTGGCGAGCCAAGATCGCACCACGGCACTCCAGTCTGGGTGACAGAGCAAGACCTGATCTCAAAAAAAAAAAAAAAAAAAAAAAAAAACCTAAACTAAACTAAAAATATTACCAAAGATGAAGAGGGACATTTTATAATTTCAATTCATTAGGAAAATATAGCAATCCTAAAGACATAAGCCTAATAACAGAGCTTCATAATACATTAAGCAAAAATAAATCCACATTCAGAGATATTTCAATACCCCTTTCTCAATAATTGATAGAATAAGTTGACAGACATAACAAGAAGGACATAGAAGACTTGAGCAATACAATCAAAAACTTTGAACTAACTTACTTAGGAAACTCCAAGCAACAACAGCAGAAGACACATTCTTTTCTAGTGCACACAGAGCATTTATGAAGATACACAATATTCTGGGCCATAAAGCAAGTCTCAATAATTTAAAATGAATCAAATTATATAAAGTATATTCTCTGATACATTAGAACTACAAATCCATAACAGAAAAATCTCTGGAAATCTTTAAATATTTGGAAGTAAAACAATATAGTTCTAAATAATCAATGCCAGAAAGAAAGCAAAAGAGAAGTTAGAAAGTATTTTGAACTGAATAAAAATGAGAACACAACATGCCAAATTGTTGGATGCAGCTAAACCAGTGCTTAGAGGAAAATTTATAGCACTAATCACTTATATTAGAAAAGAAAAGTCTCAAATCATTGTGCTCTACCTCAGCCTCCCAAGTAGCTAGAACTACAGGCATGTGCTACCATACCCAGCTAATTAAAAAAATCTTTTTTTTGCAGGGTAGAGACTGGGTCTCAATATGCTGCCAGGCTGTCCAGGCTGGTCTTGAACTCCTTGACCCAAGCAATCCTCCCTCCTTGGCCCTCCAAAGCACTAGGATTACAGGCATGAGCCACTGTGTCCACCCCCTAACAATCTTTTTGTAGAAATTGACAAACCAATTTTAAAATTTATCTCGAATGGCAAATGACCTAGAATAGCCAAACAACTTTGAAAAAGATGAATGAATTTAGAAGGCTGACACTACCTGATTTCAATGAATATTATAAAGCTATAGTAACGCAGACAGTGTGTTATAAAAATAGACAGAGATCTGGCCGGGCATAGTGGCTCACACCTATAATCTCAGCACTTTGGGAGGCCAAGGTGGGCAGATCACCTGAGGTCAGGAGTTCGAGACCAGCCTGGCCAACATAGTGAAACCCTGTCTCTATTAAAAATACAAAAATTAGCTGGGCATGGTGGCAGGTGTCTGTAATCCCAGCTATTCAGGAGGCTGAGGCAGGAGAATCACTTGGACCTGGGAGATGGAGGTTGCAGTAAGCCGAGATTGCACCATTACACTCCAGCCTGGGTGACAGAGTGAGACTCTGTCTCAGGAAAAAAAATAAAAATAAAAATAAAGAAATAGAGATCAATGGGACAGAATCAAGAAGTCAGAAATAGAATTGTATAGTTATTTGATTTTTGACAAAAGTGCAAAGGCAATTTGACGGAGAAAGTATAGTATTTTTAACAATGATGCTGGAATAACTGACTATCCATATACAAAAAAGGTACCTCAATCCACACCTCACACCATATACAAAAGTTAACTCAAAATAGATCACAGATGTAAACTAACACCCAAGTGAAAACATAGATAACACTTAGAATAAAACACAAATAAAACTCTTTATTATTTTTGGGCTAGGCAAAGATTTTTTAAAATACAACATCAAAAGCATGATTCATAAAAGAAAAAAATTGGTAAATGGTACTTCATCAAAATTAAAAATTCCAAAGACAAACCACAGAGAAAAATCTTTGCAAATCACATACCTGATAAAGGACTTGTATCTCAAACTTCAGTAATCAGGAAAAAACCCAACCCAATAAAAAATGGGCAAATAATTTTAACAGATACTTCACCAAGCAGACATATGGACAGCAAATAAGTACATGAAAAGATGCTTAATGTCATTAGCAAACAGGAAAATGCTATTTAAAACCACAACAAGATACCAGTACACAACTCTTAGAATAATTAATATTAAAGATTGACTATGCCAAGTGTTGACAAAGATGTGGGGGAACTGGGAATGCTCATACACTGTTCATATACTGGATGTAACAGAGCACAACAGCTTTGGAAAATGGTTTGGAAAACAATTTTTTTAAAGGTAAATATACATCTGTCACATGGCCCAGACATTCTACTCCTAGGTATTTGCCCAACATACATGAAAACATATATGTACACAAAGACATCTTCATGACTCTTCATAGCAGATTTATCTGTAAAAGCCCCAAACTGGAAACCCCCTAGATGTCAAATAACTGATAAATGAATAAGGAAAATGTGGTATATTCATACAATGGACTACTACTCTGAAATAAAAAGTAATTGTCCACTGCTACATGCAATAACATGGATTAATCGCAATATAATTATTACAAGTGAAAGAAGGCAAAAGAAGTATATACTGTATGAATCCACTTAAAGAAAATTCTAGAAAGTGCAAGCTGATCTATAGTGACAGAAAGCAGGTCAGTAGTCATCTGGGGACAGGGAGATGAGTAACCCAACTGAAGGATTATAAAGGGGTATGAAAAAAGTTTTGGTTGTTTTTTTGTTTGCTTTTTTTTTTTTTTTTTTTTGAGACAAAGTCTCATCCTGTTGCCCAGGCTGGACTGCAGTGGCAAAATCTAGGCTCACTGCAACCTCCACCTTCCGGGTTAAGCGATTATCCTGCCTCAGCCTCCCGTGTAGCTGGGATTACAAGTGTGTGCCACCATGCCTGGCTGATGTTGGTATTTTTAGTAGAGATGGTGTTTCACCATGTTGGCCAGGCTAGTCTTGAACTCCTGGCCTCAAGTGATCTGCCCACCTCAGCCTCCCAATGTGTTGGGATTACAGGCATAAGCCACCATGCCTGGCCTGAAAAAACTTTTGGAGGTGATGGATATGTTCATTGTCTTGATCATGGTGCATGGCATAATGTAAGTCAAGACTTACCAAACTGCACGTTTTAAATATGTACCATTTGCCATATGTATATTATTGCACCACTGCACTCCAACAGTGTTGACTTTTGCTATTATCAAGCTACATATCATATATCTAACCCATTTGAACCAATGATCTTGTTCTGTTCTGGTAACAGTCAAGTTTTCCCTGAAAATGGGCTGCTTTTCCTCAGCATAGTGTGAGTGAATGTGACAAATGTTCTTTGTTGAAGAGTGGAGTTAACCAAGGAATGAAACAGCAAGTTATAAGGTTCCAAGTTGATGCCCACTAGTGGGTGGTGATGGTGGTTGGTGACAGTGGCCAAGATAATAGAATATAGAGGTGAAAGATAAAGAAATACAAGAAGAGATACAAGGAGAGGAAGAAGGATCAGAGAGACAAAGAGGTGGAACGATAGGAAGGAAAGGAAAAAGAGGGGAGGCAGAAAGATAAACGGAGTGGGAAACCAAGTTCTCTACTGTTTCGTTTTTGTATCACACTAGTCTGTTTCTGATGAGAGGAGGGTATCCAGGGAGGGGAGATGACAAATGCTTGAATTTCTTTTATACACTGTATAATGATTTAAAATAATATTATTTGAAACTAAATTAATTTGTCTTAGAGAAAGCACCAGATACCATGTCAGACAATTACAGACTATTTTCCTTGGTTTTCTGGATATGTTTTGCAAGGTAAGGTGATTTATATTAGAATAGCGTAATTTTCACATCAATATTCCCCAGTAATATTTTCAGTACTTGTGTTACCTTTTTTTTTGTTTGTTTTTTGGTAGACACAAGGTCTCACTATATTGCCCAGGCTGGTCTCAAACTTCTGGGCTCAAGCAATCCTCCTGCTTCAGCCTCCTAAAATGCTGGGACTATGGGCATGAGCCACCATGCTTGGCCTGGTCTGATAGATTTAACCCAGGTAAAGTTGGTCACAGTGGTAGACCAAGAGCAAAATTAATGCAATAACCATTTGGTAAAGGGTTGTTATAGGAGCCTGAATTCTCCAGCCCCAACTCTGAATGTTAAAACTAATTATCTTCAGAAAGTACCTTCAACATAAATCCACATTTGTTTTTAGCAGTAAGAAATGGTCTTTAAAAATCATAAGGTTTTCCTACCTTGACAAAAATGGTCGAATTGCATTCCTGCAATGCCTCCATTAAACTAATCACATGGAGACACACCATTTCTACCATCTGAAACAACAAACATGAAAGTTAATTCCATTTCCAGTGATATAGAAACCTTGCAAACTAGTTTGCAGCCGCAGAAGACCGATGTCCTGTGCCCATGAGGTCTTTCTGTGTAATGACCGTAGGAGACCACTGGCAGTGGTGTTCATTCACCTCTGAAACGTCAAACCAGAAAAAGAATTTTAAAAAAGCTCCAGAGGCTTGGTAATTGTCATGCCTCCCTCATTCAACTCAGGGCTGCCAATGGAATTCAGGCATTGATCTCACTAATCTGCACTGCACTGACTCACACCAGGGGATAAATGGCCTCTGTTGCCTTCATTTCTAACTACGGAACTCTTTGGGTGTAAGAGTTCTGTATCACGCTAGTCTGTTTGAGAGGAGGGTACCCAGGGAGGGGAGATGACAAATGCTTGAATTACTTTTATACACCATATAATGATTTAAAATAATATTATTTGAAACTAAATTAATTTGTCTTAGAGAAAGCACCAGATACAAAGTCAGACAATTACAGACTATTTTCCTTGGTTTTCTGG
Source organism: Homo sapiens (assembly GCF_000001405.40). NCBI lineage: Eukaryota > Metazoa > Chordata > Mammalia > Primates > Hominidae > Homo > Homo sapiens. Next base: position 808,360 of record NT_187601.1, on the reverse strand, counting down.
ATATCTTTTGCAAGGTAAGGGGATTTACATTAGACTAGGGTAATTTTCACATCAATGTTCCCCAGTAATATCTTGATCCTTTCTCAATCTTGATCCTTTCTACACAGTGTCTTCATCGGCAATAACTGTTTAATTCACTGCAGATCTGCTTCCGAGGCTTTATTCTCCGTGGGACAATGTAGCCATGCTTACGACAGTTCAAAGACAGTAGAGGTGATGTCCCTCATCAGAAATTCCTATGGCTGGATTTTAAATATTCCAGGGAGATTTTACCAGACTGGCTTATATGGTTTAACAAAATTTTCAGAATGAATTTAATTCAAATTCTTTTGTAATATCATTTGCATAAAATTCATGTGCAACAAATTCATTTGTAACATTTAAATATGGAGAGTGATTTGGAGGAGAGGTATTTCTTGGTATCAAAAAACTAATGATAGAAGGAACATTTTTAATCTCTAGCTTAAGTGTAAGGCCTCAGTTTTGTTGTCTGTGAAATAACAGAATAGAATGTTTGATCTCCAAATTCTTCATTAGTCCTAGAATCTGTGATCCAATAAATGTAATTATTTTCCATTAACAGAACTATTCAAACGCTAAGATTTTCACATAAACTTCCTTTAAATTGAACTAAGACATCTCTCTACACATAGAATTGCCTGTATCATTTGCATCTCTAAAGAACAAAGTGCTTCACTAAAGGAAATATACCATCCCCTTTCTAATTAAGAACCAAAAGAAAATACTTCTTAGACTATTATTCTATCAATTAAAAAAAATTTCCTGAATGCCTTTTGTGGGCAGTGTAGTGTTGGGTTTCAGGGTACACTGGAATCATCATTATGGTGTCCCTCCAGGTCCCCTGCTCCTCACAAACAAGAACTCTATTGATGGTGTCCCCATAACAAGACGCTGGTTGCAGCTTTCCCAGCTGAGAGTCCTCCTCCAATACACAGTCAGAACCAAAGGACTCCCTTGTAAATTCCTTCCATATATCCTCCAACCTTGACTCCAGGATGAATACTCCACACTGGTTCAATGAAGTGGGCTTAGGCTAGCCATACCCCAGACATTTTCCAATGAGCTCTGGAACAGCCCCTTTCTTGGTAGCCGTCTACATTCAACAGTACTGGATTTGAAGATTGGGGAGCATAGGTCCCTATAAGCCAGCTTGAAAACGTGAGGCTCTTTTCAGGCTTTGAGGCCTGAGTGGAATGAACACCTGTAGTCAGTCTACTCTTAAACCACCACAAATAGATTACCCAATTGGCTAAGGTTTTTCTAAATTGCTTTGCAATCCTCAATTAATATGAATCTCACTCCTAACCCTCTGACATTATAGCATCAAACAACCCTTCAAGGTAGATATTTCATACAACATACATTTGATGTTAGGCAGAAAAAATAAAAATTGTTTTTAATATTAATAACTGTACTTGTTTGCTTTTTTAATATTCATATATCAATATAAAAGTTTTGAGATAGATATACATTGTGGAATGGCTAAATCAAGCTATTTAACATGTACATTGCCTTACGTACTTATTTTTTATGGTGAGAACATTTGAAATCTCCTCGTAGCAATTTTCAAGTATAGAATATATTGTTATTAACTGTAGTCACCACGGCGTACAATAGATCTCTTGAACTATTATTTTGTTTTTAATCAAAATGCTTATTTTTAATCAAAATGCTTATGCAAGCAGAACATCCAGCTTATAAGGTAACATATCCCCGATCCATTTATATAACCTTACAACTGAGATCTGTGAAAACAGGGAGTGTGAGGATTAGGAGTGGTGTGGACACTTTGAGATTCCATCTCAGAAGGGAAACTCGTCTGTGAACTCACCACTTTGTTATGGGCCATTAGCTGAAGGATGCTGGGTGTCACCCTACTCCAAAATTCTAGTGCTGTCAGTATCGCCGTGAAGCTGAATTCATTCTGATTTTGGAGATTTGTAGCGACGGCACTTTGCTCGCAATAAACTGTCCACAGCTGAGCAAAGATGAACGCGTGGAAGAGGGAGCACATGTGCAGCACGGAGGTCTGAAAAGGAAGAAGACGGCATCAGTGCATTGCATCCCAGCAGGCTGTGGCCCTCCACGGAGTCCTCCCGCATGGCTTTGGTCTTGCCAGGGAGCACAGGGGAAGCACAAAGGCATAACGTTATCTCAGAGTTACAAAGTCATGATTCATCACCTTGAAACTATCTGCTGTGCTCTCTTCTCCACCAGTGGGAGTGTGCTCAGAGAACAAAGCACATTTTTTAAGAGAAGGCACCTTAATTTGCTGAAGAAATCTACCCACCCCCTTGCCCTTTAATGAAACTGACATTCCCATCCCTAAACTAGATTAGGGAGAATAATCATTCTGCCATGTTAGGATGTTTCCTCATCTGTAAAATGGGGATAATAGTAGTCTCTTCAAAGCATGGGAGTAAAGCAGGTGATATACGTGAATACACGCCCAGAAGTTCATAATCATAGCAGCAGCAGCGGAGATCCTCCTCCTAGCGGAAAGCACGTGCAGAGAGAGCACCTACAACACGCCAGAGATGGCGCCAGAGGCTTTTCCTATATCACCTCCATCACTCTCCAACCATCCCCTCGTCTATTTCACAGATGAAAATCTGAATAATAGAGAGGTTAGACACACTTGTCAAGCTCACAAAATCGCAAGTACCATAGTTAGGAATCAAACCCGGATCTGAGTAGAAATATTAGGAATCGACTGCCTAATTCCTTTTGTGAACATCATTTGGATCATTGGGATGGGTGCGCCATTTTATCACATCGTCAGCTTGCCCTGTCCCAAACCCGAGCTGTCCCCAAGACCAATGTGACCTCCCAGAACTTGCCGAAGCTCTGTGAAGGTCCCCTGGCTCCTCGGAGCTGATTAGTACCAATGTGTCCGGTTTGCCTGCACAGGCTCATGACTGGTGCCTGCCTTGGGTCTACTTTCTTCCTTTAGCACATCACCTGTCTCTGCAATTTACAAAGTTCCCCTGTGTAGGTCATGCCAATGTGTGCTTTAGTGAGTTCCCAACTGGCCTTCTTGTTTTCATTTTGTATTTTCCTGTATCTCTAGAGATTTCAGTTGAAAAGATGGTACATGAAGAATTAGATAGAGAATGAATTTTCCTTTGTTTTGTCTCTGGTTTTAAAAACTGATCACAGAATTTTGATTATATTTCTAGCCTTTTATTTCTCTTCATTATTTTGAGACAGAAATGCCTGGGAAGCCAACTCTTGCTTGACTCCATGATTTATCTTTATAAAAGTAAGCCGAAAAACAATTTGGGGGCGGGGGGAAAGACAGTCTGGGAATCTAAACAACTTTAAATAAGACATTAGCACAAAGTTGTGTTTCTAACATCCACAGGAGGGCAAATGATAAGATGTATTTTCTTCTCAGAAGAAACATAATTGGCTGATAAGGTTTCCATTAGCAATTGCGATGCATACGGTCTTAATCTTGCAGAAATCACTTACCTTTGATTGCTCTGGAAATCCAATCAGGATAACAATAAGATGGTCTGCAACGTGGGAGCCTGCATCCAGAGGAATGGGCAGGCAGGGAGAGGAGGCATTTGGGCACACTGCATTGTGAGTGAGGGAACCCAGCAGCAGCCAGGACAACAGTCGGATATGGGAGACACACTCAATGAATTCTTTAGGTCTATTAGAGAAGAAGGAGTGTTAAAGATGATTTTATGTTTTGTGTTTCATTGGGTGCATAACAAATGCTTATTGAAGGAAGGGATTGAAAGTGTGGTCTTGCAGGCAATCACATAAAACAAAACGCCAAGGCAATTGAGTGTCAACAAAATGATATATCTGTTTTTCTTGTTTTCCACTCTAATCCTGGATCTCAGCTTCTTGAGAAAAGAACAGCCTTTGGTGACACAGGATTACACAGCATTCTTCCACAAGGCTGACTGCCTCTCTGACTAGCTTCTCTTTCTAAACCCTTTCCACTCCTGCCTTTAGAAATTTCTTCTCTGGTGGGCCGGGCGCGGTGGCTCACGCCTGTAATCCCAGTGCTTTGGGAGGCTGAGGCGGGTGGATCACCTGAGGTCACGAGTTCGAGATCAGCCTGGCCAACATGGCAAAACCCCGTCTCTACTAAAAATAGAAAAATTAGCTGGGCGTGGTGGTGCATGCCTGTAATTACAGCTACTGGGGGGCTGAGGCAGGAGGATCACTTAAACCCAGGAGGCGAAGGTTGCAGTTAGCTGAGATGGTGCCACTGCACTCCAGCCTGGGCAACAGAGCAAGACTCCGTCTCAAAAAAAAAAAAAAAAAAAAGAAATTTCTTCTCTGGCATCCCCAGTAGAGGGGAGGAAAGAGATGAGGAGATATAACACAGCTGCCCATTTTCCTGCTCCCCAGTGATCTTTTCCTCCTACCCTTCTCATTCCCACTCTACACTTTTCCTCTGGACAGGAAGGCTGACCACACAAAAGGGTGGGCTCAAACCTACTCTGAGTTCCCAAGTCAACAAACCCATACATGCCTCTCTCTTCTTTAGCCTCCCTAAAAGGCAGAGCCAGGGGCTTGTACAATCTTGCACCGATTTCATCCCTGTTATAGCTTTTGTTCCAGCTACAATCTAAGCTGCTTGAAGGCAAATATATTGATACATACCTATTAATTTACTTAACTAGTTGAAATCAAGCATTAAAGTGGTAATTCTAAGCTCAAAATTTTCATTCTTCATGAAAGGACAATTGAGGTTTTTGTGGGAGGACAGGTTTATTTTTTGGCAGCATGTCAAAGAGCATTCTGGGTCAGCAAGTACGTAAGGAGATGGGATCTGATTTCCATCTTCCTAACCAAGTATATTCCACTGTCATAAATCTTCGGTGTACTCCTTAACTCTAGCTGAGCCCGAGGAAACTCAGGGGTGTCTCCTGCCTTCTTTACCCTCATTCCCGGAATAGTAAGGGTCTTACCCTTGCTGCATTGCAGAGGGGGGATGATAAAGCCAAGGCAGATAGCGGATCACAGCTTTGTTATCTCTGTGGTTGCCCCGTGAGATGTCCATGGCTGCAATCTGGGCCAGCCCCACTTTGAGATGTCCCCCAAAGGTATCTTCATGCAGAGGCTGGGAACATGTCTTCATGTGGCTCTACAAAACCGAATGGTATTTTGTAACTCTGGCAGACACCTGGATTCATTCCAGGCCATTCTTTGAAAAGAAGAGGTTGTCATTTCCACCCCGCTTATCGCCACTCTGAGCAAACAACCTGCTTAAACTTCTTCAGAGCCTTCCCATTGTTCTTAGGATAAAAGGAGGGAAAGTTCCCTAGCCTACAAAGCCAGAAAGATCCAGCCACTGAGAACTTACCCCTTCTGCCTGCAGCTCCAGCTGTGTTGGCTCTCTGTGTTCCCCCCTGCTGCTATTCCCTTTGTCTGGAATGCCATTCCTGCCTCTCTTCACCTAATTGTTCAGGTTTTAGCTCAAATGTAACTTCCTCTGGGAAGCCTTCCCTGACCTCCCCGGCCAGGTCCGTGCTGCCTTCTGCCTCTTTTTCATAGCAATTGTGAGAGACACATTTTTACTGTAGTTTGTGTGAAATGTTCACTAAATGTGGCCTCCACTACCAGACTATAAATTAAATGAGAGCAGCTACTGTGTCCGCTTTTGCTCATCACAGCATCCCCAATGCCTAGAACAGTGCCACGACATTACAGGTGCTCATACCTATTTGTTGAATTAATTTAGAAAGATTTCTTTGCTCAGTGTGAGCTCAGTGGGAAGGGCACTGAACTAGGCATTGAGACCTAGGTTCTAGACCCAGGTCTGTCCTAGCTAGTCCCATGGCCTTAGATAAGCCACTTGCCACTTGATCCTTCTGATTTGTTTCCCAATATGTAAAATCAGAGGGTGAGATTATGTCTGTATTTCCAACCTTTTGATGATCCTGGTTCCTACTTATTATTTTTCGAAAGCATCTGCAAAACAACCTAAACATGTTTAGGTAATAATTGTTTCCTCTTCTTTGTACATCAAAGTCATTTAAGTATGGGTATTCAGATTCAGCAAGCAGTAACCGGCACAGGAGCGAACGACAGGGGAGCTCATTAAGAAATGAATGGGTTTACATATCGTGAGATATTCTCAGTTTACATTTTGATTCTACTTTCTGCCTGGGATTTGCAAATCTATCACTGTACCAAAAACCACTTTGATCGTCTGAGCAGAGCCAGAGAACAGTTCAGTGATTAAGGGATGATATTTTTGGCTGATGAACTTCTGGGATCACTAGCTCCTAATTATCAAAAAGGAATCATCTAGCACCAGATTGCAATTTGGCTGCTCCTTGGACCATGTTTGGATTCTCTTCTGCCCTCTGTCTAGGGCCTTCCTCAGATCTCTCAAACTATTCATCTTTTAGCTCCCTAGTTGAATCACAGCAGGAAAGTGGACCTGCATCAGCAATTCATTCCACCCTGCAAAAACTCAATAATCTCAACAATTTCACTGGGATTTTGTCCATATGCAAATTAAATTTTGTTCTATCCCCTTTCATCAAGGATTTTAAGAAAACAGCTTCAATGGAGCAAAAAATAATACATGGTGTATGTTTGCATAATGTGCTACAGTTTATGAAAGTCTCTTCACGTACATTATTTTTGATCAAACCCTCGTAACAGTCAGGCAAGGTACAGATGATTAGATTCGTTCTTCAAATGAGGAAACTGATGCTCAAGGTAATTAAACGATGCTATGTGGTAAAAAGAGAATGAATTGAGAGTCACAAGAATCTTGGGTTCAACCTTGACTTTACCACTTAGTAGTGTGACTTGAGCAAGTACTACACCACCCCAAGCCTCAGTTTCTCCATTTGTAAAATGGGGATAGTATCTTAACAGAGGTATTGTGAGAAGTGAATATATGGCAAAAGTAAAGCTATGCATGTGGCTGATGCCATGTGAATGTCCTTTCCCTTCCTCTTTTCCTCTTTGCAAAGCTGGACCCTGGCTCTTTGATCCCCCAAGACAGGGGCTCATTCAACAGTGCCACGGCTGCCTCCCCAGGTAGCGATAAGTTCCCTATGGTCTGCTTAATTCTCTCAAAGCATCTCTGTTTTGTGAACCTGAGGGATGAGCAGGTGGCGGTCATCTCACCTTCAGTTTGGTCAGCGTGTGCATGTCTGCCATGAAATCCAGCACTTCGTTGATGTACTGCCTCACACACTCCATCGCTGCAGTCCCACACTGAAACACAAGGACACAGCTGGGTCACACCTTCATTTTTGCCCTGACTCCAATGATTGCCTCACTCTGGTTTCACGTTGTTTACTAAGGAGTCGTTTTACTTTCTGGATTTCTGACTCACTCCATTACTCTCAGCTTGGTCTGTGACTGTCTGCCCAGCATTTGGACAAAAATTGATAGAAGGTTTGTGGCAGAGAACAAAGAAACAGGAGAGGCCTATGGGAGATGGGGCTAAATGCTTTTATCCACTGGGTAATTGAACTGATTTTGTGTGTGTGTGTGCTTGTTTTTAAACTGCTTTGTATGCAAAGATTCAGCCTATGTCATGCCATTAGCATCAGAGTCTTTAGGACATCATTCATCCCAAAACATAGCAACACATTCTCATTCTAGGGAAGTCTTAGCTACACATAAAATACGTGCCACCAAATTCTACCACCAGAATCTTGAATCTATTTTCTGTCAAAAAAGTACATAAACAAGCATCGTGTTTGCTGAAAGAGTCAAAAATTCTCATGCTAGTCAAGTCGCTTGCAAATTAACTTCTTATACACAGTAGGTACACTACTAAATAGATACATGTATTACTGTCAAGTTCTTGCTAGGGGATAAATAAAAGAAAGAAACGAAATGGTCATCTTCCCCACATGCTTGAAGTGTGTTTGAAAAGTTTTGAAGGAAAAGAAAGCAAGTTTGTGTTTTAGGTCGTTAAATGACATTGGCCTGCTCTCCCTGAGAATGCAGTGAATTTAGGATTATAAGCAAAGCAAAGGAAAATGAACAAGCAGGCTGCTATATCAAAGCCGTATGAGAGAAACCACACATCAGGCTGGGTATCATGTGGATCAAACGAGGCAGGCTTTGAAGCCAGATGAATACTACGCTAAAGGCCTTCCTCGGCTTTCTTCAGGAAAATCTGGAACATTATAGACTTAACTAGCTCACCCAGTGGCTCTCATTTTCCCATATTCATGTAAATCTGCGCGGTACTGAACTATATCACCTTCTCTCTCTTCTAGAATGTTACGCTTGTCAGTTCTTCTGACAGGATAACAAACAGCAAAGTAAGGTCATTGGCAGTCTGTCAGAGTGTTTTCCAAGCATTTCGTACGTTCCAAAGTTTTCTTCTTTTAATTTAAATCAAGTGAAGGAATTATAAAAGGTTATTGTGTTCCTGCTTTTGGAATATTAATCCTTTCGTGCAAGAAAGGATTTCCCCGCGATTTATTCCATTTTCTCTGACCTTTCACATGTCATGCAAATAGGACTGGAGACTATGTTCTTGAATTTCTTGAAAGGGATTTGTTTCTTTCATAGGCAATATTTTATAGCATTTCAACTAGGCAAATGTCACTGAAAATAATTCCTAGGAGCATTATTCAATATTTGTCTTTTAAGTTTGAATCTCAAAAAATGAGAGCAAGGAATTTACTACCACCAAGTCACTTTTGTTTTAGAGACAACCAGCTACATCTGATAAAAGCCTTAAAATTCACTGTATGGTCAAGAGAATCTTAGTGAGCCATATATACTTAGGAAACAAAACATATAATTTCCAATCCCTCCTCCTTTTTTTCTACTTTGCAAAGCTTAAGAATAACCTTAGGTGTGTTACTTAAGAAACAAAACAGAAGAAGTCAAGCTCCATTTGTTTCAGAAGAGCTACATTTATTTCATAGGAAAACTAACGATTAAAAAGTTGAAAATATTCAAAACTCAAACTCACAAATTGAAGCAAACCATAGCTAATTCTTCCTCAAAACTAATATTTGATTTTAAAGTTACATTTCTTAGATTATAAAAGCAACACATGTTTAATATAGGAAATTTGGAAAATACAGATCATTAAAATTAAAATTGAAATCACCATAATCCTAATTTCCTGTCCTCCACCTCTGGGAAAACTACTGTTAATATTTCCTTCCAAGTTTTTTTAATTTTTCTAATGTATATAACATACACACATACATATAATGTTTATAAGATTGAGATAACATTTTTCTAACTTGCTTTTTAATTAAATACATCATAAGCATTTTCCAATTAATTAAATATTATTTGAAACTTTGATTTGGTAGGTACATAATAGTCTTACCTTATGGATGCAACTTATTTTATTTAAACAATACCCTGATGATGTTAGACATTTACTTTGTTTCCATATTTCTGCTATTTTAAATGATGCTTTAATAAACATACTTAATATAAAACATGTGCATATTTATTTTCTCAGACATATTCCTAAAGGAAGATTGTCAAACTGCCCTCCAGCAAGGTTGGTTTTACTACCACTAGTGGCTTACAAGAATGCTTGTTTCATTTTACCATCAATAAGTCTAATCATTGAGGTGGATCTGCTGGGGAGGGAAAAATGGGGAGGTATTAGTCAAAAGGTCCAAGGCTTCAATTATGCAAAGTGAGTAAGTCCTAGAGATTTACGGAGCAGCGGAGTCCCTAGAGTTAGAAATATTGCATTACATACTTAGAAATTTCTTAAGAAGGTAGATCTTATGTAAAGTGCTCTCATTGCTAATGACAAACAAACAAAAAAACAAATAGGGCAGGAAGAAACTGTTGGAGATGATGGATATGTTCATGGCATAGATCACAGTAGTAGTTTCATGAATGTATAATCATTTCCAAACTCATCAAGTCACATACATTAAAGATATGCAGCTTCCTATATGTCCTTCATGCCCTGATGAAGTGTGTGTTTTTTTTTTTTTGAGACAGAAAAGTCTGCTGATTGGCTAGCCGATTTTAATTTTTATATTTTAAAATATTTTTATACTTCATATTAACTTACAATTCATTGATTGCTATCAGAGTAAAAGGTTTATTTTTAATGGCTTATTGGTCATCAGAAAGGGACCTATATGTTGCTTTTCTGTTGTTGTTGGAATGTTCGTCTTTTAATTACTGATTTCAATAACCCTTTTATTATTAGGGACATTATTTTTTTAGCTATGGCATAGGTAGCAAATATTGAGTTTTAAAGAATTAAACGATAAAGGAAACAGCGAGCATGCAGCAGAGACTGGCTAGCCACTCCCCAGGTCTGTCTTCTTCCTTGGCCCACAACTAGACCACATTTCCCATCATCCCTTGCAGTTGGGTGTGGTCATGTGACTGAGTTCTAGCCAATGGAATGTGAGTAGGAAAAAAACCACACACTTTTAGACTTGGCCTGTGAAAACCCCATGGGCCATATTCTCTTCCCTTTCCCCAACCACAATCAAGCTGATTGCAGCGGACTGCACATAATGGAAGAAACCTGATCCCCGAGTATGCACGTGGAAATCCCCCTTTCCCTACTAATCAGGATACCCATTTAAACTTCATATGAGCAAACAATAAACTTTCATAAGTCGTTGAGAATTGGGATTTTTGTCTCATAGAACCTTGTATTACATTATCAAGAACCCTTAAAAAAAAAAACATAGTTTAGTCATTCTATTCCCAGAAATCTATTATAAAGAAATGGTCTGAAGTATGGACAAAGATTTAAGCACAAAGATGTTCTTTGCATATTAGTTACAATAGAAAAATATAGAAAATAACTAAAATATCAAAAAATAGGCAATGTTTGTTAATATTTTTAATAGATAACATTTTCACAGCATTTACTATGTCTGGCTCCTTGCTAATATGCTTTGCATGCATTATCTCGTTCAATCCTCAAACTATATGTTAAACCCTGTTATATCCCATTTGACAGATGTTATGAATCAAAGAATTATAGGTTAAAATACGTTCCAAAAGTCACATAGCTAGTAAATGGCAGGCCTCAAACCCTGATGTAAGTCTAAAGCCTACATTCTTAACTACTATTCTATGAAATGTAAGTATGTAGACAATGAATTTGGTCAGGACTTACTCCAGGTACAGAGGCTATCATCTGCTTGCTCAGGATTGTTGACTCAGCTAGTTTGGTTCCAGCATCTGCACAAATAAACTAATAAAAAAGTGAAAGGATAATTATTTTTAAGGGTATCTGGACATTAATAAGTAATTTATCATTTTATTAACTTGGCTTAAATTAATTAGTGTTTATTTTCATGACGATCTGCCTTGGATAGATCAGATTTGCTAATCATGATGGTTCATTCCTATCAGAAACTCAGAATCACAGTACTAAAATTAACACACAGAGTCTTACTTTACCCAGACTGTTAAGTGGCACTGAAATGGTGCATTCAATCAAAGAAAAAATAAAAGATGTCAGCATTGTCAGATTTATTGTGAAGTCATTCTATTTATTGTTTAGTACTTCTTGACAGTTACTGTAAGCACATTTCATACAGTTTCATGATTTCTATTATCGTATCATATATTTAGAAAGAAACCAGAAAAACAATCAACCTCAGAGTGAGTATTCTACCTGTTTCTTCCCCACAGGGGAACTTCAGCATCTCATCTTCCTGCCCCTATTCATCCACATGTATCCTTTGTGCTGATAAAGACCCCCACTCCTTCTCTGGGGGCCCAGAGGACTTTTCACACACTTCCATTGTAACAGTCACCACGTCAGACTGCAGTGACTTATGGGTCCATTTCTCAACCTGCTGTGAGCTCTTCAAGAGCACAGGCTTGATGCACCTCATCCCCAGCACTAGCTTGGTGCCGGACACCTCAGAGGGGCTCAGTGAGAGTTTACAAAGCAAATCCATTAGCCAGTTATGACTTGAGATCATTACAAGAATGGATTTGCCAGATTTCAATTTAATTTGCTTCATTACAGATTTTGACAGGTGTTTCTCACTTAATGCAGCACTCAATTATTTATTAATAGTCTTAGGAAAAAAAGTTAACCATGAAGTAGAGTTGGCTATGAGCAATTAGGTCCTGTTCAATTTATATTTCCTGCCCTCTGGCCAGTAGCCTTAACAACTTTGGGACCTGAAACTGCTGCTGTGCAGAGTTCAGAAGTTTCAGCACCAGTCGCTCCGCCTTCTCATTCATTTTGTTCTCATACTGGAAGGCACAGGGAAGCTGAATGGGTCAGCAGGCTCGGTCCCTGTCACACTAGAGAGAAGTAATAACAACTAGGGTCGCAGAGTAAATCTCTAGGAGGCCTGATAAGGAGGCATGGAACAAAGGAACAGAAACCAGCATATTATCGGGCTAGTCAGGGGTTTAAATGTAAGCATTATTAACAGGTAGCAGGTTTTGGCTAACTGGGTACACCTCTAAGCCAAAGGCCTCCTGAGGCCAAGGAACCCTTAGACTTCCGGCTCAGGGCCAAGAGCTGGTGTTCAAGTGTGGGAGGGGCGTCCTCCATGGAAAGCACGTAAGTATATGTAACTGAATGGGGGCAAGAGGGCACAAGCAGAGCTGTCCCCAAGAGCTGTGTGACAGGAGTGGACACAGATCTCCACATTAACATTCTGTCATTTCCATTTGCCTCAAATACAGTTACAGAAAACTGAAGAATCTATTTAGCCATTAACTCTGAATCTGGCATAGAAGGGGACAACTGGTAACATCCTGGGAACACCTAGCGTTTTCTATGATCTTATCCAGGTTTGCTATGTCTGCTCACCTAACTTAAGCTTATTTCTAATGTAAGGAAAAGTAAATAAATCAGGTTTTAGAAAATGTAAAGCCTTTAACTCCAGCCAAAACCTATAAGTAAAAAAATGAAACCTGAAATATTTGATAGACGTACACAGTGAACAGAAGGAACACTCCCAACCCAGTCTCCTGGTAGAGATTGCATGTTTTCCCATAAAATTCATTTTAAAAAGCTATCTAGGCCAGGTGTGGTGGCTCACGCTTGTAATCTCAGCACTTTGGGAGGCTGAGGTGGAAATTAGCCAGGTGTGGTGGCACATGCCTGTAACCCAGCTACTCAGGAGGCTGAGGCAGGAGAAGAATCGCTTGAACCTGGGGGGCAGAGGTTGCAGTGAGCCGAGATGGCACCACTGCACTCCAGCCTGGGCAGCAGAGTGAGACTCTGCTTCAAATAAATAAATAAATAAATAAATAGCTATCTAAGTCTTCAGTCTAAGACAAACAACTTATAATTGAGTTCTAAAACCTCTGTGAGGACAACAGCATTAATTTTAATTAAGTTATTTACATCAGAAATGATATTGCATAGCTAAGAGAGGCCACAGGGGAGACAGAGCCATATCTACTATGCGAGGTAAGGGGCTCACTTAGAGCTGTCTCTATAAGGATGGTTTAAAGTCCTAGACCCCACTTAAGTATGTTTGCATGGCCTGGATGGGCCCTTGAGGTCAAGATAAGGTTTGTGAAGAAGTAAAATTTTAAATGTCTGTATCTCCCTTCAGCAGATCACTTTCTCACCTATAATACTCAGCAAAGTGCAATGCAGAGCATAATGTAAGCACATTTCAGCATGGTTAGCAATCACACAGCGTCAAGATCTGAGGTTGGATCCAACTGTCTGATTTATGAGAACTCTTACTAGTCAGAATTAATCAAAAATCACCCTAAAAGTAAAGGAGGTACACAGAGAATCCGGCATATTAAAGGAAATAAAAGTGCATAAGCCTCAGAAATCATCTTTTTTTTATCCATGCATTGTCATCCAGCATATTTTTACATCAGATGCACAACTAAAACCTTAATAAACCTTTCTGTCTTTGTTTTCTATGGCTGCCAACCATAAACTGAAAAAAAATCTATTATGATGTTATAGAGCTGCTCAAAATATAATCATATATAACAAGAATCAGGGAAGGAAATGATGATCGCTGTCGAAGGAAGAGTTCTGTACCTTGAGGGAAATCGGGCACTGAAATATGCATTCCCCCATGAATACAAAAGAAACATGATATCTATTATATGTCATTACTAACTTCATTATCAAAATGATACCCAAAATAATGTCTTCACCTCTAATCTCAGAGTGATCACATTGTTACGAACTCAACTAATATTAATAACCCCATTCAATGATAACTCTGTGAATTAAAAACAACAGCTGTTCCTCCACCAGTTCTCTGTCCTCCAGCCCACAACGAACACATCTTTAAAAGAAAACCTTTCTTCAACAATATGATCTCTCATAACTTCAATATGCAGGTATACCCCACAGACTGGGAGTGGTACATGCAAATTAGCAGAATATCTACTTTTTTTTTTTGAGATGGAATCTCGCTCTGTTGCCAGGCTGGAGTGCAGTCGCGCGATCTCGGCTCACTGCAACCTCTGTGTCCCGGGCTCAAGCGATTCTCCTGCCTCAGCCTCCCGAGTAGCTGGAAATACAGGCAGATGCCACCACATCCAGCTAATTTTTGTATTTTTAGTAGAGACGGGGTTTCACCATGTTAGCCAGGATGGTCTCGATCTCTTGACTTCGTGATCCGCCTGCCTCAGCCTCCCAAAGTGTTGGGATTACAGGCGTGAGGCACCACACCCGGTCGAATATCTACTCTTGACACATAATAGGAGCTAAGGAAATTCTTTCTGATTTGAACTTAAACAGTCTTTATGGTGGGAGTTATCACTTATTATGAAAACTCTAATCTATCTTGAGAACAATTATAATAACCTATTACACATAAAATATCCACAGCAAACCAGCAAAAAAGAAAATATTGGAAACAAAAAGCAAAAACGTCAATAGATCTGAATTAAAATAATGTGCTAGTGCATCTGTCCAAAATGCAAAAGGAGAACTATGCCCTGGGGATCAACAATTTGGACTCTGAAATGACATTTTTCTATTCAGCAAATTCTTTCCTATCTCCACGCCTCTTTTTCATTAAAAAGAAAAAATCCACCTGAACATTTAAGGCCACCCAGCTTCACATGTAAATTCACACATAAACTTTACATATGTAAACTTCATATGTAAAAAAACTTTATACGTAAACAACAGTGGTCATGGCTAGACAACCACAATAGAGGCAGCTGGGGAATTCCCCATGATGCCAGGCCTCCAGGGAGAACTTCTAGGAATTAAAAAACAGATTGGTACCAGTTACTGTCTTGACATGTTTAAAACTTGGGTGATCCCACATTTCTTGGACAAGCATTCTATTTGTTCTTTTAGGGGCCTCTCTTACTGCCAGAGTATTTGGCAACACAAAGGTATGGTCTATCTATGAGAAGAATAGAAATGGTTCCATCTTAGTGAGCTCATCTATCTACTGTTATTAATTAGAAAAGTAGTAGAGGAAATATCAGCAGTTCCCTATGGGGTGAAAGAATGAACGGGAAATGCAACATTGGAGCAACAGACTCTGTTTTCAGCATGGGGACCAGTGTCATTCGTGATGGATCACCTAGGGAGTTTTTCCTTCTGGTTACTGATCTTTTTTACATTTCCAAATTGCATTTTCAGTTAACTAAACCCATCCTCACTGGGTGGCCTTCAGATGATGGTCACTGATATACATAAAGAAAGTCACTGTCTGCTCCTGGCAGATCATCTGTCCCTGATGTAAGCCTGGTTGTCCAAGTGCCAGGAGGTGACAATGCCCAAAGGTAAAGGGGAAAGGTTTCCTCTGACTCCAGCCTAGATCTTTGGCCTAAAAGAAGCTTCCAGAGAGTAGGCTGTCATTTCCACTATTCTACAGAGAACACCTGGAGGACCCAGGCAGTCAAGGGCAAGAAAAAAAGCAACTGAGAAACCCTAGAAAGAGGCACTAGGCCAGGCGCAGTGGCTCACGCCTGTAATCCCAGCACTTTGGGAGGCCGAGGCAGGCATATCACGAGGTCAGGAGTTTGAGACCAGCCTGATCAACATGGTGAAACCCCATCTCTACTAAAAATACAAAAATTAGCTGGGTGTGGTGGTGCGTGCCTGTAGTCCCAGCTACTCAGGAGGCTGAGACAGGAGAATCACTTGAATCCAGGAGGTGGAGGTTGCAGTGAGCTGAGATTGCACCATTGCACTCCAGCCTGGGTGACAGAGCAAGCCTCCATTTCAAAAAAAAAGAGGAACTACTCACAAGAGAAACAACGTTTCTCCTCATCCCATCTGACATGGTTTGGCTATGTCCCCACACAAATCTCACCTTGAATTGTAATAATCCCCATGTGTCAAGGGGCCAGGTGGAGATAATTGAATGGTGAGGGTGGTTTCCCCCATACTGTTCTCATGGTAGTGAATAAATCTCACAAGATCTGATGGTTTTATAAATGGGAGTTCCCCTGCACAAGCTCTTTTGCCTGCTGCCATGTAAGACATGAATTTGCTCCTCAATCACCTTCGCCGTGATTGTGAGGCCTCCCCAACCATGTGGAACTGTGAGTCAATTAAACCTCTTTCTTTTATAAATTATCCAGTCTCAGGTATATCTTTATTAGCAGCATGAGAACAGACTAATATACCATGTGTGGCCCCATGGAAGACTTCTCTCCATGACTTAGGCAGGACCACAGGGCAGAAAAGGGAACTACTCTGTTTTAAGGTATGCCTCACTTTTATTTCTCTGATTAGAAATAAAAATTGCTTAAGAGTTTATAGAACAAAGATTTGTTACTTTGAAATGGCTTAATTTTTTTTTCCCTTGGTGCTGAAACCCAGGAACAAACCACGCTCAACATTTTTTGTTGGAGAAGACTGAAACATTTCCATAAAGTTGTTTTTCCTGGGCATGATCTGAAAATGTCTCCAAAATACCCCTTCAATCTGAATAATTTTACAACTTGATGTTTTGTAACTTAATGATTTCAATGACAAGTCACACATTTGTTTTAAAAAGATGAAATGGTAGATGAAAACCCATAAAACACATTCAGAAGTATCTTTTTGCTGTCTTTCTTCTTCATTTGTTTTTGTTATTTATTCACCTAACTGTGATGCAATAATCACTGTTTTTGTGGTTTCCTTAAGCACTGGGTAATTTAAACTGTCAGTGTTCTTTTGGCATCTTGTGACAAGTGCTTATTACAGTTGACTAATGTATTGCATTGAAAACCAGTCTCCAGCAGTTACAGTATGGAGTGCTAGACCCCAAGAAGATCAGCCACACAGATCTGCTCTGCTCAAGACAAAGGGCAATTAAGGGAATGCTGTTCACTGTCCGCAGGAAAGCACCTTCAGTGCCCTGAAGTCTAGGTGGTTTTCAGGTGGCACATCTCCAACTGCAACACTCTCAGAAGCAAGTGACCTCCAGACACAGTCAGGCTGCTAACCTTAAATCCCTCCCGGGATATTTCCCTAAGCCCTGTTCACCTGCCCTCTCCTCCAAGTCAGTGTAGATCCCATGAATCTTCAAAAAGATCTTTTTGGGCCAAGAGCAGTGGTTCACACCTGTAATCCCAGCACCTTGAGAGGCGAAGATGAGTGGATAGCTTGAGTCCAGGAGTTCAAGACCAGCCTGCGCAACATGGCCAATCCCCATCTCTACTAAAAATATTTAAAAAATTGGCCAGGCATGGTGGCCCACACCTGTAGTCCCAGCTACATCAGAGGCTGAGGTAGGAGGATCACTTGAGCCAGGGAGGCAGAGGTTGCAGTGAGCTAAGACCATGCCACTGCGTTCCAACCTGGGTGACAGAGCAACATCTTGTCTCAAAAATTAATTAAAAATAAATAAGTAAAAAAGTCTGTGTGAACACTGCTTGTTCTCAAAGGCAGTGTTGCTGCTGCTATGTGAGCAGAAGGGCCTGGCCAGTGCAATCCACAGAGAGAAATGCAAAGTTGGTTTCTCTTTAGGAGCACAGATATTTTCTGGCTGTGACTTTGCTTGTCTTCCTCCTGGGATGTCCAGTAACTTGGTATAATAAGAGCCACTTCATTCTGATGACAGCATGCCCTGCATCCATTGCTGTCATTTTCCAGCAATCACTGACTCACTGAGAGTTCAATGTGTCCTAGAAAGCCCTTCAAAGACAACTCAAGACCATTCATTGAAAGTACACCAACTTTTTAATTAAATCTCAAGCCTTTGAGAAAAACTCAGTTCTGATCCTAATGATTTGTAGTCTCTAGAGAGGGAGTACGGAGACCAGGCAGTGGATATTCAACAGTAAATGACAAGAGTTGTTCCTCATCTTCTCTACTGGGTCAACTCCTGAACTTCTGTGCATCCTTCAAGGTGCATGTGAACTCTTCTACAAACAACACTTCCTTACTCAGTACACATCTCTACTACTGTACCCGTTGCACTATGTGGGAATTTTTTTTTTTAACTTACATGTCAACTTCAATTGCTAAATTGTAAACTCCTGGAAGGAAGGGGTCATGGCTGATTCTTCTGTTTCCCCAGCACCCTGCAGAGCACCTGGCCCATGTCAGGCCTCATAATGCTTCATAAGCCTTCCTCCGTCTCCTAGGTTCAGTTAGCCACTTCCTCTTCCACAGTGTTTTATACACTGTCTAGACTTTCAGGAGAGTAATTGGCACATTATCAGGATATGCCTGTCACATCTCTATATTCCCAGAACCCAGCCCAAGATAGGTGGTCAGTAAATATTTGTGGTGGGAAATACTGCTGAAGAGTCAGATGTGGCCAGATGATGGAAGACCTGGATAGTTCAGACCTTACAAGGTCACTCTAGGTTTCTGATGCAAGAGTGATCTCTATCAGAAAAGCGGAGTTTCAGCAAAATTCCTCTAGGCAGCCACAGGCCAGAAGATTGGGTTGGTGCGGAAAGAGATTAAAGAGGTGCACAAAGCTAAGAGCTGTTACAGTAATCCACGTAAGGGATGGAAAGGGCCTGTCAAGGCTGTGTGTTATACCAAAGGGAGCTGGGCTCTGAGCCCTAACACACTGAAATCAGGTGCTTGATACTACCTGTCACTTAGGCCAGCACCGTGGTCTTGGGCAAGCCACTGAACCCCCCCATGCAATACAGAACCAATGCTTCACGAAGCTGTAAGGATCAAATGCTTAACACATAATAGGTCCTCCATTAGTGTTCCCTTCTCTCTCATGTCTCCAAAATGAGTACTTAGAATTCAGGGAAATCTGTCTAGTTCCTTGATACCAAGCTCCCATATTCCTTCAATCATTTAACCCTCAGCTTGTAGGCCCAGACTCTGGGACTGGTCTTAATGCTCATCAGCGAGTGCTGACACAGCTGTGATGCAATGGCTGGGCACTTTACCCAAAGGCCATTGAATGACACCCTGATCCCAGCTGTAGCTCATGGCCAAGTCTCTAAATCTAGCCTCAACCCTTGGGTGAGAGGCAGGGTGCCAGGTTACCTGAACCCCTGCTGATTCCTCTGGCACAGCCATTCTACTTTTTCTCAACCCTATCCTCATGCCATTATCCCTAAATGTACTCCACCATCCTGCCTAAGCCTCCCCTATGCTTGAAGCCAGTCAACCTCTCTATGCTGAACCCTAATCCCAGGCAAAGACATTTGTCTGTACCCTCCAGTCGTTTGTGACCCAACTCAAATGCTACTTCCTTCATGAAGTCTCTGATTTCACATCATAAGGGGTGGGATCCATCCTGCTCTCAACTTCTCCCTAGGAGTTTTTTTACCTCTTTCTCTCATGGCACTATCATAGCCTGTCTCAGGTCATCGAAACCTGCATGCCTGCCTAAGATGCTGAGTTAAGGACAGCAGGGTAGAAGGCTTTAGTCCCTCAGAAGCCCTAAAACCAAAAGCATAATTGTTGCCAGTTCTCGAAAGCCTGCCTTATAGTGGTCCTCAGCTTCAGTGGTCCCCTGAGGGCTGAAGCGTACCTACACCCAACTGTGGGTACCACTCAGTGCATCCTGCCATTTGACTGTCTCTGGCCTGACCCACCCTCTCCTTTACTTCTGCTCACAGAGATTCAGGGATCACCCATACTCATTTGACTCTGCAGTCAGACCTCAGCCTGTTCCCCCACTTCTGGCCTCAGTAGACCTGTCTCAGCTCTGGTGACTGACCTGACCCTCTAACCTACTGGATCACGCATTTCTTGGGGACAAAAATTATTGTTTTATTCTTCTTTTTAACCCCCACAGAACTAATTCCACAGTAGGAACAAAATCAATACTCCTTCTTGGACTTTTTTAGCCAGTGGAAGCGTCAGGTGCATACTATTAGTTAGATCATGGTCCATATAAGATATATTATTTATCATCTCTAAGCAAAGATATTTAGTTCTATGCATACACTCTACACCTCCCTTAATTTTCCCAAACATACATGGATCTCATGAAAAGTTTTACAAATCAAGCATGAGCTTACCTGAACAAGCAGAAGAAGGTTTGTATCTGGTAAAGGAGATTTGAGCTTTAGGGCCTGCAGAAGTTCTAGAACAACACTACGAGACAAGTAGAATTTATCTCGTTCCTAAAGAAAACAAAACAGAAGGAGGTAAGTGATTTTAGAAATTCAATTAGAGTATATCCATGTCAAAAGAGCTTCCAAAAAATTCACGGGTCAGAAATAAAAAACAGTATTCAAAAATGCATAGTGAAGTGTCCTCAAGAAATAAAATTAGAACAAAAAAAAGGCATTTTTGTGTGTGTAATGAGTTTACAGGAGCACTGAGGACAAATAATTTAATGGATAAGAAAAAGATAAGCTATCTCTTAAACACTGATGCCCCAGTATTTGGTTCTTATTCACAGGAAACAGGTTCCAAGAACTGCAGCAATTAAATCAGTCGAAAAGTATTTTTTCAACACAAAATGATTTAGAGAGAAACATATACAACTCTTTATTCTGTGACCTCTCCAAGGAACTTATTTCTGAAATGGACTATTTCAAGCATCCAGAAAAATGGAGAGAATGGAATACAGTATGCACCTACCACCCTCTTTGTCAGATCACATCATTTTGCTTTATTTGATTCATCCTTTTTTGGAATCCTAGCTTCTTTCATTCTTTCTTAAATTCATACATAATATTTGTACATATTTATGGGGTACATGTGATATTCTGTTGCATGCACAGAATGTGTAGTGATCAAGTTAGAGTATTTAGGTTATTCATCATCTTGAGTATTTATCATTTCTATGCATTGGGAACATTTCAAGTCCTCACTTATAGTATTTTGAAATGCACAATATACTGTCATTAGTTATGGTCACCTTACTCTGCTATTGAACATTAGAACTCATTTCTTCTATCTAACTGTATGCTTGTACCCATGAACCACTCTCTTCATCCTCCCCACACACACCCTTCCCAGCCTCTGGTAGCTATCCTTCCACACTCTACCTCCATGAAATCAATCTTTTTTTAGCATCCCCATATAAGTGAGAACATATGATATTTGTCTTTCTGTGCCTGGATTATTTCACTTAACATAACAAACTCCAATTCCATCCCTGTTGCTATTTTTTATGGTTGAATAGTAGTTCATTATGTATACATGCCACATTTCTTTATCCATTTGTCCATTGATGGACACTTAGGTTGACTCCATACTCTTGCTATTGTGAATACTGCTGCAATAAACATGGGAGTGCAGGTATCCTTTTGATATACTGATTTCTTTTCATTTGGATAAATACCAAGTAGTCACATTGTTGAATCATAGGACAGGTACTTTTTAGTCTTTTGAGAAATATCTATACTGTTTCCTATAGTGGCTTCATAATTTAAATTCCTACCAACAGGGCGCAAGAGTTCCCTTTTCTCCATATCCTCGCCAGGATCTGTTATTTTTTGTCCTTTTGATAATAGCCTTTCTAACTGGGGTAAGATGATATCTCATTGTGGTTTTGATTTGCATTTCCCTGATGATTAGAGATATTGAGCATTTTTTTTCATATGCCTGTTGGCCATTTGTATGTCTTCTTTTGAGAAATGTCTATTTAGGTCCTTTGCCCACTGTTTAGTGGGATTATTTACTTAGAGGGATTATTTATTTAGTGGGATTATTTACATTTTTGTTGTTGTTGTTGTTTGCTTGTTTGTTTTTAGACAGGGTTTCACTCTTGTTGCCCAGGCTGGAGTGCAATTGTACTATCTCAGCTCACTGCAACCTCTGCCTCCCGGGTTCAAGCAATTCTCCTGCCTCAGCCTCTCAAGTAGCTGGGATTACAGACATGTGCCATCATGCCCAGTTAATTTTGTATTTTTAGTAGAGATGGGGTTTCTCCATGTTGGTCAGGCTGGTCTTGTACTCCCAATCTCAGGTGATCCACCTGCCTCGGCCTCCGAAAGTGCTGGGATTACAGGTGTGAGCCACCGCGCCTGGCCCTGTTTTTTGTTTTTTTACTGTTGAGTTTGAGTTCCTTGTATATTCTGGATATTAATCCCTGGTTGAAAGTTGATTCATCCTTTTTAAATAATAAATATCACAGAAACAGCTGAAGCTACCTATACAGTGCTCTCTTTTCTTTCTTCCTTTCTCTCTTCTTTGAAGTGGCCACTATTCTGAATCTGGTATTTATTATTTCATGTATGTTTTTACAGTTTAACTACATATGTTTGTCTCCATTATAATATATAATATTGTTTGGCATTTTTAAACTTTCTGTAATGTTATCTTGTGCATATCTTTCCACAACTTGTAATTACTCACTGCAATATATCTTTGAAATTATCCTTATTGATACATATAGCTCTGGTTCTTTCAACTCAACAGCTTAACAATATATTATTGTATGAATACACCAAAATTAATCAATCAGTCCCCCTGTTGATGGAATGTTGAATTGGTTTCAATTTTGTAAGACTTTTCTATTGTTGAATATAACACATGTGCAGAAAAGTACATAAAATATAAGCATACAGTTAAATGGATTCATATGTATGATACTGTAAAATATATATTTGGTCTTTGATCCTGTATCTGATATACAACTCCTAAAATCCTTAGACTCTCCCAAACTGATTCTTTTTGTATGCTAATAAGTTGACTGATGGCTGGCAGCCTAGGTAGCATTAGGAAGAGGACTGATCATCTGAAAGACCAAGGCACAATTAGAGAGTTGGGGCTATCAGCCCCACCCCTCAACCTTTAGAGAAGTGCTTAGAAGGGTTGATGGCTGGATTGATCACCAATGGTCAATGGATTAATTGACCATGTCTACATAATGAAACCTCCATAAAAACCCAAAAGAAAAGGGTTTGGAGAGCTTCTGGATAGCTAAACACATGGAGGGTTCCTGGAAGGTGGCATGCCCAGAGAAGGCATGGAAGCTCTGTGCCCCTTCCCATGTGCCTTGCGTTATACATCTCTTCATCTATATCCTTTCTAATATCCTTTATAACTGGTAAATGTAAGCAAGTGCTTTCCTGAGTTCTGTGAGCTGCTCTACCAAATTAATTGAGCCCAAAGAGGAAGGATCCCTAATTTATAACCAATTAGACAAAAGCACGGGTAAAACAACCAGAGCCTGCAATTGGCAAATGAAGGTGGGAGATGGAGGACAGTCTTAGGGGCTGAGCCCTCAACCCATGGGATCTGATGCTATCTCCAGGTAATTAGTGTCAGAATAGAAATGAGTCTATTCTGCAGAATCCATTGCTTGCTTTTTGGTGGGAAGAAATCTCCACACATTTGATCACAGAAGTCTTTGGTCTTGATAACTGTGAGAGCAGAGGAAAAACATGGCTTGAGTTTGAGTTTTTCCAGTCTCAGAAGATGGACCGAACACTCATGTAATCACCTCCCAGACAAACAACAGCACATTGCAAGTGTCTCAGAAGCCCTGTGTATCTTAATCCTTTCATAATCAAATAAGTAGAGTCCCTGTGGGGTTGTCTCCACTGTCTTTTCTTCCTATTCATTTTCACTCATTGTGTCTTGCCCCCTCATATGTCTGGTTATCTTTGATTGTGTGCTGAATGCTTTGTTAGGAAGATATTTGCAGAAATGGTTTGCAGCCTGAAATGCTACCTTCCTTCAAAGAGCTTTCTGTTTGTTTAGTGTCGGGGGCACAATCACAGCTCACTGCAGCCTTGACCGCCTGGGCTCAAGTGATCCTTCCACCTCAGCCTTCAGAGTAGCTGGAACTACAGGCATGCGCTACCATGCCCAGCTAATTTTTTTAAAATTTTTTTATAGAGACGAGGTTTTGCCATGTTACCCAGGCTCAGGGTTACCTTAATACACATACAAGGCTTGTAATATTTTACATTGGGCTACCACAGGGCTTGACACTGAGCTGTGTCCACATGAAGGAAAGTTACTATGGGGGTGTCTTTACACCAAAATGTAAAGCCAAAAATGTGTGGGTCAGGAGGCATGGCATCAGGGTCTCCATTCTTGGTAGGTTCTGGATCCGGACTTTTGTTCCTCTAGCCTCATGGGGCTTCCAAAACTGCAGCCTCTCAGTCACATCTAGATTGACAAACACTCCCTGGGTAAAAATGGCCATCAGTGCTGGGCTAACACCTCTGAATATCTGGGCTCTTCCTGATCTGAGCCTCATAACCCTTCTCTATATAGTTAGCATTTTGAAGAAGTTTTCAGAAAATGTTTTGTTCACTTTTTTTCTTTTTACTTTTTAAGTTAACTGGGAAAACAGGTTCAAATTATCTTGTTTACCACCACCAGAAGAGAAAATCCAGGATTTTAATTGTCATTATACTAAACCTATAGGTTGTTCTGTGAGAATTACCTGTTTTTACTACTCTGGGTCTTCATCCATGAACATAAAATCTCTTTCCATTTATTTAACATTGTGTAATGCTCTCCAGTAAAATGTTCCAGTTATCTCCATAAAGTTCTTGCATATTCTTTTTTTTTTTTTTTTTTTTTTTTAGACAATGTTCTCACTCTGTTGCCCAGGCTGAAAGCTCACTGTAGCCACAAACCCCCAGACTCAGGTGATTTTCCCACCTCAGCCCCGCAAATAGCTAGGACTAGAGGATAATTTTTTTTTTTTTTTTTGTGAAGGACACAGAGTCTCACTCTGTCACCCAGGCTGTAGTGCAGTGGTACAGTCACGGTTCACTGCAACCTCTACCTCCTGGGGCTAAGCAATTCTCCCACCTCAGCCTCCCAAGCAATGGGACTACAGGTGCGTGCCATTATGCCCAGCGAAATTTTTGTATTTTGGTAGAGACAGTGTTTCACTATGTTGCCCAGGCTGGTCTCAAACTTCTGAGCTCAGACAATCCACCCACCTTCACCTCCCAAAGTGCTAGGATCACATGCATGAGCCACTTTGCCCCGCCTAATTTTTTTTTTGTATAGAGATGGAGTCTCGCCTTGTTGCCCAGGCTGGTCTCAGGCTCCTGGGCTCAAGCGATCTTCCCACCTTGGCCTTCCAAAGTGAAGGGATTATAGGCATGAGCCACCACACCCAGCCATTGCACATTCTTAATAGATTTATCTTTTGTCACCACAATAGATGACATTTTAAAAGTATGTTTTATAATCATCTGTAGTTGAATATTAAAATTTGGTGATTTCTGGGTATTCATTTGTATCCAGCATCCTTGCTGAGCTCTCTTGTAGGTTCTAAAAAGCTGTCTATAGATTCCCTTTGGTTCATTTGTAATCGTATCACCTATGAAAAATGAGAGTTGTATTTTTCCTTTCTAATCCTTATACCTTTGATTTCTTCTTCCTGTCTTGCAGAACTGAATGGGACCTCCAGCACCATGATAAATAGAAACAGTGATGATAGACTTTCTCATCTTATTTATGATTTTAAAGGGATGACTCTTAGCATTTCACCATTAAATATAATGCTGGCTAGATGTTTCTGGTAGACCCACTATATGAAGTTAAGAAAGTTCCCTTCTATTCCTAGTTTGATAAGAGCTTATGATAAATGACTGAATTACAAAAAATTATTTTCTTGCACCTGCTGAATAATGATAGAAGTTTTACTTCTTCAATCTGATAACATGGTGATATTAATAGATGTTCTAATATTTAAACATTTTTATATTTTGAGACATTTCCAACTCTGTCAAGAGGCCCTATTTTTAATGATTGATTTGCTATTATTCATTCAGAAGTTTTGCATCTATGAAGGATATTGACCTATAATTTTCCTTTCCCCTATTGTCCTTCTCTGGTTGATATCAAAATTCTACTGGCCTCATGAAATGTGTTGGGAAGTGTTCCTTTTTTTCTATTCTATTAGTTTGTATAAAGAAGAGATCGATCAGTTCTTAAATGTTTAGTAGAAGTTGTCCTCTAAAGCTGGAATAGTTTTTGAGGGTAGGTTTTTAACTATTGATTCCATTTTCCAGGCACCTAAGTCTAGTCAGTTACTTCTTTTTCTTTCTTTCTGGATGTTTTGTATTATATATTTCTAGAAAATTGTACCTACTGTCAAAGATTTCAAATTTACTGGCATAAGGTTGTTGATTTCAAAATCTCTGTCTGTAGTTATGCTGATATTCTTTATCAGTGTGTTTTATCTGGTTTTCTTGATCAGTCTTGCCAACGGTTTGTCTATTTTATTAGTCTAGTCAAAGAGCCACCTTTCTGTTGTATTGATCTTCCATTGTATCTATGTTTTCCTTCCTTCTTTCCTTCCTTCCCTCCTTCTCTCCCTCCTTTGTTCCTTCCTTTGTCCTTCCTTCCTTCCCTCCTTCTCTCCCTCTCCTTCATTCCTTCCTTTCTTCCTTTCCTTCTTCTCTCTCTCCTTCCTTCCTTCTTTCTTTTTTTCAAAGAAGAAGAAAGGGTCTTGCTCTGTCACCTAGCCTAGAGTGCAGTTGGTGCAATCATAGCTTGTGGCAGCCTCAAACTCCTGGGTTTAAGCAATCCTCCCACCTCAGCCTCCAGAGCAGCTAGGACTACAGGTGCATGCTATCACACTGGCTAATTGTTTTATTTTTCTGTAGAGACAGGGTCTTGTTATGTTGCCCAGGCTGGTATATCTGTTTTTTATTTCATTAATTTCTGCTATTATCTTTACTGCTTCCTTTCTTTAATTAATTAATTGCCTACTATCTGTTCCATGTTTTAAAATCTTCCACATTTTTAAATCTGTTCTAAAATTGGTTGATTCAGGATTCTTTATATGACCGTTGCATCCACTTTGCTCACTGTTATTGTTTGAATCTACTATATGTTTTATCTGCTTGATCTATCCATAACTGAAAGAGAAAATCTCCCTGTATAACTGTGAATTTATCAATTTATCTTTGTAAGCCTATTATATTTTGTTTTATATATTTGGAGGCTATATTATTAGCTCTGTGTAATTTTTGAATTGTCACATTATCCTGGTGAGTTGCTCCTCTTATCAATATATTGTGACTTTCTTTGTAATAATGCTTTTCAACTTAAAGTCAGTTGACTAACTTCAGCTTTCTTTTTATTAGTATTAGTCTGGTATATCTTTTTCAACCTTTTTCTTTTAAATTTTCTTGCTGTCTTTAGACATGTTTTAGATGTAGATTAATTTTTAAAAGTCAATCTGACAATCCCTAGTGAGTCTAGTAAACTTATATTTATTGTGATTCTGTCATCCTACGTGTGCTTATTACAGCTTGTTCTATGCTTCTCTTTTTGTCTTGATTGAATTTTTATTCTTGTTTTATTCTATGTTTGGAACTTATAAATTCTATTTCTGGCCTTTGGAGTTTACATTTACAATGTCTACCTGTATTCTTAAGAGTTCAAAGTTATTCATTATCTCTGTCCTTCTTGTAGATAATATATAGAATGCTTTAACTCCAGTCTCCAACCACACACACACACACACACACAAACACACACCCCTTACAGAGTACTATTTTCTAGTATTCTATTGTCATTTTGTTTTTATGCCTATCTGACTAACATTATTATTATTACTGCTTTGTATTATCAATGGTCACTTAGATTTTCACACTGTACCAATTTCTGAGCATCATTCCTTCACACATTTCACTCCTTCCTTCTTGGTTCACTTTCCTTCTTACATCTTTTAGTAGTTGTTTCAGTAAGAATCTATTAGAAGCCTTCTTATTTTCCTGATATAATATCTATTTATCCTTCATTCTTGAAGGATAGCTTAGCTGGTAGAGAATTCCAAGTAGATAGTTCTTTTTTCTTATCATTTTAAAGACTTTTTTTTTCAATTATCTTCTGGCTTCTATTGTGCTGTTGAGAAGTGTATTGTCTGTCTTCAGAGTGTCTTTTCCCTTGGTTTTTCTGAAAATATTTTCTTTGTCTTGACTGTTTTGACAAGTTATACCTACTCATGTACATTATGACATGAGCAGGTAAAACTTTAGTTTATTTATAATACTTTCAGGGCTCATTGTGCTTCCTGAATCAGAAAATTAAATATTTCCATCAACTCTAGAATTGATAAAAAGCCTATTTTCCTTATCTGAAATATTTATTAGATATCTGTTAGAATTTCTCTTTATATTCATCTCTTTATCTCTCTCTTCTGAATTCTAGGTAATTTCTTCTCATCTATTTTCCATTTCACCAATTCTCTCTTTGGCTATGTCTAATTTACTATTTAATCTATCCATTAAGTTTTTTATATCAGTGATTGTTTTTCATTTCTAGAATTTCTACTTTGTTTAAATCTGTCTGGTTTATTTTCTTTTTTTTTTGAAATGACTAAATCTATTATATTATTTTATTTATTTTTCATATGCTTATCATTTAAAGTATAGTCATTTAGATTTATATTTTTATTATATTTTATAATATTTATATATACATTCTTCATATGCATATCATTTAAAGTATAGTCACTTATATATTGTCATTTTTAATGATATGTATATCATTTATAGTCTTTATCACAGTTTTAATATTGAAAGTTCTTGTGGGAAATGATCTTGCTACTTGTTGACTTTCCTAATCTATCACAAGGTGGGTTGTATCTTCATTTGCTTTGTAATTTTAGATTATGAGCTCATGTTCATTAGGATTTTAACTATAGGAATCCTGCTGGGCCTAGGTTGGAGATATATTCCTCCAGAGAGGGTTGAGGCTTGTTTTGATCTTGCTTCTGCCAGATATTCCAAGGTTATTACTTACTAAGCACTAATGTTATTTGACTCTTCAACTTGGGAGTTCCAAGAGCATGCAGATATTATAAATTCAAACTCTAAACCTGATCCAAGATAGGCCCATGTTTACTAATTTTCAAGGGAGACTATAAATCTTTCTCCCAGTTCCCAAACTGAGACAGATACCATTCTTTGTCACCTCTATATAAGAATGTATTCTTTCCAAACCACCCTTTTACCAAGTGAATAGGCTTTCAAGGGTTCTGACCTTTTGCTAGGGATAACTCAGATCAAACTCCCTGCCTGGATAATCCCAAGACTTCATCTCTTTTCTTTGTATGGGCTTTAAAACTCTAGCCACTAAGTTACCAAGACAAGCAACAGCCCCACCACAGGGCTACTTATATGCTTACCACTCTGATTGTCAATCCCGCTTCATTTTTGCCCCTTTCATTCTATAAAATTAGCTCTACATTAAAAATCACCTTTATTACATTTCATCCAGTGTTCCTAGTATTTTAAGTGGGGTGGTTTTCAGGGTATCTAGACTACCAGTTTGCTAGAAAGTGAAGTCTCCAAAGTTCTTACCTTTCTATGCCTTTTCTTTTGATTATATAAGGGAGACAGCTCAATTAGCTACTGCTATTTTTAAACGATTTCTTATAGTTTCTCATTATCTGTGAGGAAGGTAGGAACACCATCAACTAAAGCTTTCTACAAGTAATCATCATCTTGTATTAGAATGAGAAAGGGTAGATGATAATGGGAAGTAAAAGGCCACTAAAGTTATGAGGGATTATGAGGAGATATCCTGTGTAATGAATATTTTGAATTGAAAACCAATAATATCTTGAATCCAAATGCTAGAAGGTCCCCTGTAATCAATATCTACAGTGTACAACATAGAAAGTATAAACTTATTATGATTCTTCCCCCAAAAAAGGTATAATTTAAACAAATTAAACATAAACACAATGAAGAAATCAAATGGTTTCTAGAAATAGAAAATCTTTTTGGTGCTGTGTCTTATAGATCTACATTTTTAAGTGAAAAAGAAGAAGAAGTTATCTTTCAAGAAGTTTCTAAAAGAAGAAAAAAATGCTGACCATCATGGTAGTTAGAAAACATATTGCTCCAGGCAGGGTAATAAATAGTTTCTAATCAGAAAAACAAAGATTACCATGGAACATTTAACATGACAGAATGGACCCAAGTTGGTAAGAAAGGGGACAAGAATGCTTTAAATAGAATGAAAGCCTCAGTATAAAATTAGATTTTTATGAGGAAAATAAAGGGCTTATAGAAATGGACAACATGAATAAGAAACATTCTGAATGTTCAAGAGAGAACAACAGAAACAGAGACCCATTGAAAACAAGCTTGGAAAATTAGGAAATTGAAAGGGTAACATTTGCACATTGTTCTTAAGGACAGAAATGCTCCCATTTTGCCCTGCCTTCTGATTTTCCATTAGGACAGCATCTACCAGCTCCAACAAGGCTGCTACTGCCACTGGGCCAGCAGTACTTTTCCACTTTCTCAGTAGTGGGCCAGGGGTTCTACAGATAATGCAATAGAGAAACCATTATTAAGGCAAGATGACAAAAGATGAGATAAGATTCCAATCTCAGAGGCCAAGAACCCAGACCTGGAGAGACAGACAAATGATGAGAATTAAGGAGCTCTTCAAAGGCTTTTACAAATGACAGCTGATATTTTTCTACTTTGGGTATAAAAATGATATGTAGAGATGCCTTGCCCCACTAATCATGGGATGATGAACTTGAAAAGGACCTTAAGAGGTCATGTCAACCATTAGCTCTTTTCATTAAAAATACCACTTCTGTTCTAACCACATGACCCTCAGTTCTCTGAATCTGCATATGTGCATATTTTAGACATTGTATGTGTGTTTGTGTGTGTGTGTGTGTGTGTGTGTGTTTAAAGTGTTTCCTTACCATGGTATTTATTAGACCTCAGTAGAATTACTCATTTTTAACTATATGGAAGCAACTGAGCTAAAAGGGACTTGACACTGATTCAAAAGAATATATTTCTGCCAGTTTTCAGTTTCACAGGAACACACATATGGAAGCTTGCTTACCTTAGTGAAAGCTCGGTAACATAAGCCACACAGCTCCACCAGGTAGGCCAGAGTGAAGACGGCATTCTGAATTACAAAGCTGAGCAGTTTTGAAAATGGTTCCAACAAACTCTGCAATGAGATTGGGGCCAAATAAAGTCAATTGCTGATTACTTCATTTCAAAAAAAGTATTAAAATCTTATGATACTTTAACTAATGGAATCACTTTTTTTTAATTGAAAACTCTGTTGCCCAGTGGCTCCTGTAGCAACCCCATTGGTCTAATAAAAACAGAACTGCACCTTCAGTCAAGGGCTCAAAGAGCAGGACCAAATCATTTCACTGCTCAAAAAGACATTCATTTTTCCATATGGTATCATTTACAAACCTTCCTTACTACAACCCTGTCTTCGTGTCCACCCTAAGCAATCAAGAGTGTGGGGTTTGCAGTGGGATCTTCCACTTTATTTTCAGAACATTTAAGTATTTATGAGTTCATCATATTCAGATCTGGAAGCCTGTCTTCTGGGTTAAGTAGTGCAAACCACCCTTACGTGTAAGTACTAAAGTACTATAGCTTAGATAAAATTCATCACAACCCAGCCTCCTGCCAATGTTAATCAGGAAGGCATAGTCTGTTTTGGTTTCTCCCCCTGAATCCTACCCATGAAGGATCAGTTTTAGTTCCATATGCTTTCTTAAGTCATTTAGAAACATTTGTTGAGTACCTACTGAGTGTCAGACAGAGTTAGATGGATGATTTCATATAGTTTATCTTACTCAAATTTCTCATAACTATCCTGGGAGACAGTGTGTTATAATATAGGTAATGACACAAGCACTAAATTCTGACACAAGGGTTTTCACACTCTAGCTCACTGTGACCTTGAATAAGTGATTTAATCTCTCTGGAACTTGGTTTTCTCCTCTGTAAAAGGGGGATAATAATGGCTTCCACCTCATTAGGGTGCAAGTTATGAGAATTAAAAGAGATAATATATGTAAAGCACTTGGCACCAGTAAGCTCTCCATCAGTGTTAGCTATGATCTTCATTATTAACCTTCTGAAGCTTTAGTATCCATTCCTGCTCTGCAGCTTAGGCAGTTAAGTAGACAAGCAATTTGCCTAAGACCATAAAGGTATCAGGTAGAATTCAAAGCCAAGTTCCAGGGCAATTTTCCAGAGGTAGAATTGCTCTGCAGAGAAGATAGGATTTTAACTGGACTCCAAAACACTTGCATGCCATGAGTTCCAATACTTCTCAATCTCTATAGTGCTCACTGTCTGGTTTTCAAAAGTCATACATGTTCAATGTCAAACTCAAGATATGTAGGAAAGGACACATGAGGAAGAAGTAAAAGTCATCCATAGTCCCACCACCTTGTGATTATATTTTGATATGTAGTGGAAATATTACACATGTACAATCCTATATTTTGTTTTATATTAACTTAATACAACATCAGAAATTCTCAGTGCCATTTAATTCTTCATAATCATCCATTTTAATGGCCACAAAGTCACATTTTACTATAAATAACAACCCAATAAATATATTTTACATGAAATTAGCATTTGCATTTTCTTCCTTGAATAGATTCCCAGAAAAAAAATGACTAAATTAAAGGACATGAGCGTATTTGAGGTTCTTTTTTCTAATCGATATGAAAATGAATGCACTTTGTGTTAGTTGCCCCTAAAGATAGGAATTCTGTTTTTTACTTATTTGTATTCCCCCACAGAAATCCATGTGGTGCTTTCCATATAGAAAATCTTAAAGAAACTCACAGACTTAGTACTAATGATTCATTATTCTTTGCTCCATATAAATGCTATTGCCTTGAGGTTGGGCGCAGTGGGACATGCCTGTAATCCCAGCACTTTGGGAGGCTGAGGCTGGTGGATCACTTGAGGTCAGGAGTTCGAGACCAGCCTGGCCAACATGGTGAAACCTCATCTCTACTAAAAATACAAAAATTAGCCAGGTGTATGGTGCATGCCTGTAGTCCCAGCTACTTGGGAGGCTGAGGCAGGGAGAATTGTTTGAACCCGGGAGCCGGAGGCTGCAGTGAGCCAAGTTGGCATCACTGCACTCCAGCCTGGGTGACAGAGCGAGACTCTGTCTCAAAATAAAATAAAATAAAATAAAATGAACACACACACACACACATATATATATATATATATATATATATATATATATATATATATATGCTATTGTCTTGAAACATTGTCAATAGATGAAAGGAATAGGAATGTCTCATGTTGCACATAATGTATCCTTATTGGTCAAAAAGAGAAGCCTGAATTCAAGCCTATATGGAAACTTGCTCTTATATTTAGAAGAGCAGCATAGTGATGGGGCGATATGGACCCAAAAGACTTATGTTCAAGTCACAAATCTTCTACTAACCAGCTATGTGATCTTGGCCAAGACAATCCATCTCTCTGAGCCTGTTTCCTCGTCTGTAAATGAGTGGATTGAACCAATGATCTCTTTGTAACTTTCTAGCATAAACCATGAGTCTATGAAAGCACAGTCAAGTTAAACAGTTGCAGAATACGTACATTGTTGGTATATTAAATAGTAATTACAAGCTATAGCAATGCAAACTATTGTACCACTGCAGCGAATGCAGTGCAGAAATACAGCTTGGAATACAAAAGTGAATGAGACACGGTGCAGAACTTCTTGAAGCTTGTGGTCTCATTGGAACCACTTCAGGGCAATGTAAGTGCTACTATAGAGAGCTCTATCAAATACCATGGAAGCTGATACAGGAAAAAGTTACTACAGATAATATGAATATGTTTTTTCATTAAATGGGACCTTGAAGAATGAGAAGGAGTTCACCACACCAGCAAGGGCATAAAACATTTCAGGCAAAGGAAATGGCCTAAGCAAAGGCAAGGAAGTATGAAATTAAATAAGATTATATATCTGAAGCATTAAGCATAATGTCTGCCATATGATAACAAACAGTGGTTGTTGTTTCGATGATGATGATGATAACGCTGATTCTGAAAGTGCATAGGAGGAAGGGATGAATAAGACATGGAGCCAAAGATTAAATTGGAAAGGTGGGCTGGAGAGTTATGAAGTAACATCTTAGATACCACATTAAGGAATCTGGACATCATCCTGACAGAAATGAGAAGTTATCAGAGATTTTAAAGCAAAGAACCAACACGATAAGATCCTGTTTAGAAGGATCGCCTAGTTAGTAGTATGGGGGATGGATTGGGGGGCATGGCCCAGGGTTAGCAGGACCAGTTATAAACCATGACATTGTGATGTATTAGATAGAGTTCTTTATACAAGGCACTGACCTAGCATGAAGAAAAAGAAGGAGGCTGAAAGGGAAGCATTCAGTATGCCATAACTATGTCTTCAGTATTGCTACAAGCCTATCTCATTAGGTTAAAAAAAACTGACTAACCAATTGGTTATGTTTTTCTGAAACATACATACCCTTGTAGCATTGGTAGAAGGGATCTTCAAGAGGCAAATCATAATTCTTAAACTGGAATCTAAAGAACACTGTGAATAAATATGAAAAAAAGTAAAAATTAGTTTCCACCTTAATATAACTTTTGCTTCAAATATGTTCTGAAAGCATTTAGTTTAGCAAAAGGAAAATCTGAAATATGACTGCATCTCAACAGATTCCCATGCCATAATATCCTTGTTGAAAAAAGTCATTCTCAGGTTAAAACAATTTTAATTAAACAATTATACAATGGTAAACAATTAAATAATTAAACACAGCTCCTAAAGTATTTTTCAAAGATATAGCCCTAAAAATTAATGAGATAGACAGTTGAATAGAGACATGGTGGATGGATGGGTGGATGGATGGATGGATGGATGGATGGATGAATAGATGGACAGACAATGAACAGAAATTTGTTGGGTAGATATTAAATGTATCTAATTCTAAAGAGATGCACCAATTTGTGAAAGGACTTTTTAGGGAAAAAAACTACTTAGATCTATTTTTAAAAAAACCATGAATCCACATAAGAACCAGTTTCATCTGCCCTTTCTCTGCTATGAAGCAACACGACAAAAACCTGAGAAAATGCAGTAAAATTTCTACAAGACAAAATCATGCCTTACCTATCCATTCAAGTTCTATATTGACAAGATTCCACATCAAAATGTACTTTTTAAATTGAGTTTACTAGGACTGGGGGTAAACGTTACAGCAAGAATAAACAATGATATGGTAAATAGATCACAATAGCAGGCTATAGTTAAATTTCTGCAGCTGTGCACCTACATTAACTTCCTCAAGATAGTAAAAAATAAGCAGGAGTTTTCCAAGTGGAATCCCAGAACCAGCAGCTAGAAATGTGCCAGAATGCAAATCCTCAAGCCCTACCCCTGCTGAATCAGAAACTCCCAAATCAGGCCCAGTAAGTTGTGTTTTAGCAAGTCCTTCAGGGACAGTGATGCACACTGACGTTTGAGATCTGCTTCTATAAACTGATGAAAACAAACTATAGAAGGTTTCAGTGGCTTATTATTTTCCCCAGAGATTAAAAACAAAGGCAGAAGATGATCAGGGGCAGTGCCCAGATCTGCCCTAGCGGGAGAAATTCTTACACAGATTTTGAAAGTATTTCACAAGTGCCTTCTAAGGGAACCACTGGTTCTATTTAATCTGCTCGACACTCATCGGAGTTGATGTGACATTTACACTACTTTAAACCAGAGGCTGAAAACTGGCTGCTCATCAGGCCCCCATAGTGATTTAAAAACCAGAAAATGTTCTCTTGGGAAAAAAAAGGAAGACAGACAACCAGAAGCCTGCGCTCCCACAGAACAACAATTGGCAGGCGTGAGTAGCCACTGACCTCATAGAAGGACTGGCACATTCTAGTTCCTAAGGGTCTCAATTCTCCTTATTATCTTTTCTCCTTTATTAACCCTGTAGGCAGGGTCCCTATGGGCAGGTTGATTGTCACAAATTAGGCACGCCACTTGTTTACAGCTGGCAACACTTGCCACTCTTCTGTGCCCAAGTTAAATCTTCTGACAGTCACATCGGCACACAGGCATTTAAATTTGCCATACCTCAGCCGGGCGCTTTGGCTCACGCCTGTAATCCCAGCACTTTGGGAGGCCGAGGCAGGAGGACCACAAGGTCAGGAGATTAAGACCATCCTGGCTAACATGGTGAAACCCCGTCTCTACTAAAAATACAAAAAATTAGCTGGGCATGGTGGTGGGCGCCTGTAGTCCCAGCTACTCAGGAAGCTGAGGCAGGAGAATGGCGTGAACCCAGGAGGCGGAGCTTGCAGTGAGCCGAGATTGTGCCACTGCACTCCAGCCTGGGTGACAGAGCGAGACTCTGTCTCAAAAAAAAAAAAAAAAAATTTGCCATACCTCATCCCATCCCTTCTCTTAGCCTGTGCGGCTCTTTAGCAGTGAAGCCCTGATTGGTTCTCGGGTCCTAGGAGGTTCCATGTGCTTAAAATTTGTGCACTCAGTTTCCTGTGTGTTGATGTACAGTAGCTATACACATACACAGTTTCAAAGTACTAACCCTTCTTGCTTGGATTTATTCAGCTACTCCACATCTGTGGGCAAACGAGGATCATAGAATATAAGAGGTGGTAAAGATCCCTCCTCTATACTCCTGCTTCTTACAGTAACTCAAAGCTCAAAGCAGCACACGCTGAGCTAAGGGTCCCTGCATTATCCCTTACAGACCTATTAGTAGTATCTGCCCATTTGGAAAAATGTATTAGCATAGGTTGTTGATCTTTATCAAGTATCTTATGTTACATAATACTCATTTCAGAAGTGGAGCTACTAATAGGTAACCTGATCCTTTTGTTTTTCTGTCTATGGGAAATGCACTTTATTTTTATTTTATCTTATATTTTTGAAACAAGATCTCACTCTGTTGCCCAGGCTGGAGTGCAGTGGCACAAATATGGCTCATTACAACCTCGACTTCCCAGGCTCAAGCAATCTTCCCACCTCAGCCTCCCAAGTAGCTGGGACAAAAGGTACATGCCATTACGCCTGGCTAATTTTTAAAATACTTTCTATTTGTTTATTTATTTTTGAGACAGAGTCTCTCTCTGTCATCCAGGCTAGAGTGCAGTGGTGCGATCATGGCTCACTGCAGTCTCAACCTCCTGGGCTCAAACAATGAGCACACCTCAGCCTCCCAAGTAGCTGGGACTACAGGTGCATGCCACCTTGCCCAGCTAATTTTTTTTAAGAGACAGAGTCTCACTATATTGCCTAGCCTATGTTTTTTTTTTTTAATCTTTCGTAGAGACGAGGTCTCGCCATGCTCCCCAGACTGCTCTCAAACTCCTGGGTTCAAGCGATCCCCCTACCTCTGCCTCTCAAAGTGTTGGGATTACAGGCATGAGCCGCTATGCCCTGCCTGATTCATTTTGTTGCCAGTTAAATGCTTCTGTAATCTGCATAGAGAAAGCACAAAAAACCTCATGGAACAGGTCAGGTTCAAAGCCAGCAACACCACTGCCAGCCACCACTCTGCCCCCTACTCTAGAGACATGAATGCCTTCAACTCACCCCTGCTGCAGAAGGGCAAGAAGAGTCTGCTAGTGAAATGAGCACTGGACTGTGAGTCAGAAAACCTCAGTTCTAATCCTCACATTGCCACCACTGTGTTGTTTCCAGAAGCTATACCATCTCTCTGAATTTGCAGAATTCATTTAGAAAACAGAGGCATTGGAAGGGATGATCTTTATAGGTTTCTTCCAGCTTTAACAGTATTGGCTTCTTATTTGCATTTACTGAGCTCATGTTGTCAATGATCCTTGGGCCACCAGATTTCCAGGTAGGTAATTGTGTGTGTATTCTTGGGAGATGGTATGGTGTAGGGGGTAACAGTCAAGCAGAAACATCATCATTCACAAACACAGCAATTACTTCCCTTTAGATAATTCTCTAAAATGGAAACTTTACATTATATGTCTGAGCTGCTTTTGGACAAAACTATTTACTTACTTATTTAATATCTACGGGAGAAAAACTGCCGGATAAACACAGTCTACTCATGTCTTCCTGGCTGTTTTTTTGTTTTTTTTTTTTTTTTTCAAATCAACTGGAAACATGCATATTCATAGTCAGTGAGCAAAATGCTCACTCCACATTCCTGTCATTCTCTAAGAGAAGACAGAACAACCCAAATAAGCATCCTCACTCCATGGCTGACGGAGTTTCCTCATTAACCTTTGCGATACATTAAATCACCCAAGACTCTGCTGCTTGTAAATAAACGGTCTGAAAATGGTAAGAAATTAATTGAAAATGAAACCTTCGGCTCAGCTTACCTTCAGAGGTAAAACACAAGGCAGCTTGGCAAAAAATGTCTGAAACTGGTTGCTAATTGTGGTCCAGAGGCTACTAGGAGAATCCATAGGCAAAGCTTCCATGAAGGTTGCAATGTTTTCCAAACAGCGAATCATAGCACCCCCTGCTGGTAAATTCTTTTTGTTATTTAGACCCTAAAAACACAAAAGCATAGGCCATCAACTGCTGAAACAGCACGGGAATGCATAGCGCTATTTGGTAAATGTCAGTTTAAAAGTCACATCTTCAGGCTATAAACGTGTTCAGTGCCTACTACATAGGCCAATCCCTGTGATAGACTGGAAGGATAACGAGAAAATCGTTCAGACAAACTTAAGGGGGAAAATTGATGAGAGGTGAAAAGTGAGCAAGAAATAGGAAACAGCTTCCAAGGGTCTACAATTGGTGTGGTTAGGTGCTAAGAAAACAATGAATGATGCTCACTGTAAATAATCCCCAGCACAAAGACTGAGCATAGAGTTACAGGAGCTGCAGCTTTTTTTCTAGCAGTGAGCATCTCCCGCAAGCAAACCCCAAGAGCTGACCTGCAGCAGTGCTGAGACTTGAACCCAAGTCTCTTGATCCAACGCCCATAGCTCCACCCACCACTCTGCCCTTGGAAAACCAAGTTGTTCTGTGGAAGCAAGGTCACGACTTAGCTGAGGGTATGGAGAAGTTTTCAATGAAGAGTAAATCCACGCAAAGCCGCAATGTCCAACTGACACTATTCTATGCAATTCTATTTCTTAATTAACTTTTTAAAATTTAAATTATGTTAATTTTTAAAATTTAAATTATGTTAATTTTTAAAATTTAAATTATTTAAATTTTAGCATTTTCTATTATTTTTCTTTTGAGTTGGGGGTCTCGCTCCGTTGCGAGTGTAATGTAGCCATTGGAGTGTAATGTAGCCATTACAACTTGGAGTGTAATGTAGCCATCACAGCTCACTGCAGCCCCCAACTCCTGAGTTCAAGTGATCCTTCCCCCTCAGTCTCCTGAGTAGCTGGGACTACAGGCATGTGTCACCATGCCAGCTAATTTCTTTTATTTTTATTTTGTAGAGATGGGGGTCTTGCTATGTTGCACAGGCTAGTCTTGAACTCCTGGCCTCGAGCAATCCTCCTGCCTCAGTCTCCCAAAGTGCTGGGATTATAGGCATGAGCCACTGCACTCAGCCCTTAGCTTTAAATTTAATATATATTTTTTAATTTTAAAATTTTAGATTTCATTTTTAAATTAAATAACATTGCAATCCTTCCTCAGCAGTATCCTATGGTGTGACTCAAAGAAACACAGCCCACAGTTGTGCTGGGGCTTAGAGTTTCGGCTGGGGCTTAGGGTGTCATTAAAGGAAACCCACCTCTAGGAGCTGACTGAGAGCTGCGATGGAGCTCAGCTCATTGAAGTCCATCAGAGACGAGGCTAAGGTCCGTAAAAAAGTCCCATCTGGAAAGTCAACGATCGGATTTAGTGTTTGGGTGTCTGGGATGAGGCAAATTTGTGGTGCCTGGATCCTCAGTGGATGAATTACCTTTGATCGTGCTTTGGAACAGCTGCGGGAAGATGCCGTTGGGGGCCAACTGATGGAAGATGCAGCGCAGGAACTGCTTGGCCACCCCCGCCGCATTGCCGGGAACCATCATGCTGGAGTTGAACAGGGGAGAAAAGACACGAAGTCATGGGCCAGTGAGCAGGTGTTCAGATATTTACTTAGAGTTCAGACATTTGCACACCATGCCTCTGATGGGATAGCTCACTGTCATGTTCATCAGTGAAATGAAATATTCTACTCAAACCTAATCCCTGTTAACAAGAAGTTTTTAGAAAGAGAGAACCATGAAATGCCAGTGTAGTCTCAGACGTATTCCAGGTCCCACAATGGACTCAGGAAGGTTATGAGATCCTGAGAGAAGAGGTCACATACAAAGGTCACATGCTCACAGAATGACAGTCAAGACTGGAGCCCTGGATGAGGATTACCAGGAAAATCCTCCCAGGAAAGTGTCACTGGCTAAGACAGAGTTGCTCTGAGGAAAAAAAAATTCATATATATATATATATATGCAGTGAGAGAGATGTTCATTCTCATTAGGAGATGTGGGAAGTTTTCTTTGGGCATCTGAGCTGACACTTGTAAAAAGGCTGGACTTTGACAGGTGCAATTTGACCTTCACCCTTCATGTGCACCTCTGCACATCAAAAGTAGGGCCAAATTTATGAGGCCCTGCCCCTTAGACTAAGGTACCAGAAAGGATGCTTCTTGATGTAGTTAGGGGGTAAGTTACCAGAAGGAAAAAAGAGAAAATCAAAGAACGTAAATAGATAAAGAGTAAGAAGTACTGCTTACCTAATTATGCCAATTATTACCTCATTGTGCCACATCTACCCTGAAATGCTGGTTCAAAGTTTTAGGTCAAAAATATTCTTCAGGAAAAAATAACGCCGAACTTACAATAACTTCAGAAAATAGAGAAGGAGAGAACCCTTCCCAATTTGTTTGATGCAGGCAGCATAGCCCTAAAACTAAAATTAATAAAGCCATTATCAAAATAAATTTTAAAAAAGAAGGAAACAGAAAAGAAATGGGAAGAGGACAGACAGACCCATAGTCGTCATGGCCACTGAATCCAGCTATAGATTAAAAGACCAAGTAGGGTCATGACCAAGTAGAGTTTATTCCAAGAGAATAACAATAGTTTAATACTCAAAAATCAGCCAGTATAATTCAATATATTAAGAAATAACGGACAAAAAGCTTATATCTCAATAGATGCAGAAAATACATCTCACAAAAGTCAACACACATCATGACAAAAACTCAGACTGGGCCAGGCACAGTGACTATCGCCTGTAATCCCAGCATTTTGGGAGGCCAAGGCAGGAAGACTGCATGAGCCTAAGAGTTGGAGACCAGCCTGGGAAACAGGGCAAACCCCCCTCATTTCTACAAAAAATACAAAAAACTAGCTGGGCATGGTGGCACACACCTGTAGTCCCAGCTACTCAGGAGGCTGAGGTGGGAGGATCACTTGAGCCAGGGAGGTTGAGACTGACAAGATGGTGCCACTGCACTCCAGCCTGGGTGATAGAGCAAGACCCTGCCTCAACAACAGCAACAGCAACAACAACAAAAACCCTCAAACTGGAAATACCTCAATTTGCTAAAGGGCATCTATAAAAAAACCTATAGCTACTGCGATTAATAGTAAATATTGAATACTTTCCCTGTAAGAGAGGAAACAAGAAAAGGGTGCCGACTCTCCCATCTCTATGATTACACTGGCAGTCTGAGCCATTGCAATAAGGCAATAAAAAGAAACAAAAGGCGGGGTGCGGTGGCTCACGCCTGTAATCCCAGCACTTTGGGAGGCCGAGGTGGGTGGATCACCTGAGGTCAGGAGTTCCAGACCAGCCTGACCAACATAGAGAAACCATGGCCTCTAGTAAAAAAAAAAAAAAAAAAAAAAAAAAAATACAAAATTAGCCAGGTATGGTGGTGCATGCTATAATCCCAGCTACTTGGGAGCCTGAGGCAGGAGAATCCTTTAAACCCAGGAGGCAGAGGTTGCTGTGAGCCGAGATTGCACCACTGCATTCCAGCCTGGGCAACAAGAGCGAAACTCTGTTTCAAAAAAAACAAAAGAAACAAAAGGCATAAAGATCAGAAAGGAAGTAGTAAAACTCTTGCTATTTACAGATGATTTTTCCATACAAAATCAAATCCTAAAGAGATCTACAAAGCAACTACTAGAACTAATAAGTGAATTTAGCTAGAATACATGCTAATATGCAAAAATCAATTGTTATTTAGATATCAGCAACAAAAAGTTGAAATTTTTAAAAATTCCATTTACATTAGTATAAAAAACATAAAATTCTTGAGAATAAATTTAACAAAAATGGCAAGACCTCTACACTGAAAACTAAAAAACATTGCTGAGAGAAATTAAAGATCTCATGAAAATGAGATATATACCATGTTCATGAATTGGAAGATTCAATATTTTCATGCTGTCAGTTACCCCCAAATTGATTTGTTCTTTCAATACAAGCCCAGCAGACTTTTTTGATAAGAATGACAAGCTTATTCCAAAATTTATATGAAAATGTAAAGAATGTAGAGATCCAAACCAATCTTGAAAAAGATAACTAAATTTGGAGGACTAATGCTACCTGACTTTAACACTTACTACTTACTATGAAGGTACTATAATCAAGACAGTGTGGTGCAAACTTAAGAATTAATATATAGATCAATGGAACAGAATAGAGAGCCCAGAAATAGATCCACCCTTCCATGGTTTCTAAGCTTAACAGGCACCACAGTGATCCAATAAGAAAAGAAAATATCTTTTTTAACTGTGCTGAAAAACTGAATATCCACATAGATAAAAATGAACTCCTACTGCTGCCTCACACCATACATAAAAATTAATTTGAGATGGGTTTTATAAATGCCAAATATACATATGAAAACCATAAAGCCTTTATAAGAAAACATTAGAGAATATCTGCATGACTTGGAAGTAAACAAAGGTTTCTTAGACAAATAAAAAGAAGCAATAATTGTAATGTTTTGTTTTAATGCATTAGAATTCACCTAAATTAAACATTTCTCAGCAAAAGATACCACTAAGAAAAGAAATAGGCATGCCCCAGACTGGGTGAAAATATTCTCAAAACATACTTAACAAAGGACTAGTATTCAGTATATATAAAGTCTTACAACTCAGCAATAAAAAGACAACAACCCAATTAAAATATTCAAAAGATTTGACCAGACACTTCTCAAAAGAATATACGCAATGGGTCAATGAGCACTTGAAAAAATGTCATAGAGAAATGCAAGTTAAAACTATAATGAAATACCCATTACACATCCACCAGAATGACCAAAATTAAAAAGACCAACAATGCCAAAGTTGGGCAAGAATATGAAACAACCAGAATACATTGATGATTGGTAATATAAAGTGGCATAACCACTTTAAGAGAAGTTCCAGTAGTTTCTGATAAAATTAAACATATACCTATCCTGTAACCCAACAATATCATCCCTAGGTATTTTACCCAAGAGAAATAAAAACACTTGTTTTAAAAAGGGCTTTTATAAGAATGTTCACAATAGATCTATTTTTTTATACCCCCCAACTGAAAAAACCTAGAAGTCCTTCAATAAGAAAATAAAAAAGCAAATTATGGGATACAATTCAGCCTTGAAAAAGAAACAAACTCCTGATAAAAAAGCAGCAACATGGATAAATCTCAAAAACATCATGCTGAGTAACAGAAGTTGGACACAAAAGAGTGCATACAGTAGGATTCCATTGACATGAAGTCTAGAATGGGCAAAATCAACCCATGTGGAAAAATATCACAACAGTGTTTGCCTCTATGGGGGTAGAGATTAGCTGGAAACGTGCACGAGAGAACTTTCTGGGAATAATGGTAATGTTCTCTATCTTTACAGGGGTTTGGGTTACACAGTCATATGCATTTGACAAAACTCAAGGAATAAACACTTAAGATTTGTGCACTTCCTTGTATGTAAATTTTACAAAAGAAACAACCATCGTCAATGTACAATATGGTGAGTATAGTTAACAACAATGTATCGTATACTTGAAATTTGCTGAGAGAGTAGATTTCAAATGTTTTCACCAAAAAATAAAAAGATAACTATGTGAGGTGATATGTTAATTAGCTTGATTGTGGTAATCATTTCACAATGTACACATCTATCAAAAGATCACATTTATATCTTAAATAGATATAATTTTTATTTCTCAATTATACCTCAATAAAGCTGGAGGAAAAAAGAAACAACTGTATACAAAAATTGAACTTGAGTTAATGCTAACTTTGCTGAAGTATGTAGGGGAAAATATATTCTAATATCTGAAATTTACTCTGAAATACATCCAAAAAAATGAATTGATGGATAGATAGATGGTTGGATGCATGATAAAGAAAATAAAATATTTGTTTTAAAATCTAGGTGATAGGTATATGAGAGTTCACTGTATAATTCTTTCAACTTTGCAGTATGTTTAAAATCTTCCATAAAAAATGTTAAGAAAATAAGTTTTTTAAAAAGCCATTCATCGAATAGAACATAAGAAAGAAAAGCAAACATCCCTAAAATAAATTATAGAAATGCGATGTCAACAATAATATCATCTTATGTTTGTAGGACCTGCTACAGTTATGCTATCATATACACTCTATCATTTGAGTCCACAGAAAATACCCCTGAGGCACAAGAAGGCATATATTAGTATCTCTCTTTTACAGATGAGGAAGCTAAGGCAGAGAGATCAATGTGGCCAAAGTCACACACAGCATCCGTCCCTGCCCTCTTCTGGTTCTTTCT
Organism: Homo sapiens; assembly: GCF_000001405.40. NCBI lineage: Eukaryota > Metazoa > Chordata > Mammalia > Primates > Hominidae > Homo > Homo sapiens. Next base: position 763,574 of record NT_187601.1, on the reverse strand, counting down.
CCCCACTGCAGTCAAAGTAGCCTTTCTACATGCTATACACACGCACGCACACACACACCTTGCTGCTTACAAATCCTTCACTGTCTTCCCACTGCTGCTAGAAGAAAGTCCAAAATATTTAATGTGGTTTATAAGTCATACACAATCTGGTAAGTCAAACTCAGCAAGTGCTTGCATCTCTGTGCTGTGGTTATATTGGCTTTTTCATAGTTCCTCCTACACACTGTTTTTACCATGCTCTTTCCATAACTATGTGCATAATCAGGTTAAACTCATTTTTTCAGATCTTAGTTTAAACATCACTTCTTAAGGGAAGCCCTCCCCTCATTCTCCCCTCCTCTACCACTACCAAGACCAGACTGGGACCACCCGTTACACCCACTCACACCATCAGCTCTCATCCAGGCTTGCTCATCTCAGCAAATGCCACACCCGCCCACCCAGTTGTTTAAACCAAAACCTAGGAGTCATTCTTGCCTCCTCTCTTTCTCTCACACCCAACATCCAATCTATCAGCAAATTCTGTTGGCTCTACTTCAAAATATTTCCTAAATATATCCTTAATGTGGCTGCCTCTCACCACTTTAGACCAAACCACTAACCTCTCACCTGCACCGCTAACATGGTCTCCAAACTGGTTCCCTCCTTCCATTTTTACCCCTTCCCCATAACCTATTTTCAACAGAGAAGCCAGAGGGGTCCTCAAAATTTTTTTTCCTTAAAAAGATTTATTTTATTGTGTAAGAACACTTAACATGAGAACTATTCTCTTAACAAGTGTTCATGTACAATACATTACTGTTGACTGTAGATGCAATGCCATACAGCAGATCTTCAGAGCTCATTCATCTGGCTTGACTAAAACTTCATGCCCCTTGATCAGTAACTAGGCAGTGATCCTTCAAAGCAGGTAATATGGTTTGCCTGTGTCTCCACCCAAATCTCATTTTGAATTGTAGCTCCCATAATTCCCACACGTTGTGGGAGGGGCCCAGTGGGAGATAACTGAATCATAGGGGTGGTTTTCCCCATACTGTCCTTGTGGTAGTGAATAAGTCTCACGAGATCTGATGGTTTTATAAATGGGAGTTCCCCTGCACAAGCTCTCTCTTTGCTGGCTGCCATGTAAGACGTCCCTTTGCTCTTCCTTCATCTTCCACCATGATTGTGAGGCCTCCCCAGCCATGTGGAACTGTGAGTCAATTAAACCACTTTCTTTTATAAATTACCCAGTCTTAGGCATGTCATTATCAGCAGTGTGAAAGTGGACTAATGCAGCAGGTTAAAGCACATTGCTCCTCACTCCAATGACTCCCTGCTGCATCCTTAAAATGACCTGCAGGGCTCTACTTGGCCTGGCTCACACTGCCTCTTCCCTCTCATCTCCTCCCACTCTTTTTCATACTCAACCTGCTCCAGCCACATTAGTCTGTTTTCCAAATATATGAGGCATTTTCCTGACTTAGAGACTTTGTATTTGCTGCTCCCTCTGCCTGGAATGTTATTTCTATAAATTACTGCATGGATCACTCTCTCACTTTATTCATGTTTTGTTCAAATATTACCTCCTCAAAAATGCTGTCCTTGACCATTATATCTAAAACACCAGCTCCGGGCACTCTCTATCTCCCAGACTTGCTAGATTCATTTTCTTGCATTTAGCACTAAATGATATCAAATTACATAGTCAGTTTTCCTGTTGGTTAATTTGCTTATTTTCTCCCTCCTCAAGTAGAATGTAAGTTCCGTGAGAGCCAGGATTTGATGTTTTGTTATAGTTACTATAACCTCAATAACTAGTAGTCACTCCATAAATACTTGTTGAATGAATTACTGTTATATAAGTCTCTCTGTACTTTTTCTTCATAGCACTTAGCACAGTTTACAATTATAAATTTGTGCAAATATTTTATTCACATTGGCTTCATGGATAGACTATAAGCCCCATGACGGCAGGAATCATGTCAGTTTTGCCCCCAGTGAAGGCCTGAGTGTCTAGCACAGGGTGGGCTTAAAAGTATTTGTTGGCTAAAATGAGTGAATGAATGAATGAATAAAGGCATGAACAGAAAATGAATAACTAGTGCTCTCTAGAGCTGCAATTGGAGCCTAACAATATTCCCTCCGTGGTGCACAAGCTGGTATTTTTTTTATTTTTTATTTTTTATTGAGACAGGGTCTTGCTATGTTGCCCAGGATGGTCTTGAACTCCCGGGCTCGAGTGATCCTCCCACCCTGGCCTCCCAAAGTGCTGAGATTACAGACGCGAGCCACTGCACCCAGCCCCACACTGGTGTTTTAGAAACAGGATGAACATGCACAGAGGAGAAAAGAAAGTGAGATCTGGGCTCCCGTTAGGACCTTACCTTTCTGCTTGATTAGAAAAGGTAGTACTGGATGCCAATCTAGGAAATAAAGTAAAGAGAGTCACACAAATATCTTAGGTTTCCATGATGAAATGCATTAATATTGTGGGAGGACCTGTTGTGTTTCCAGTTTAGATGGGGAGACATGTATAATGTTGACAATTCCCTTGACAGTACAGAGGGCCCACTCAGTGGTCAGTCTCTAGAGTTAAACTTGACCTAGTCCTTGAGACCTGCTATATCAAGTTAGACATTTTCATGGAAACACTTGCAGTTAAAGTTGGTTTTCTACAAAATGGTGCCTGCAGCCAGGCCAGACAGTTATCACAACAACATTTGACCCAGCTCCTCTCCATATTAACTCAACTCGAAATTCATTTCTTTGTATATAACCTCTGAAACCTAACTATAAACAAACCACAAGTGGTAAAAGCCTCCATAAGATAGTAAAATAGATAACAGGAATATTTGTCAGCTGTTGGGTTGAAATGAGGAAAAAGGAAATGTTACATTGAGAAGAGAAATGTATTGGTTAAGTAAACGATATGGAGCATGTAATTTCCAGAAAAGTATAATTATACGGTTCTGTATGTGTGGAAATATTCTATATGTTATCATATAGAAAGAGAATGGACTATACTGATGGGTTTAGAATAACATGTCTGGATCAGTAAGATACTGAAGAAACAGATAAGGAGAATGTTGCAAATTTATTTACTTGATTAGGACTACAGGTGTAAGAGTGAGCTGAGCCAAGACCCCACTTAGAGAAGAATAGGGGGTCCAGCAACCACTAACACCAGACACCATTCCCAGTTGTGTTGTTTACAGACCTTCTCATGCTAATGTCACTACAAAAAATAGATAAACATTGACAAGTAAACTAAACAGTAACAGTAATTAATGGTGCAGCAAATGAGATTTTAAAGGCTGTACCTACAGAAAGGGATCATGTAAGAGGGATCCAAGCAGACAGCAAAGTATGAGATCATATGGAAAAGCTTGAGTGATCCACGAAAGCGTTATGCTGAGCTTACAAACTCTTGGAATTGCTGGGAATGGTCCCCGTGGTCATAATTAGCGCAAATAAACAATGTGTTTGTAAAACCACATGATCTCATCTGTTCTTCGTGATGAAGTGAGGCATGCCAGGAAGCCCTGAATTAGCTGACAGTTGAATCTGTTTTCTTGGTAGCTTTGGTGATTAGGCTTAGGTTGCTAAGAATTGTGGCAGCTTGCACTAAATGTACTCCCTGTCTCTTGCTAGTCTACCCAAAGGAGGTAGAGATTTAAATATATGTGTATGTAAATATGTAAAAATGTATCTGCTACTGGTTTTCCCTTGCTTTTCTTCAAAGCTCATGTGTTTCAATCCTAACAGTTGGCAATGTTTGAACACATATTGTTCTCACTTATGTTAAAACAAACAAAAGAAACAAAACTGAAACAAACCCCTCTATATAGCTATGACAACTTAGATCATCTGTTTCAAAGAGATGATAACAGACCAGAACAATAATTCTATACATTCTGAAACTAAGAAGTATTGATAGTAGAAATTGTGACCTGGTATTAATAAAAACTCTCAACTCCCCAAGTATTGCTGATAGCTGACAACATTTATTCTGCAATTACTATGACTAGGTCAAACTCAAGGGCTTAAATGAAGTAATTCATCTTCTCTTATCTCTCCATATCCCCATATCCATCCCTTACTTGGCACATGGGCTATTTTGAAGTCTTGAGATGCAATGGTCACACTTACCTTTATACAATCTGTCTATATGACTCCTAAGGACACTACCAAAAAAACTGGAGGGAGGGAGGATAAGAAAGCCATACACTTTTGGGGTTGAGGAGTTTATAATGCTTTCCTATTTGTCTTCAACTTGAAGTCAACATTTTTTCATTTTTAAAAAAGGATTAAATTTTAGCAACATTAAGAGTCATTCTCTTTCCTTTCCTCAAATGCCAAGAGTTTGCAGAATCCAGTTCTTGTGCTACCTCCTCCTTATAAACTTTAAGACATCTTTCCTATACTAATCTTCTCTAGCACTTAGCTCTCTCTCATTCCACTCATTACAGCATTTAATCACACCCTATCTTATTTGGCTAGTCAATGAGTCCACAGTAACTGTCACAGCAACTAAGCCCAAAGTACCTGAGGCCAAGAGCTCTGTCTAACGCCTGCAGCCTAAAGCACCTGGCACTGTTCACACAGATTGGAAATGTTAATACATTTATGTGGCATTTAATTCAACCCTCTCCTATAAGTTGTGCACGCTAAGACTACAGTTTGTTATTGAATTTGAGCTTTCTTCATATCCATGAAATATATCTTTATCTTCTAATGTCCTATCTACTAAATAGAATTTTCTTAGCATGAACACCCTCAAAGCAGCTAAGCGTAATCTCTCAGTCAGGTTGAAAGCCCTGTTCCCCAAATGTGTGCATCCTTCTTTTATCTGAGTCAGAAATGTGAACCTGCTATAATTACTATGTGTCTCCTCACACAACAATGCCCCAAGTTTCATAGTTAAATGAGGTGTCCTTGAGATTACAAATGCCTAGAAAATCCATCTCAAAACAGGTAAAGAGAAATAATAATAACAGGTAATACTTACGAAGTGTTTACTATCAACTGCTGACAGTTGTGTGCGTGGTTACAACCATTAGCTCATTTAGTGACAGGGGTAACAAACAGTGGGGTTTCCTTAGTGCAGTTGCCCCTAGCTTTGCTCTGACATTGTGACTCATGACCCTACGCAGCTGGAGAATTCAGTCGAAAGACGAGTCTATTTGGTTTTTAAAACTAGTCTGAGTTGATGTCACAAATACCAGTATCTACAAGGTGGCTGAATGTTTCACTTTTGAACTGGTAGTTTTTAGTTCAAGATAGAGACTGAATAAAGGACCTTCCTACCAAACAAAACAGAAGCTGACATTCACCTTCCCACAGACTGCATGATATCCAGCAGCAGCGGGGCTGCCAGGTCTGGGCTTAAGTGAATGAATGTGGAGAGGACCACGATGGCTAGCCCAAGTGTCTCTTCATCGTATTCTTCAAGAATGGCCCCACAGTCATGGCATCTGCAAAGAAAAGAGAGACATGCTTTCCATGAAAGAAAGAACCATGGTCTCAAGATATAATATACTACACACACGGCTGTTTTTAGTAGGTCTTGGAAAAGTCTCCAAAAGGAGATCAGGAGCCCCACTCTGGTAATCAGTAGAGGATTCCAGTGCTGCCATCACCACAGATACAGAAACAGCACACATGGTAGAGACCACGAAGGTGCCTCTGATGACTGAAAATGTTCTTTCAGTTCCCCAGCATCTGGCCTGCATGTGAGTGACTGCTCTCACTTAGAATGAGTACCAACTGGGCCATCAGTTTGAAGCCTGTGGATGAAGGATTTGATGCATTTGACATTATTGCTGAGGAAAGTCAGTAACTAGATTTGTTTTTAATTTGTTGAAGTTAAAAATGCAAAATGCTTAGGCACGGATGGAGGCTTTCAGAAAATGTTCTATTTGTGGGTAAGAGACAGGGTAGTCAAGTCTACAGAACCATCTGGAAAGCCTGAGGAGACAATGGAGTCTCTTCTCCACCACTCACTCAGATGAGTTTTATGAACTCACCAGGCCTGCCGAGTGTCATATGTAAAAGCACAAACAATGGCACCCGCTTTTAGGTAACTTCCAACCTACCGCTCTTTGTAGTGTCCTAATGTAGGGTCCATTTCATTCAACACGACCAAAGCCAGCTGATAAAGTGAGCAGTTTTATAAAAGGAAGCGAAAGTCTAATGGGAATAGCAGGGAATCAAGAACTACAACTGTTGTTGTGACCCTTCCTTCTGAAAACTTCCTAAATATAGGCCAAAGAAAGAGCATAAAAATTTCTTACAAATTGACATTTTAAAATACAGGATTCACATTTCTAAGTAAAAAAGAAAAGAAATGGAGTGCACAGAAAGGCAAATAGGAAAGATTAAGACTTGGGGAGCGGGGTAATCCCAAAGGAAGAGCTGGAGAGAGCCCTCCATGGGCAACTCAATGACCTGTGTGGACCTTCCAAGGCAGCTGCATGAGACAGGCACCACCGCTTCTTCAGTCATGGCTGTCAGGTCATTACAATGAGTAATGGATGGTCAGCTACAGGGATACTCACATCAGCCCCTTCCACCTTACCTTCCTCACTTTTTTTTTTTTTTTTTTTTGAGATGGAGTCTTGCTCTGTCACCCAGGCTGGAGTGCAGTGGCACAATCTCGGCTCACTGCAAGCTCCGCCTCCCAGGTTCACGACATTCTCCTGCCTCAGCCTCCCGAGTAGCTGGGACTACACGTGCCCGCCACCAGGCCCAGCTAATTTTTTTGTATTTTTAGTAGAGACAGGGTTTCACCATGTTAGCCAGGATGGTCTCGATCTCCTGACCTCGTGATCCACCCATCTCAGCCTCCCAAAGTGCTGGGATTACAGGCATGAGCCACCGCGCCTGGCCCCTTCCTCACCTTTTATCAGAAGCATACTGTATTAGTCTGTTCTCATGCTGCTAATAAAGACATACCCAAGACTAGGTAATTCATAAAGGAAAGACGTTTAATTGACTCTCAGTTCCACATGGCTGGAGTGGCCTCACAATCATGGTGGAAGGCAAGGGGGAGCAAAGTCACATCTTACATGGCAGGAGGCAAGAGAGCTTGTGCAGGGGAACTCCCATTCATAAAATCATCAGATCTCATGAGACTTATTCACTGCCATGAGAACAGTATGGGGGAAACTGCCCCCATGATTCAATTATCTCCACCTGGCCCCACCTTTGACATGTGGGGATTATTACAATTCAAGGTGAGATTTGGGTGGGAACATAGCCAAACCATATCATCTACCTAATTTATCAATCAGGTCACTTTTACCAAGAAGGCTTCCTGGTCCAAGGGGATTTCTCTAAACTTGAAATCTTACAAGTGCTTTGTTTTGTTTTGTTTTGCTTTTGAGACAGTCACTCTATCACCCAGGCAGGAGTGTAGTGGCGCTATCACAGCTCACCACAGCCTCAACCTCCCAGGCTCAAGTGATCCTCCCACCTCAGCCTCCCTAGCAGCTGGGACTACAGGCACACACCATCATACCTGGCTAATTTTAGTAATTTTAGTAGAAACAGGGTTTTGCCATGTTGCCCAGGCTAGTCTCAAACTCCTGGGCTCAAGCAATCCACCCGCTTTGGTTATTCTTTATCATACTCACTGAACAAGCATCTGTGTGCCAGGCAATATACTGGAGGAACAAATTATGACTTAAAAGCAAAGCATGCTTTTTCTGAAACTTTCTCACCACTGTGGTAACCAAACTTAAATTCTGTAAACATGGTGAAGAAAATAACTGTGCGAGCTTACTTGTCCGTCATCACCGTCGGCTGCTCGTCAGTGAACTCTTCAGGTGCAGGCACAAACATACTGACTATGCTTGGTGCTGATAGCAGGCTGGATTTGGTGGCACCTGGGTAAGCAGCAAAGGGACAACCAGTGAATATAGATGAGCTTCAAGGGGCCAAGAAAGGCCTGGTTCTCCTCTTAGAAACCCTCCAAAGATCACATTCCCAGGAATACAACTTGGACATCCCAACTGTACTGCAGAAAGCCCTCAATCATGAAATGAAGTCAAGAAAGATTGTGATTTGTTTCTGCTTGGTTGAAGTGAAGAGCTAGACTTCTCTCTCTTTGCTTCTTGACTTTGAAAGAAATCAGAAAGAGCTCAGGTGTGCCAGCAGGGTCCAAAGACAAAGATGAAAGACAAAGGGGAAAATCTATTCAAGGGTACCCTTAAAAGAGCTACAATTCTTATTTGTAGGCATAAATGGAAACTTCCCATATGATACTGCATTTCTAAAATCACAAACGCATATCAACATTACAGTTTTGCTAATATGGGAAGGTGGTAAGATCCCAGAACTCCATGCACTTAAGCAGTGGAGATCTTTGAGCTAAGAAATATCAGTGTGTTTGTTTGTTTGTTTGTGACAAGGTCTTGCTCTGTCACCCTGGTTGGAATGCAGTGGCGTGAGCACAGCTCACTGCAGCCTCAACCTCCCAGGCTGAAGCAATCCTCCCACCTCAGCCACACAAGTGGCTGGGGCTACAGGCACACGCCACAATGCCTGGCTAATTTTTAAGTTTTTGTAAAGACAAGGTCTCACCTTGTTACCTGGGCTTGTCTCAAGATCCTAGGCTCAAGGGATCCTCCCACCTCAGCCTCCCAAAATGCTAGGATTACAGCTGTGAGCCACTGTGCCTGGCCTTGCATTTTTCAAACTGAAGTATTTATGAATGTGATATCAAGTTTTTTTGAAGGAACCATCCAGTGACTCATTCCACGTCAGCCAATCGATACCACGGTGTTTAAAACTTTGGGGTTTGATGTCTTCAAAGAAATCTGAGGCAAGAATCTTAGCAACATGGTCCAGGGATGAGTAAATCAGTCTGGAAAGTCAGGAAGCTGTTCTCCATTAAGAAAGCCACTAGTGCAAGACAGAGTCTCATGAAAATGAAGCACCCCAAGAAGAATCTCAAAGGGATCATCCAGAATAATGCCATGTTCTACAAAGTAATAACTAAAACGCTAAGTTCCTCAAACAGGAAAGAAGGCAGAAAAATCCAAGAGTCATTAAATAATCTTTCTCATCAAGGAATTAGTATCTTGGTGCTGGGAGAAAACAAACAAGCAAACAAAAACCCGGTATGACCTTTCCTCAAATAGGGGAAAGATTTCCTCAAATAGGAGAATGATTCAGACAATGAGTTTCTAAAGGAATCAAAATATTCATAAAGCTAGCCAAGTGGGCAATGTGTTTCAATCTGAATTTTCGGAAGAAAAAATAGTGTTGAGCCTTTGAAAAGTCAAGATGCTTCCATTCTGCAGACTCCTTTGCCTGATCAAAGGTTACACGAGTATAAGAAGAACATTTGCAAATCCAAACTGCAAAGGAAAGTATCTGAAAATATCTTTATGTCACTTCCTAAGCTCCCAAATGGGAATCCAAATTTTACTACTATGTTTATCAGCTATATCCAAGATAACATCCTTCCCTAAGTATACGTAAGTGTATAATTCACAAAGATCTTCAATTGTTTCATAAAGATGTTACTTTGAGTGGAAGCAACAGAATTACAAGCATAAATGTACACTGATTAATAACAGAAAAGGCAAGAAATAGTCCAAGATAAATGAAGACACAATTGATTACTAAATAGCACGGTAAACCGCATGAAGTTGCTTCAAGAAACCAACACACAGAAAATTTAAATTCAATACTCCACATTTCTTGAACATTGACAGACCACATTGACCAGATGTCAGAATGCTTGTGCTAAAAGTGGAAAAATTCAGCCCATACAATATATGATGATACATACATAGACTTACTAGAAACATAAGAAATTGATTTTTTAATTAAAAAACCTCTGAGTCAAGCCTTTCAGAAGATTATTGCCAATTACTATTATATAGTAATCACAATTAAAGTCAAGAAAAGGGAGGCACTCGAAGTCATTCTGGCAGTTTCAAACTAATTATTGCCTAATACAAATGCCAAGAAAGAGGTGTTTTTGACAATAGCATTGTGAAGTTGTTTTTCCATATGACAGCACGGAATGTATGATGCAATATTTATGGCCGTCATCTATAAAAGCAGACAGGTTCAGTTATTGGACACTGATCCCCATAGGGCAACACTGGCTGAATCAATGGATCGCTAAATATTGCTACTGAAGTAGGAACAAAAAGTAATGTACTAGGAGGAGGTGGGAAATGCAAAAAGGAAGCCACAGACCTCAGCCACCGTTGTTATACTTCAGTCACAATAAGTCTGCAATGTTAAAGGCAGTCCCTATCACCCCCAAGTTGCTGCCGACATTTCTGATGCCTCCACTACTGGCTCCCCTTCTGAATAGCTGAAGTGCACGCTACACTGAGCTAGCAGCAGAAACAGAGGGCTCTCAGAAATTTGAATGAAGAGGGGCCCACCTCCAGAGCCCAACTTTGAAGCTGAAGATTTTGACAAAAGTCCCTTTGCGAGTCTTGGAGACAGGAAAAATTATGAAGGTGTTTGTCTCAAAGGCATGCATGGATCAATCCCCCAGCTGTACTGATGGGCTCTTGAGTTTACCATGAAAGAGACTGACTTTCCATCTTAGTGTTCTCATCACTTCATTCCACTTTTGCTGCTACTGAGTCACCAGATCATGAACAAGCACCAAAGATTTGTTCAACCACCCTTACTTCTACTCATCAAAGCTTTTCCTAGCCCCATAGATGAGAAGAATCTTACCTCATCCAGTACAGGGACTAAAACTGCTATTCATTGCCAAAGAAATGTGAGCAAAAGCTGGAGATCAATAGCACCTCATTCCTTAGGAAAATTAGAAGAGTGACATGGTCTAGAAAAATAGGTCTACTTGATTTAAAAGACTAGTTGTGAGATGGGATTATAATTCTTTCTGGGTATTCTGCTTTTCTACCAATGATAGGTTAATCTGCCTTCTCAATTAAAAAAGAACAAAGGTAACAATTAACTACTTTAAATTCATGGGATTAATTTTGAAAATGAATATTCTGACCTTAGCACAGATTGGCCTTCAGCTTGCTTCTGTGAGCAGCATCAATTCAAGTGAATCTTTTCAATGTATACTTCAGAGAGCTGGAAAGAAACTATTAGCCTATGACCTCAATATTCTAGAAAAAAATACAGATTAGCTGGACCATGCTCAGAAGAGTAGATATGGCATGATATGGAAAACTGATATGTCTGAGGAGGAATGCTGAAGGACCTAGGAATGTCTGGTCCAGAAAGGACTGAGGGAATAAGCAATGTCCAAAAATTATAGAAGAGGCCAGGCATGGTGGCTCATGCCTATAATCCCAGCACTTTGGGAGGTCGAGGCAGGTGGATCACCTGAGGTCAGGAGTTTGTGACTAGCCTGGCCAACATGGTGAAACCTCATCTCTACTAAAAGTACAAAAATTATCTGGGTGTGGTGGTGCATGCCTGTAATCCCAGCTACTCCTCGGGAGGCTGGGGCAGGAGAATGGCTTGAACATATATATATATGAGAGAAGACTAGACTTGTTTTGTGTGCAAGGGTTAGAAAGTCACTATAAGGAAGAACTGTTGGCCATGTTCAAAGATGAGATGTCACGCACTCTCAGCCACTGGGGGTGTTTGGGCAAAGGTCATCCCCACTCCATGGAGGTGCTAAGAAAAAGCCTGCACCTGCTGGGTGACCAAATGATGGACATGTCCAGTCTCCTTCAGCTTTTACAGCCAGAGACTCTGTGACTCAACTAACCTCTCATCCTCAATGGCTGTCCCTCCAGGTCAGGGTTTAGGCACGTTGGCACGTTACACTGGCGTTTCCCAGGCTGTATCTGTTCTGTGGATAAATAGAGGGTTTCAGTCTTTGATGTGGTCATCTTAGCACCATTTAGAACACAAAGAATTTAACCAATCATCTCTGGGGGCCAATTTTTTGGTCACTGTTACTATGTATTATTAACATTTACAGAACACATCCTAGATTTTAGGGTAGGGTTATTTGGGGCTTTACTACAAACCTGCCATTCAGTTCTATGAAATGCAACTAAAAGCAGGACAGCATCTAAAACTATCCCAAAAAGTCCAGACAAGCACCCCACCCTGCCCCCACAAAAAAGTTCAAATCTCATATCTCCAGATAGGAAACGAAAGGCTAATATCACAGCCATGACAGAAATGTTTTATGCAAATCAGTAAGTACATAAGTGATCATTTGGGGCAATGGCCAGAAAGGTCACACTGGAAACATGTGGAACTGGTAGAAGGAAATGACAGGTGTTGGACTGAGGGATGGGGAACAGGAATAAGGGGGAGGGGGCAAAAATGGAGGCATGGTGCTTCAAAAATGTTTGTTCACATGAAAGATGAGGCAAAGCAGTAAGTCATGGCGCCATGCATGGGTGGAGAAGAGGCAGGTCTCATATGCATGGGTGGAGAAGAGGCAGCTCTCAGGGTGGAGCTGGTGTGTGCTGACGTGAACTGATCAGATCCATGTTTTAGGCTGCCTTTCTCAGGTGCCTACATGGCCACATCTGTTCTGGTGGAGACCAGCAAATTACTGAAGCTACATGTGTAGTTTAAAGTGACATGCCACCTAACATTGTACTACACAGTCACAGACTCTCCCCTAGGCTCGGATGTGAGGAGGACTTTTTCTGGCGCTAATCAAAACAAGAATATTGAGATGATGCTTGTAGGACTTGGTGACTCGAGAACCACGAGAACCAATTTGGAGGATGGAAAACAGGCCCAGGAAAACTCGGGAAAGAAATTCAGACAGCATATAAATGGGAAATATTAAATGGCAAACCAGAGTGACATGAACAAGATTGAAATTTGGTTGAAAAGTGAAAAATTCCGTTAAATGGGTTATTTGGCATCATGTAGATTTTCTTAGATTAAAATTTGGACTGAAAATTGAGATCAGTTTGCCTTTTTATAACTACTGTGCCCATTGAAGTAGGTTGTCATTGTAGTCGGAATCTAAACTGGTTGGTTAGCTTAGGCTGAGCTACCTGCTGCAGAAAACAGAAGCAAGGTAAAAATCATCTTCAGAGCCCTCACATCAGCATTTAATTATCAGAGACCTAATCAAACAAAAGCTGCCATTCTCAGTTCCTTACATCGCTTCATCTCCATAAAGAAGAAAGCACAGTCCTCTTTGGTGTAGGCAGAAAGACTTCATTCAAACCCAGTGAACTCCTGAGGTTGGCTGTCCAGTCTTTCTCCTTCTCTCCCTTGCCTGTTGGCTCTTGGCTATTCACTGCTCACTACCACATATCACTAAAATGAAGAGAAAACACTAAACCTTTACAATGTAAAGAACCCTTATAAAGTCCAGGAGAGTTGAAACTATCTGTTAAATGTGAGATTGGGTATGCTGTGTGGGATTTAGTTATCTAGACTAGCACTCTCTCTCTCTCTCTAAGAATAATGAGGGCAAGTAAAATTATGTACATAAATACTATGGCTTTGAAGAAAATAAAAGTATCTCAATATTTTGCTTTTGTGGATATTATAATTCATAGTCATCAGGAAGAATATTAAAATAATCTCACATCACTGCAGCCAGAAAGTATTAATCACGATACTAAAAGAGTCCGATTCAAGGGTAGGCCCCAGAGCATATCACCATAATAAGCCCTTACATTTTAGTGGTGCATGCATGTTGCAAGGTGTTTTCACATATAGAATCTTGTAACTCAAATGACCCATTTAATTATGGAAGAAAAAAAACAGAAAAGGCAGGCACTTAAAAGAGGATTGTGGCTGTACTACTGGCTTGATAAGGTAGTACACGTACAAAACGTGGTAACAAAGTTTAGAAAATGCAGAGTGATCATGTTTAGAATAGACATGTCATGGCAGTCAATTCTTACTTTAAAATTGAGGTTAGATGCAGTTCCATCTTATGAGCATGGGGGTGTGCGGCTGCAACCTGGTGACCCTGCTGGCTAAAACACAGAACTCATATTCCCAAACCTACTGGCAGATCATGATGTCACTAAGCTGACAATTTTTATCACTATTAGTATTACTATAAATATTCCCTCATTTGGGGCGTACTTTGTAGTTTATACAACAGAGAATACTGATAATCTGCTGTGTGTTTTCTTTTTTATTTGCATCATGAAACCATAGTTCCATTCCCTCCTCCCCAGATCAATAACCTAATATCTGGAATCTGGGTCTTAGAGAGAACAAGAGTTGGGCCAGCCTCAACGGAAGAGCGTGTCACTCTAGAACACTTGGGAAGTTTAAATAGACTTACTAATTACCTTAGGTGGTTTTGAAAAATTACCTGAACCAAAGAACATGAGAGAAAATCTATTCTTTAACAAGGGAGCAGAGTGGACACAGAGAAAGTAGCATTCACTAATCCGAGAGGTAGAATGAGAAGAAAAAGCTTGACCCACCAGTGTCCCAGTTGCTGATGTTATGGGGGGCGCTAGACTGATGCTCCAGCTGCCGCTTCATTAACTGGCTCATTGTCAGAACTCCCAGGGATCCCCTTTTCATCTGCCTATACTGAGCTAGATGGAGGAAATTAGGAGATGATTATAATAATAAATTTCCACAGCACACAAAGGCTCCACACATCCATATAGAATTTTAATTGACCCTTCATTTGCTATTCATAATTTTTGGTAAATTGTATGCTTCTGTTCAAATGAAAAATTAAGGTACTCTGCTGTTCCGGATGCCTTTCTTCACACAGTGAGGATGGTAACAGTGCCCATTAGCACTGATTTGTCGCCTGTAAATATTTATCCCAGTTATAACTGAATGAAATATGATTATCTTCATCTACTTTTAAAATTATATACTCTGCCATGTTTCAAAAATGATTTAAGACAAATAACAAATTTAAATGTATGGCTTAACTTTCTTTAACAGAGCTTGTGCATACATTATTTCCATCTTCCTCATAGCCCCATGAGGTCCTTGTGTATGTGTGCGTGTGTACATGATGTGTGTGTGTGCGTGTATATTTTAGGGTAGGATGACACATATCAACCCCAATTTTTAGAGAGAGAAATTGAAGCAAATGAAATTATATGACTTGGAACCAGTCAGCAACTGAGGTGGTCCTAAAACCAAAACATATCAACTCCAAAGTCAATGCTGTTTTCAATCTCTGTGCGAGCCTCTGCCTACTGTTTGAAAAATGTGAATCAAACAACATTCCACGAGTATATTCTAGTACACATCTTTGTTTTTAAAAAGTGGTAACATTTTTATCCTGTAAGTTAAGCATTGAAACATATCCCATCAGTGAAATGTCAAGTTATTAGCATTTCCAAACCAGAAAACAATGAAAAACACTTTTGCCAGTAGATTGCTGAGTTGGAAAGCAGTCTCCTCTGGTCCTATTCCCAGCAGTCCCACCAATCCCTACCAACCAGCCCAGTGAGAGAGGCAGAGCATCATGGATGCAACTTTTCTGCATGACCCCAAATACCTTGTATATTTGACAACTTGTGGTTATTCTCTGTGTTATAAGAAAAACTTCAGAAACTGAAGCTATCAACTACACGCCCTAGAAAGGGATGGTAGAGACCGGGATGACCGCATGGCCCCTGGAAACTCTTCAATGTTATACACACATTTCACAATCATGGCACCAAGGTGGCAACTTGGTGTGATGTGAAATCAATTATAACATTATTTTTAATGTAACTAGCATGCTGTTTGATTAATGGTGGTCACAACACGTTTAGCTACGAAATAACCAGCTGATAAACTGATCAAAAGGGAAGGATGTGATGGGAATTCTTGTGTCTTAAAGTCAATATTAACCTAACTCATGGAAATGACTACTCAACCTAATACTAAACATCTCTGGTTTTTGCCACTAATTGGTAAAACTTACAATGTTATGACTCACTTGAAAAGCACATCTTTAAGTAAAATTCAAAAGCAGAATTCTTTTTGAAGATGCAACAAATTTAAAACTTAGCAGCATCTAGAAGACTCAATCAAATGAAAATTTTAAACCTCTGATGATTGAATAATTTCTTCAATTCTCAGGTGTTTTCAAAGACAGCAGAATTCCCTGAGAATAAAACCCTTAATGTTTAGCTCAGTGTATAAGGTACCAGGCATGATACCTCCAAGAACACACCACCAAGAGCTATAGAATGCATGCTTTTAATGGCAAGGAGGAGAAAGGTGGAAATCTAATTAAGTGCTAAGCTAAATCCAAAGTCTAGATCAATCATGACTTTGGGATCATGAAACATTTGTAATTTGTAAATTCATTTTATGGTATATTTAACTATCATTTGAGTCCTACTGAGCTAATAATCCTATTTCAAATTATACTCTAATTCACTATCTTTTTATTTCTTCATTTTTTTTTTTTTGAGACAGGGTGCACAGGCTGGAGTGGAGTGGCACAATCACAGCTCACTGCAGCCGCCATCTCCCATGCTTGAGCGATCCTCCCACTTTGCCCTCCCCAGTAGCTGGGACTATGGTGCGCGCCACCACGCCTGGCTAATTTTTAATTTTTTTATAGAGACTGGGGCCTCACTATGTTACCCAGGCTGGTCTCGAATTCCTGGGCTCAAGTGATCCTCCTGCCTCAGCTTCCCAAGTGCTGGGATTACAGGCGTGAGCCACCACACCCAGCCCACTATCTTTTATTAAAGATAACTCGTACAAATTAGGAGAAGATACACTTTTATGATTTTAGTATGTGGTCATAAAATTGGCATTTTATCATGTGATCTAACAGATTTTTGTAATAAAAGAAGAATAATTAGATTCAGAACTAGCCATTCTTCTTTGCTACCAAAAGGGCAAATAACTGTCATTTGGAAACTATTTCTTAGAATTTCCATAATCCTTATTACAACTGAATTTGAATTATTTAAAGGAAGTGTGGTATACTAAAAATGAACATGGCTTTGTAAGTCTAAAGGGCCTAGCATCAATTCCTGAATCTATCACTTAGTAGATATTTGACTTTAGGCAAGTCATTTAGCTTCTCTGGATCTCAATTACCTAATCTATAATATGGGGCCAACAACATCTATCACGCATGTGTTGATGTAACAATTGGATCAGATAACAATGTGTGTGAGCCACTTGGCACAGTGCCTGGCACATGATAGATGTTAAATAGATAGTAGCTATAATTACTATTATGACTGCAAACTCCTGGAGAACAAGCGGTGTTTTATTTATTCACTTTTGACCTCCAGTGCCAAGCACAGTGTCTGGCATCCAGCAGACACTTAGTAAATAGTTGCTGAATGAATGAATGCATGAATGAATGAACAATGAAGATGATGATGTTCCAAACTACCAGTCCAGTATTTAAGATCTTTATCTGTTTTTTCAGGATCATCAAAAGATGGTCAAATGAAAATTATTAAATAGCTTTTCAGGCAATGTCCACATGGAACACAACATTTATCAGCACATATGACAAAGGTTTATAGAAATTGCATCTATGTTCATATCTCTGATTCTTGGTAAGACTGTCTCATGCTAAAGTCTCGTAATTAACCCCACTGAGACATGTGGACATGCTTATGGAACTTCAGTGGAACTCAAGCTCCCATGGACAAAATCTAGGACCCAGTAACAGAAGCCAGTTTCAAAATACTCGCCTCCTACAGGTCCTGTAAAATGTCGTGCCATTTCCACTCTCCAATCCAAAAGAGCTAAATTCAGTCATGACTTTGGGAATATGATATATCATACATTTATTTTACGATAACCTAGATCAAATTTTGTCAATGATGGAGGCGACTCAAATTAAATAAAAGTGTTCCATGTAAAATTCTGCCATAGACAATGCTTTTCATGTGCCCCAAAACCTGTTCCGTGTTTTATGTTCAGGTTATACAATTTTTATTTTATTGAATAATGGAATTCAGTGATCATTCCTTAACAAATTAGGATACTTGGCCAGTCAGTAACCATAGTGATTTATCAAACACTAGAGATACGGACGAAAGTGGGCCATCCTACTCCTCAGGGTCTCTGAGAATATACAACATACTATCACCAAGGAAGCTGATGCAACATTAAAATATATATACAATACCAAGATTGGGAAAATTGAAAACAAGGCAGCAGACAGTGTTCCAAAATAAATGCATAGATGAAATAATCAGCAGAGGAAATCTTACTTGATATTGAGGAATGGCTACTTGTTTCCGGCACACCTGCATCTAACGTAGGGGCAGATGAAGATTCTCGTGGCATTTCCAAAGTTGAAAGTCCTTTAGTAGAAGGATCTACAAACAGAAATATTATTTAAAACTCAGGACACTGATTAAAAGCAAGTTCAAGAACCTTTTCTATATCTTTTACCTCTTGTCTACTACAACCATTCAACTCTTTATACACTTTCCTGGCCTAATAATTACTTTCATGGAATTACATATACACTAGTTACAATGCTCCAGGGAGAGCTGACTCTATGTGACATTCTGCACCTATGGATCTGCCTTTTGGAGATTAATGATAGCAAAATTACAGAGCTAAAGCTCAGCTGTTCACAATGCATATCCCCAAACAAATTCCTTAACCTTTCTGTACTAAATTTCTTTTCATCTAAGACCTAAATATGCTTAATAGTTCATCCCTATCTCCTGTCTAGGTACTCCACCTTTGTCTGACAATTTCCTACTTATCATTTGCGTCTCAATTTATATAGAAAATTCCTCCTTTAGGGAGGCTTCTACAACCTCTCTCCACAAAAATATACAAACAAAAATGCTGGGTCAGGTGCCCTTTTGATGTAATTACAGAGCACCTTGTCTTTAACCTTCTCCAGACTTACCACACTATAATCTAATTGTCTGTTTCCTTGCCCATAGCCTTCGCTAACCCTTAAGTGATTTAGGAGCATGGACTGTACTCAACCCGAAATAAATATGCATGATTAATTCAGATTTTGTATTTTATTTGTTGAGCAAGAAACAGACTGCCATTGGCTCTCCTATTTGACAAATGTTGAATTTAAAGTGAAATATTTTCTGCATATAATATTGTCTTATTAACCTATCAGTAATGGGAAACACTCTGTCCCACATTATTCTAGGTAACTACAAATTATTTTTCAAAACCTGCTGAAAAGTTTACTGGCTTCTTTCCAAACCTTGTTGCCATCTTAGGCAGCACCATGCAGTGAATATACTGAGCATCTTGCTGGCTTGGAGTTACCACCATGGGCTCCCATGACTACACTGTACTGGAATTCAGGGATGTCAACCCTAAATGGCTTCAAGTTCTTAAGCTTAATAGTGTTTCTGTCTCATCCTTGTCATGGTGCAAATTGTTTTTTCTTGCCAGAGAGCAAACCTCATACATTCATACAAACATACACTTTAAGGAAACAAATGCCATTCTATTATTAGATGATCATTAAACTTGCTAAACTATAGAACAGATCCTAGGTGAGGGTCTAGGAGAAAGGTTCCTGAGCACTGATTTCGAAGCATCTATTTTTGATTCTCAGAGGCCTTTCAAGTAGGTATGGTTGCCAGATTAATAACCTCTTGATAACAAAAAAGCATAACTCTTGTAAAGTTTCCCAAACCCTCTTAATAAAGCATAATGACTAATGTTAAATTACTTTAGCCATTAAGATAGTAAAGGTCAGCTATGATTTTTCTCTTAGGTATCCTCCCCAAACTACTAATCAAAAACATGCATAATTATCTCTCTTACCCTTACTGGCCTGCACTCTATGCAGGCTACAACTAACGCCTAATAATCTCACCAATAATGTTAGTGAAAAAGCTTAAAGCTAATTTTCAAGGATTCTCTGAAAGATTATTAAGCCTTTTAGAGTTTGGGTATGCCTATTTGTGTGTGTGTATATGAGTGTGTGTGAGATGGAGTCTTGCTCTATTGCCCAGTCTGGAGTGCAGTGGCATGAACTCAGCTCAGTGCAACCTCTGCCTCCTAGGTTCAAGTGATTCTCCTGCCTCAGTCTTCTGAGTAGCTGGGATTACAGGCACACACCACCATGCCCAGCTAATTTTTGTATTTTTAGTAGAGATGGGGTTTCACCATGTTGGCCAGACTGGTCTCGAACTCCTGACCTCAGGTGATACACCCACCTTGGCCTCCCAAAGTGCTCGGATTACAGGCATAAGCCACCGTGCCTGGCCTTGGTATCCCCATTAAAATCCTTGCTGTATCTTTAATTTTAAAGAAACGTCTTGCTGTAAGAAGGTCGGTAATAAGCATTAGTGTACTAAGATTCTGTTAGCGAGGCAATCTTTCCTCAGCCCTCCATCATTTTATGAAAGATTTTACTTGCATAAATTTAAGATAAATATCTGAATAGAGCTATCCACTTGGCTTAAAATATTTGTATTCAATTTTTATAGTGATGGGAAGAAAATGTCAGGCTATCCTTTCATTCCTTCATCAGACATTTGCCAGCTCTCTATTGGTCACTTGTGATAGAGTCAGTGAACAAATCAGACAAAATCTTTGCCTTCAGGAGCTTTCATTTGGGAGGGGAGAGACAGACAATAATTCATACGCATAAAAGTGAATAAATTATTGTATGTTGGAAGATCAATTCTCTGTAGGAGAGAAACAGAGAAGAGAAAGACAGACATCAAGATACCAGGTAGGGGCTGGAGAGTAGGGCATCGCAGAGAACCTGGTGTTGGATCAAAGAATTAAAAGGGAGAGAATGAGCCAGACAGATATTTGGCAGTTCCAGGTTGAGGGAGCAATCAGTGGAAAGGCCCAAAGGTAAAGAATACAAAGGCGGGTGTTCAAGACCTGACAAGGGGTCACTGTGGCTAGGTAGCATTGTGGTGAGAATAGTGTGAATGCAGTTGAGAGCCAATGAGGACTAGGACCACATAGGGCTTTGCAGGAATTTAAAGAACTTGTGTTTTGCTATGAAAGAAATAGCGAGTCACTGGAAGTCTTTAAGCAGGGGAATGGTGTAATCTCCTATTTTAAAAGATCACTCCGGCTGTTGTGTTGAGAGGACATGAAGGTAATAGGAGTGTAAAATACTACTACTAAATAAAATACTACTAAAATAATCATCCCTAGCCAATTCCATTTTTTCTAAAGTCAGGAGGCTCTAGCAGTTCATCTAGGTCAGAGATGTCAGTGGCTCAGGCCAGAGTGGAAACAGTGGAGGTAAGAAGAAGGTGCCACATTCTGGATGTGTTTTGAAGGTAGATTAAGTTTGCCAGATTAAATAGAAGATGCTCAGTTAAATGTTAATTTCAGATAAACAACAGATAATATTTTCATATGAGTAAAAATAGTCCCATGCAATATTTGAGAGATGTGGCCCCAATTCTTCATATCTCCCTGAATCCATGCCTTTCACCATGTGACTTTAAAGTTCTACCACTAAAGAGGGAGAGTATATTTCCCCTCTTGACTTTGGTTCAGCCATGTGATTTGCTTTGGCTGACAGAATGTTTGCAAGAATAACATGGCCAGAGGCTTGGAAAGTGCCTGTGCAACACGGCTTGTTCTTTTGTGACTCTGCCATCACCATGGCAGAATATTTCCAGGCTTCAAGGTCCAGGTCGAGGTCAGCAGGCATGAGAAGCAGAGCCTAGCCACCCAGCCTTGGCCAATCCCCAGGTGAGTTGTAGACTCTCGAACTAAATAAATACTTGTTGTAAGCTGCTGAGGTGTTTGTTACACAGCATTATTTCCGCAATAGGTCACTGATGGTTGTCTTAGCATACAGACAATATCTAAAGGCTAAAACCAGATGAGACCATTGAGAGAGGGAGAGTTCATAGAGAAGAGACTAGGATCAAGGACAGAGACCACAAGTCACTCTGTCATTAAGGAAATAGAGAGGAACCAAAGAGAATGATGGGGTGACCAACAGTGTCAAAGACTGCAGATATGTCAGCATCAGACCTCATGACTGACTGCTGACAGATTTAGCAGTGAAGGACACTGGTGACCTTGACAACTGCTCTTTGGGTGAAATAGTAGGAATGAAAGCTTCATAGGAATGATTTTTTTAAGAGACAGGGTATCACCATGTTGTCCAGGCTGGAGTGCTGTGGCTATTCACAAGTGCAATCATAGCACACTACAGCCTCCAACTTCCAGTCTCAAGAGATCCTCCTGCTTCAGCACTCCAAGCAGCTGGGACTACAGGTGTGTGCCACCATGCCCAGCTTATGAACAGCTTTTAGAAATAACAGACTGGAAGAAAATTGGAGATAGTATAGAGTTGTCTCTTCCAAACTCTATACTAACGTTTGTCTCTTCCAAACTCTATACTAATGTTTGTCTCTTCCAAACTCTATACTAAAACATTAAAAATGATACCAAAAATTAAATGATACCAAAATTTAAAATGATACCAATCAACATTATGTGTTTTTGTTTTCTTTTAATTTTAATTCATTAGTATGTTTTAGTATAGAGTTTGGAAGAGACAACTTTAATAGAATTTGGGAGAGACAACTCTATTCTATCTCTTCCAAAATGTTTTGCTACAAGGAAAGGAGTAAAATGGGCTAATAGTTGGGAGAACATGGATCAAGTGCTTTTGTTTGTTTAAGAAAGAGAAATAAGATTATGTTTGCAGGCTCAAATCAAGGGTCCTTTAGGAAAAAAAAATACTAAGAGAGGATACAGAAGGGAGAATTTTAGGGGCCTATATTCTTGAGTAAGCGAGAGAGATAGAATCGTGTCCACATGTGGAAAGGCTGGGTGTAGACAGGACTACAGACAGTTAACCTACATACAGCCCCAGCCAGGAAGTCCAGGTGTGTAGGTGCAGAAGCTGGAAGGTGGGCAGATAAGGTGATAGGAGGCTGTGGAAAGTCCTTCTAATTATGTCAATTGCAAGACTTATTGAAAGTTTGGGGAGAAAAGTAGCTATGAAATAGTCATTTAGGAGACTGGAAATGTGAATGGACCAGGAAAATATGTTACGATTGTCAGGTTGAAGGACCCAGTTGAGGTTCATGGCCATTAATTTAAAATGATACCAGCCAACATTATGTGTTTTTGTTTTTCTTTTTTTAAATTTTATTTTGTGCATGTAGTTGCACTTCATACAATTTCATTTGCAAAATGAGGCAGTGGGACAGATTTGGCCCATGTGCTGTTGCTGACCAATCCTGGATCTATGTTTTCACTGGTCATGTTAAGGAATTCAAGCACATTTCTTAATTTTCTTTTAATTTCTTGAAAAATGCATTATGTGTTTTCACCCAGTCACATTCATCTGATAGGTGCAGGTACTGGTAGAGGGAAAGCTGGATTTAACACAGGTTGTGTTTAGCCAAGCAAATCTAAAAAGGGAAAGGCCCAAGAGGGTGCAGGCAGGGAGGGATTACATTGATAGCCTTGAGTTTAAGTTGAGTAAGGAGAAAAGACACGAAGTAGGGGAGGGACAGCAAAAAAATACTTGGATCAATACACAATTGTCCAGGGAGAGAAGAAATGGTAATCAGAGGATGAGAGATGAAACTGAGATCATGAAGAGGTTGCAGTTATTGGCAAATAATAAGGTCTGCAATGTGACCATGGGTGTGAGCAGCTGAGCTAAGGTGGAGGATAAAAAAACAATCGCTGGAGAAGATGCATTCAAGGAAACCAAGTGTCAGGAGTGTCATCTACACTAATATTAAAATCCACAGGAATTAAGACAGGAATAATTTAGGAAAGAATAAGAAGGGCCACGAATCAAATTTGTCAACAAGTGAGGAAGAGCCAGGGTTCGTGATGATGCAGCAATGCAAGTAGTGGGTGCCGTGATCTGAGGGTATGCAGCTCAGAGAGGGAGTTTCTAGAGACAAGAAGGGAAGGGTCTGAAAGGGGAAGTGTGGAGCAAGGAAGATGCTGCCCCTGGCCAAGTCCAGTGACATGGGCTGTAGGGAAAGCAATGTCCTCAGGGAGAGCTGGGCTTCCATTAGACTCAGAAGGCAAGGGAAATAGAGGAGAATGTGTGTGAGGGATTTTGCTCATGAAGGACCATGAATTTCCTAGGACACAGGGGAAGGGTTTCAGGAGTCAGGGTAACGAAGGAGAAAGCTTCAGAACAGAAGGTATGCAAGGCCTTGTGGAGCTCTGAGTGAGGGATACGGAGGACGACCCAGTACTCTAGGGACTGACGTAAACAGAGTGAAGTGCACAGTGAGGTTAGTCCTGGACTCCTGGCAGTTAGCAGGGGCAAGGCTGTGCGTCTGGGAGGGTTTGGAGGGGCAAGTGTATGGGCCTCCCTCACTCCTGATGATGGACACAGGAAAGTCTGGGGACGCCTGGGTCATGCTCTGAGCACACGGGACTCCTTCCCATGCCCAGCAAGGAGGGGCAGAAGAGATCAGATCAGAGTCAGTGGGAGGCAAAGCCTTATGGAGACATACAATTATGATGACAGTAAAATAATATTATGCCATTTTAAAGACATGTTATAACTATCATGTATTTTTCCCCTGTTCTGTTAACAAATAATTTCCTCCCTGGTAGTCTGGGGAACAATCAAACATAAGGGTGAATAAAGAAGCCAACACAGTTGCACACACAAACCTGCATGCTAGAACCTACATGCAACCTACACATCACAGAGACTCACCCTGTAGACCTCAGCTTCGTATGCACCAGCCCTATAGACCTCTATCATTTCTAGGTCAATGCCCTCCTCCTTCCATATGCAACCATGTTCCTGGCCCCAAACAATAAAAAGGTGTCCCAGTTTCCCTGAAAGCCTTCTTAACTTCTTAAACTTTCTTGTTATGAACAAGGACCGTTTTTTCCCTGCCTGGCTGGAGCATGACCCTTTCCAAACACGCCAATGTTCATTCAACAGATTTTTACAGCGCGTTTTTGAGGTAGACAGCTCTGTCCTAGGAGCTAAAGGGCAGCTAGAAACCTCTGGAAATGCCTGGGGCAAATAAAAAAGCCGAGTGCATTCCCTTAGAAGTGGCTTTTGTGTGGAACAGCGGGAAAACGTGACTGGAATCAGGCACTGCTTCTGTCTGGCCATGTGACCTGGTGCATCCCCTCCTCTAAGCCTCGGTATCTTCCTGTATAATATGAGGGGCTAGGCTAGAGGTCTTTAAGACCTTCACCAGTTTTTAACATTCCACAGTCTATATATCTACTAAAATAATCATCCCTAGCCAATTCCATTTCTTCTAAAGTCCCATTAACTTTTTTATTTTATTTTATTTTTTTAGACGGAGTCTCACTCTGTCACCAGGCTGGAGTGCAGTGGCACCATCTCACCTCACTGTAACCTCCGCCTCCCAGGTTCAAGCAATTCTCCTGCCTCAGCCTCCTGAGTAGCTGGGATGATAGGCGTGCGCCACCACGCCCAACTAATTTTTGTATTCTTAGTAGAGACGGGGTTTCACTATGTTGGCCAGGATGGTCTTGATCTCTTGATCTCATGATCTGCCCGCCTCAGCCTCCCAAAATGCTGGGATTACAGGCATGAACCACTACGCCCAGCCCCATTAACTTTTTTTAAAAGATCTGAACTAAGAAATGAAGATGGGTTTTGATCAGTGTTGCGGTAACATTACAGAAGACTGTTATAGGATGAGGTGGATCATGGGCTTGCCATTTCTTTCAAGTTATCTTTCTTAGAAACAATGCCTCCAAGCAAACACAAGAAATGGCCCTGAGGCAGGAAACCCATGGGCTGTGATAACTTCATCACCAAGTGATGACCGTGGGTTAGGGTCTAGGCTGTAACTGGTATTTTTTGGTTTCTGATATTTGGTTAGTATCTACAATCAGCTGTATGCCCTGTAAGTGATTATACAGTCAATTCTTAATCATTCTAGGGCACTCTGCTTTATTTTAGCCTCCACATTGGTTCCTTCTTTGGACTATATCATAGCTCACTAGTACAGGGCAGAGAAAAAAAGAAAGCAAAGAGTTCAAGTTAATGACTTTTGCTGTTTGAGGAAGGCTGAGATGATACCTGGATTATCCTGATACGAATTAACCAATGCATCTCATTGCCAAGGGTGGTCAAGAATTGACTGCAGAGTTTAAAACAACAAAAACAGAAACATTTGTGGAGCCAGTAGAACCACATCTGCATCCAACATTGTCCATTAAACAGGAAGGATTCAGAGTGATTGAGAAGCCATTATAATGTCACACCCTGACATTATAAGAGTTTGAGTCTGATGCATATTCAGTGCCGGTACCCTATCAAACAAGATGCACAAACTTAAAGTTAAGGCTGAGAGAAAGAAGAGAGGCGAGCTTACCTGGATCTTTCTGTTCTCCCAGTTTGTCCAGAATGTTGAAGGAGATGTCGAGGTACTCTCTCTGGATAGCACTGACAGCAATCTTCCTCTGCTTCCTCTGCCTGGGAACAATCTGAATCTTAAATTCGGATTCCTCAGCTCCATCCTCTTCCACCTTCCTTTCAGGATTCTGTTCTGTATCAGATTCTGCACTGGTATCAGGCTTCTCACTTTCTGTGGGGTTCTCTGCATCTTCGGGAACTTTGAGGAGGACGGTTTTTGCCCCTGAACTTGGCATCAGCTCCCCAGGCTTCTCCCCCTCAGTGCCCGGGTCAGGGTGATCATCCAGCGACATCTCGGGGAGAGCAAACGACTTCTGAAGGAGGTCTCGTTTTTGCTTCAGCGTCAGTGGGCTACCGCAGGAGAACTCTGGCAGCTCCTCTGGCTTTGAGGATCCTTCGGCGTCCATAGGGTCTTCCAGAGTGATGAGGGCAGAGTCAGTGTTCCCTGCTGACTGATTATTTCCTGAGTCCTTAGAAGAAAAGTCTTTGGAACAATCCTCCACACTTACTTGTACAAGCGGAGCTGTGCTCAGGCTGAGGACGGAGGGATGGCTGGGGACGGAGGGAGAAGAGGCAGCATTTTTACCGGAGGGGCCGTCATCGCCTTGGTTCATCGTCTCCTCTTCTTCGTCACTCTCGACTATTCTGAGAGGGGGAAGAGGCTCAAATACAAGAGAGTCGCTGTCGGAGGTTGAGAGTATAGAGTGTTTTTCAGGCCCCGAGGTTGAATCTGAGGATAGATCTATCAGATCTAAATCCTCTTTAGGAGCAGGCTTTACCGGCGAGTCAACTTTCACCTCGAAAGTCTCCATACAGTTTAACCTAACCTCTGGTATGACAGGCCTTCGAGCATCTGGAAACCCTTCCATAGCTGGGTTCTCGGGGATTTCACTATTGTCAGGCCTCGTAGCAGAGTTCTGTCTAGAACGTCCAGGGTCGTTTGGTCTTTGTGCGATATACGCAGCTTGGGTCGGAGGCTTCTCTATGTCACACCGATCTATGCACGACTTCCTACGATGTTCGTCTAATGTAAACAAAAGCGAGTCTGCATTCCCTATATCAAGAGATTTTTGTTTGAAAGAGCGTAGCTTTTTTTTCGGAATGCTTTCTTCTCTCACACAGTGGAGAAGGCTGTCTTGTAATGCACCCGTCTCTCTATATTCAGCCAGTTCTATTTCACCTGATCAAAACAGAAAAAGCTAGTACTATTTTACTTGGAGATTTCACCATTTTTTCCCCTCATCCTTGGGCATACAATTGGCATAAATCATCATCACAATCCCAGCTCCACCAGGAGGGAAAACGAACTTTCTGGCCAAGTTTTTGTAAGGTTCGTTCTAATTTCAAAAACTGGAAAATTTACGAATGAAAGAAACCAAAATGGCAGTTTAAGATCTGATTTCCAAAATCGGGCTTCGGGATAATTCCTCAGCTCTGTTCATTTGTGCATAGGAGAGGGGATCATTTTTTGGCTGAGGCAGATCTAGGAAACTGTATTCAAATCGTGTGGAAGAGAAGCAAACATTTTGCAACAAATCAAATCAAGCAATGGCTCTCAAAGACGATCATGACATTAATGATGTATCTGTCGATTCACGTATATATATAAATGTGTATATATATATACTGTTTGTGCATACATATATATAAATCAACGGTATTAAAATGTGTAGTAACATAATAAAATTAAGATTTCACCCCAAACAAACGGTAGAGTACAACATTTCTGCATAAAATTACTAAGAGAAAAAATTCATACTTCTCTGAACATTCATCTCAACCGGCTGATATTTCACCATTTTGCTGCCGCCTATTCTTTTCAATCTTGCAAAAAAAGTTTGAGACTCTTTATTGCAGGGTCCAGTAGGTGTATCATGAATATCAGATTCATCAAAAACACTATCTTCTTCTAATTGGGGAGAGAAAGTCAAAATTACACTTAAGAGGTTATTCTCTCTTAGGCTGTGTCTACACAAGCATTTCAATGAAAGCATTATGGAACAAGGTCTGGGTTAGTTTCTGCACCAGCCCAAGTCTAGCCATGGGTTGGTATTTCATCCAGGCATCAAATTCTCCATCTATTGGACAGAGCAAGCTGTTACAAGATTGCCCATCACTTTTCACATGACAATTGGCAGCATTTTTAAGGAGAGGCTTCTTGAGAGTCCAATAGCGCCTTTTTGGGAAACTTTTCCAGTGTGCTTAACACCAGATGACACATAGATGTCAGCTACTTTTTCCAGGAGCCTGTGACACTGCTTGGACTTGTCTGCTTTGCGTGGATTTTCAGGCTGATTTGGCGAAAGGAAATTAAACAAAATGAGTGGATCTTGGGCTTTCCAAAAAAGAAAAAAAAATCTGCCTTTATGGGATTTGGTAACTGGCATAGACACAGCCTAACAGTACATGCACCTTATACGGTGTGAATGCAAAATACTGTACTCTACATTTGATAATGAGACACGCAACACACAGAAAAAGCTTAGAAAAGCCACTTGTCATCTCAAAAGCTCCACGAATGATTATGGACTGAAAGAGTAAACAAAGGAAAAAGAAAACAGAAAATAACATTTCCTCCTATTAAAGTAAGACTCTTCTCTGAGGCGCTTACCACGTGTAACTATTACGGATCTCATGAATCCCAGAAAGAATCTTTGACACTTATGATCCCTAATCCTACATAAACAAACCGGTCACTTTGAGTGCCTGTTGAACTTGTTTCTACGTCCTCCCTTCTACACCCATGTGGCCATTTTTAAATCCAAGATAAACCCCAAAATATGTTAATGAGGAAAGAGTTCATATGTTGCAACCCATAAAGTTTACTTAACCAATTTTCTTCTTTCGTCCTTTTGAAAGGCCAAAGCCACGTACAAAGTGGCAACAGAAAAGGCTACTAAAATGCATTTAATAGCATCATAATGAGTTTACCTACTATTCAAGTTGAATATCACTGAACTCATAATGTTTGGCCTGTATTTACATCTACCTATATGACAAATGAGGCTCAGGTGCGATTATGATTATTCAAGGTTTTTTTTAGCATAAGGGCAGTATATACATCAAGTTTTAAGGACTGACCCTGTTCTAATGCACAAAATTCTACAAGTAAATGAAACTTGAAGTAGTAAATTTTAGATGAAATAACCATACTAAACTTTTTAATTAAATAAAAATAAATGTTAATCAAAATGAATTTGTTTTTAAACCCAGTGAACTTCCACAAAGATGGGAATGCCTATCAAATTCCCATGTTTCTGGGGAAACGCAACACAATAATCTGTTTTACTTCTCTATTTCCTTTTTGGAAAAATATCCTTTGAAAAATGCAGTTTTTCCAACCAATAGTTACGTGACTTGCATTACATAACTTTGAAACAATTTTCAAAATGCATTGAACACTCAAGACTGAAAGACCACAAGATGGCGCCTCCCATCCAGAAAGGTTCATCAGGGTTTGGCCCAAACACTAAGCCCACGCTGAAAACATCCATAGCTTAACAGATCTCCCCAATTTGCCAGAGACTAAACCCTAAACTGGTAGACAAGATATTCTTTAGGAGGGATCTGAATGGTACCAGAACTTAAAGAACCTAGTTCTCGAGTTCCGTCTGTAGCCAAACTAGATTTTTGGAACTTTCAGCAATAACAAACAGGAACACTGGTACAATTTATACTTTTGAGGTATCTCCAGAGCAGTCCTACTAAAACAGACTCTACTAACCTCATAAAGGGTCAGTGGACACTTGGTTTTTTCCAAAGACTAGATTAAATGATGTCAATTTAAAATCTAGTCAGCCGTGACTTACACTAAAAACTAAAAATATACACCCTGGTTCTTCGTGTCTCACCTGAAAACAGGCTGCAATTTTACCCTAGCTAAAGTTGCATTCTACTGCCCCTTTTAGAAAAAGGTAGCAATAGAAAAAGTGTTGATAATGGAGATAGCTTACACCTATGCAGCAAAAATGTTTCATTTCCCTTGCCTTGAATCACTTTGTATTAAATTAAAAGTCTAG
This sequence comes from Homo sapiens, assembly GCF_000001405.40. Taxonomy (NCBI): domain Eukaryota; kingdom Metazoa; phylum Chordata; class Mammalia; order Primates; family Hominidae; genus Homo; species Homo sapiens. The sequence continues at coordinate 733,343 of NT_187601.1, read as the reverse complement.
GAAAAAGCACTTCAGCAAACTTAGACTCCATTGAAACTCTATGAGCGCAAAGACCAGGGCAAACTAGAGACCTACAAAGAATGGCTCCACTGTGTGCCAACCAAGACTTATTTTATAGCCCAAAAACGAGATGCTTCTAACACGTAAGAAAAGGCTTACAAAGGCTCCTGATTCAAACAGCAGAAAATATCTTACAAAATATTATTTCTTATGATACAGGCTTTGGAAGCACATCATTTATTCCTCTTGAATGCTCAATTTCAAAGTTAAAGCAGCAACATTCATGGAAAGTTGGAAAATTAAGAAAGTGATTTTTTTTTTTACTCCAGAATGATATCTGGGAACACTCTTCTATCTCCTAAGAAAACATTGTCCAGAAATCTATTATGTATTGAAGCTAGGTTTGGGATAGAATTTAGATATGTACCTTTTTCTTTTTCGCTGTATCTGCTTATGTTACTGTTGTCACTGTACAAAGGTCCTGCCGTGGCATGGGGCTTGCAGCTATGATACTGCGCATTGAGTGTATTGACTGTTATGTGAATCAGATGCAGCAGGATCTTGCTGATATCACAGTCTCGGTATGGATACTGCCCAATGAAACGAGAGAGAAAAAGATAAATGGTTATTTTAGAGGGTAAGCTTTTCCACCTGATCTTGCTGGATACTTTTTGCAGTATCTCTTGGGGATAAATATATATATGAGAGAGAGAGAGAAGTAGAAACAAATTCTGCTCATGGCCTTATTTATTTGTTTAGTTAGAGACAGGGTCTCACTCTGTCACCCAGGTTGGAGTGCTGTGGCGTGATCATAGCAGCCTACCGGGCTCAGGTGATCCTCCCACCTCAGCCTCCCAAGTAGGTGGGACCAGGCACGTGCAACCATGCTTGGCTAATTTTTTGTAGAGATGGGATTTCACCATGTTGCTCAGGCTGGGCTCGAACTCCCGGAGTCAGGCAACCTACCCACCTCGGCCTCCCATAAGTGCTGGGATTACAGCAGTGAGCCACCACGCCCTCCCCCATGGCCTTATTTTTACAAGGGACCATATTCATTTCCTCCTTCACCAAACCACTGACAGCAATGCATGCCAGTTCATAGTTACATTTCTTTTCAAGAAAATTATCTGGCATAAACCTTTAGTGGATGAATACAATTTCAGATATCTTTTGTTTTCTGAAATAATAATACTTAGACAAAATACAAGACTGAGTATAAACAGAGGTTCTTGATCAGTAGCCTACCATTTATCATTCTTTGTTTTAAACATTTTTAGAGCATATATTAACAGGGCCTCCCATTTCTATTTTCATTTCAATAGCTCTTTGGTTCTTAACAGTAATTGCATATCCTGATCTTCCTTCTGAAGGTCAAACTTCTACAAAATTTTCAACTAAAGACTCAGGTGTTCTCCTAATGCTATATGCTCTCTAAGAGAACCATTGCATCCAAAACAGCAGTGACCACCCAGCTCACCTTGTAAAGGATGACAAGCAAGGCCTTCAACCACATCTGCCGGATGTGAGGCTTTAGGGACCAGAGGGAGCAACGAGGCGGCTGTTGGAAATAATGCCGGAGTTGAGGACAAGAGCAGTATTTGAGCACCTGAACCACTAAGGGGAGAAGGTGTTTTCCCAAGTTAATGTTATAGTCCATAACCTGAAATAGAAAAAATATTAATAACTGATGGAAAACTACAAAGAACACTCAGAGGTCAAAAGGAAAAATTTGAGCCATCCCAGTGGTTAAAATTTTTAACAGGCAAAATATTTAACAGGCATCCCACAGAATATTAAAAGTAATGGCTAGTACGCAAGAAGGAGGAAAAGTCCAACCTCACAAAAAATTTTTGAAACTTGTAAATGAAAATAGTTTTAATCTAATTAATTATTTGTTTCAGTACCTATTGAAAATAAAATTTTGTCCATTCAACTATTAACCAGAGTTAAACTAGACAATGAAGAAACCTAGTATTGGTAACCACCTGCAGAAATGGGAATTCCTAGACGACCGGCAATACTTGGTTCAATCTGAACCAAGTATTATACCAACCAAACTTGATACAATCTTTCAGGAGAACAATTTAGTAATATATATTCAGGAATAAGAAAAAGCACATGCCAGGTGCAGTGGCTCATGCCTGCAATCCCAGCACTTTAGGAGGCTGAGGCAGATAGATTGCTTGAGCCCAAGAGTATGCTCAGGCAACACGGCGAAACCCTGTCTCTACCAAAAATACAATAAGTTAATTCGGTGTGGTGGCACACACCTATAGTCCTAGCTACTCGGGAGGCTGAGCTGGGAGGATCCTCTGAGCCTGGGAGGTCGAGGCTGCAGTGAGCCATGATCACACCACTGCACTCCAGCCTGGGCTACCAGAGTGAGACCCTGTCTCAAAAAAAAAAAAAAAAAAAGGAAAAAAGAAAGAAAGAAAAAGCATATACCGTCTAATACAGCCATTAAATATATCCCAAAGACATAATCAGACAAGTGTTCCAAAATGTATGTATAAAGAAATTCAGCATGGCTTTGTTTATAGTCACCCCAAACTGAAAACAACCTCCATATTCAATAATATGGGATTAGATAAACAAAATACTGTTTGTATAACTACAGAAAACTATGTAGCCACTATACAGAATATGATACAAATTTATTTACATGATATAAACTTCATAATAAATTTTAGGTTTAAAAAGGTTGCACCAAAATCTCAGAAATCACCACTAAAGAACTTAACCATGTAAGCAAACACCACCTGTTCGCCAAAAACCCATTGAAATAAAAAAATTTTAAAAAGGTGGCATATATATCAGTATGTATAATATGAACCTATTATTGTAAAAATGCACAGACATACATATGTGAGTATGAAATTATGTATGTGTATAAATTTGGAGGGAGCAATATATGCCAAAATGTTAGGGAGTTATTTTTGACACGGGTTTTCTGGAGTTATACAAACCCCATATAAAAATTTAATTTTTAATTTTTAGCTTATATTTCTTTTTTTCTTTTCTTCTTTTCTTCTTTTCTTTTTTTTTTTTTTTTTTTTTTTTTGAGATGGAGTCTCACTCTGTCACCCAGGCTGGAGTTTAGTGGTGCAATCTTGGCTCACTGCAACTCTACCTCCCAGGTTCCAGCGATTCACCTGCCTCAGTCTCCCATGTAGCTGGGACTACAGGCACATGGCACCACACCCAGCTAATTTTTGTATTTTTAGTAGAGACAGGGTTTCACCATATTGGCCAGGCAGGTTTCGAACTCCTGACCTCGTGATCCTCCCACCTCGGCCTACCAAAGTGCTGGGATTACAAGCATGAGCCACCATGCCCAGCCTTGATTTTAGCTTATATTTCTAAAGTAGACATGCATAATGTGGACTTAGAGGGTGGGGAGAAGAGGGAGGGAGGCTTTGGTATCTGAAACAGTGACAGCTGAGAAAAAGCGGTGATCCATCCAGTTATCAGCATCAGCACAGGACGACTACACGCACATTGCTCTCACGTTGCTCATCTTTGTTCATTATGTTACAATCTATTTGAGCTAATTGACAATAACAGCAATCATCTATTGAGTTCCTACCATGAGACAGGCATTGATCAAGGTGCTTTGCAATATGTTTTCTCTAATCTATCAAAAAAGGAAATCTGTGTACCAATAAGCAAGCAAGCAGAGAGTGCCTAAGCCCTAGCAACTAATAACAGAGGTGGAGCTGAAATTCATATCCACATCTCTGTAGCCCCAAGTCCTCTATCTTTGCAGATTGGTGCAGCTGTTCTGGAGAGTGAGATTTGTAGCACTGACCAAATTAGGCATACATTTACCCTACCACCCAGCAGTTCTTCTGGATCCATCTCCCTAAGGAATTCTCACATTGGCTGATACGGTGTGTATACAAAGATGCTTATTACTGAACTGTTTGGGGTAGTGAGGCATTGGGAGCAATATGAGTCCATAACTAGGGGAATGGATGAGTAAAGTATGGTGTCTGTCCACCATGGCATGCAATACAGCAGTTAGAAGTAGCAGATGCACATGGAAAAGCCAGTGATGATGGTGTGGCATAAAGTTAAGTTGTATGATTAATTCAACTCTCTCCACCTGAAGCCAAAAAAGGAAGAGGATTTTTTTTTTTTTTTTTTAAACACACACAAACAGTGGCCGGGCGCCGTGGCTCATGCCTGTAATTCTAGCACTTTGGGAGGCCAAGGTGGGTGGATCACTTGAGGCCAGGAGCTCAAGACCAGCCTGACCAACATGGTGAAACCTCGTCTCTACTAAAAATACAAAAAAATTAGCTAAGCGTGGTGGCGGGTGCCTGTGATCCCAGCTATTCTGGAGGCTGAAGCAGGAGAATGGCCTGAACCCAGGAGGCGGAGCTTGCAGTGAGCCGAGACTGCGCCACTGCACTCCAGCCTGGCCACACAGCGAGACTCCGTCTCTAAATAAATAAATAAATAAATAAATAAATAAATAAAAATAAAACCACACAAACAAAAAAGCCTATACTCTTTTATTGTTTAATGGGTACAGAGTTTCAGTTTAGGATGATAAAAAAGTTCTGAGGATGGATGCTTGTGATGGTTACACAATAACATAAAATTACTCAATGCCACTGAACTGTACACTTACAACTGTTAAAATGGCAAATTGTATGTATATTTTACAAAAGGAAAAAAATCTCCCATGCTCCCTTGATGATACCAGGCTACCAATTCTTTTTTTTTTTTTTTTACTGTGCATGAAAATGTTTGATAAAATGGCAATTTTAATAGATAAATGTAAATTTGAGTGTGTAATACCAAATGGAAAGTAGCTGAAACACACAGAGAAAACAAGGCTTTACGTAGCTCCAAATTTAGCTGTTTTACACCAAACAAAGTATTGGAACATGTGAATATTAGAACCTCCTTCTAACTGGAAAGATTTCTTCATTAAGATACAATTGAAATTAATATAAACTAAAATTATAATTTCTAACATAGAATTAACAAACCAAATTTAAGTATTTTTGGTTAGTAATTGAAAAAAAATAGGCACAGTGATCTAGAAACCAAATATACTGGCCGGGCGCAGTGGCTCACGCCTGTAATCCCAGCACTTTGGGAGGCCAAGATGGGCGGATCACGAGGTCAGGAGATCAAGACCATCCTGGCTAACACGATGAAACCCCATCTCTACTAAAAATATAAAAAATTAGCTGGGCATGGTGGCGGGCGCCTGTAGTCCCAGCTACTTGGGAGGCTGAGGCAGGAGAATGGCGTGAACCCGGGAAGCGGACTTGCAGCGAGCTGAGATCACGCCACTGCACTCCAGCCTGGGCAACAGAGCGAGACTCCATCTCAAAAAAAAAAAAAGAAACCAAATATAGTAAAATGATTATGTAACTATCATATCAAGGTACAGACACTCTTCATATGCTACAAGGTTAGCATCTTTCTCTCTCTCTCTCTCACACACACACACACACACACACGCATGCAGTCTCTCTCTCTGTCATTTTCTGTCTCACTATTCCTCAGCCAGGCTCCCAATTCTTACTAATGTTCACATTCCCCTCCACATACTCCTGCATAATACCAAGCAATTTGTACAAACCTTTATGCTGAACCAACGTTGGCTACATGGTATGTAATGCCTTGCTTCTACTAAAAGTATAAAGGTGTGACTTCTGAAAGCTGTTATTACACTTACTTGGGCAATTCCTGCAATGAATGCATTAAAGCAAGTTGACAGGCGCATTTTTTGAGGTGCAATCATGAAGCAACCTTCCTGCTGGTCATAGCCGAGTAAGACGTACAGGTGTCGCTTGACCGTGTTGAAGGCCTTTGCACTGCTGATGTCTGACTCAGCGCTGCTTTCATCCTTGGCCATGAACTTCATGAGCACTGTAATCAGCTGGTGAACTGTCTGGTGGTCGATCCCAGCGTCTTCTGGGAGCAGGTCCTTGATGGTGTTGTCATTCTCAGGAGATTGTTGTCCTGTCAGTAGAAGAAAGGCTGTCAGTGGGTGGCTCACTCACAAGTGAAGTGACACTAAAATCTCTCTTAGATATTGATAAGGCACCCTTGTTTCTGCGTCTACAAAATTTTCTGCTCCAGACAGACTTTAAGAAACTTAAAGGCACAATATGGCCTAGTAGGCAGAGCCCTAGTCCAGGGGTGAAAGTTATTGTATTCATCAACAACCAAGTAATCTGGGAGAATTAGGGAATGGGAATAAAAATAGGGTGCTATGAAGCAATATTATCCTGAAACAGCAAGACAAATGCCTACATAAATTTTGCATTTAGCAAATTTTTTAATATGTTGGCAAAGTTTTATCCTCAGTGATAAAGGAAGTTTCCCTTCCAGCTTTGTAAAATAAGCATGTAAGAATAACTACAAAACGTTATAGTCTAAAATCCACTGAGGGCAAAACCACTGGGTTATTTTGTTTAAATTATTATCTCAATTTAGTTATGTTCATTAATCAGCTAGTGCAAAAAACAAATCTTTTCCAAACCCTGAGATATTAGCAATAGGCACTCTTTAAATGAAATAGCCAAAATTATAAATAGCAAATTATAAGCCCTGCTGTATGTCATGAGAAACATACAAGGAAGGGAGAGGACACAAACAGAAAGAGAGCGAAGCATGAACTTTTAAAAACAGAAAAACACCACATGAAGGTGAGCGGAAAGTTCACATGGAAAGAAAAAATACCTTCGCCCTTGGCCTCCTCTTAACCTAGTAAATAACAGCATCTGAGCAGCTCCCTGACATTGACTTTCTCTGTTATTTTTCAAAGTCAGAAGTTACCTTGTCTCTCTTTGTTCTTCTGCCCCTTCTTATCAGGTTTGGTTCAGGACTTTGGGAGAAGGAAGACTGATATTTGCTCTTCTATATTTATGGTTTGGGGATTATTCAAAATACTCTTGTCCTTTTTTTTTTTAATAAGAAACATTAGAATTTCTAAATTGAAAACAAATGTTTTGTCTGGTGGGTTAGATCAGCACACTGGCATTCTCATCTCTCATTCTGCAAGGAAACATTCTACTAAATGATGACAAGCTTTGGTTACAAACCATTATAAACCAAGCCTTGGTTACACCCATTATTATTACGGTATAAAGGATGCAACAAAGAGTTCGGCAGTCATTTATACCTATTAACTCCTCAGTTAATTTGGCAAAATCTCAGCCTTCCAGGACACAGCCAAGAGACGCGAGGCATAAGAAATGTTTCTGGGAATTGCAAAAATTTGCTATCTCAAGCCCACATACTTTTTCTCTGGGATAGGAGCATGAAGGTCAAATTCGGAATTTACCAGTTCAGACCTGCACATAAGGTAACAAGCTTAGTTGTCGAGTTTCCCAGACAATCAGATGAATGTTGGTCTGTTCAAAAGTGAACTGCTGAGAAGGGATAGTTGACAGTAAGTGAAGAGGCAACAGAGACAGCTTAGCGTAAGAGCCTCTAATACAGAGAAAACCATCTGACACACTTTAGTATGATTCCAGGACACTCACACTTTTCTGCCTCATACAATCTGTTCATGAAGGAATGAGTATGTATGACGCACTTTAGAGAAACTTTTTATCAAAAATTATTCAAATAAAACCTAAGAATTTGTTTATTACAGTGTTTCACATGCAGGGTGATCAATAAATTGTTAATATTATAATTACTTATTAGGCATGCATCAGGAAAAAAATCAATGTATGTGGAACACCCTATTTCAATGAGAGGCTAGAAAGGTGAAGCATCACAGCATGTGGTTCATAATATATGATTTGACCAAATACAATACCTATGTAAATCCTTGTAAGGCAAAATAGAAAAAGTTTACAGGGCTATTTTTTCAGCATTGAAAAATAGTTTACTCAGGCTGGGCAAAGTGGCTCACATCTGTAATCCCAGCACTTTGGGAGGCCGAGGTGGGAGAATCACTTGAGCCCAGGAGTTTGAGACCAGCCTAGGCAACATGACAAGACCTGGTCTCTACCAAAAATACAAAAATTAGCTGGACATGGTGGTGCACACCTGTAGTCCCAGCTACTCGGGAGGCTGAGGCAGGAGGATCACATGAGCTTGGGAAGTTGAAGCTGCAGTGAGCTGTGATCATGCCACTCTACTCCAGCCTGGGCAACAAAGCAAGACCTTGTCTCAAAAAAAAAAAAAGAAAGAAAGAAAAGAAAAGAAAAATATTTACTCTAGATTTGTTTTTCCACTAGAGTATTACTTTACAACTAGAAGGCCATTATTGCTTTGGACATGTTTGGGCCAAGAATATGACAGGGTTCCCTGCAGGGTTCAAAGTTATTGTGGCAGCAAGTAATGGCTGTTACAATATAGCTTCAATCTTCAACTCCTTTTAGCTCTGGGGTGCAAGGTTGAAGAGAACATGTATCACTCAGTCCTGCTCAGCCACCTCATGTTCACACTGGCTCAACTCCAAAGTCCCAAAGTTAAAAATTGGAACTGAAGAGTGTATGAGAGGAAGTTGCTCCTTTGTTTTATAGTGCTGAGAATCAAGGGACCTCAATACAGAAGAAAGGGAGCTCCCAGCAAGGCCCAGCTAGGACCCTGCCCATTTCCTTCCATCCCAATTCAAGTCTAGAAAATAGACCATCAGACTTCAGCTTAAATATTTAAAAACCCTTCTTCTCATTACAAGTGGGCATGTTTCTAAACAATGTGCAACCCTGAGTTTTCCCATCACATCATATTTTCCTGATGACTGTCATTTCATACATGCCCATCTCACTGATCATTTTCACTGATCTTAAGTTTGCTGCTTTCCCTGAATAGCAAGTAATGAGTAATCTTTAACAAATGTACTGAAAAAAGGATGTTTATGGAAACTTTTGCATAAAAAAATGTTAATCTCCTTTTATTCTAATAATTTACCCCTCCAGAGTGGGCTTTGCAAATCTGCACTTCGTTTATTGCCTCTCTTTGAAATAGAGTAAGCTTGTGACTGGTGCACTCTTCATAAAGACAAGTTACCTTAATCAAATCCCTAAGAAAAATGAGTTGTGGATAAGCTGAAATGTTCTCCATCGATAAAGACAATATTAATGTTTTAACCTAGAAAAGGTATGAAATTTCCATTTCAAAACTAAATGCCTACAAGCATTTTCTCTAAGAAAACAAAACACTTAATAGTATTGAATTCTAGTCTGTGAAATTCCTATATCTGTCCTAACCATAGAGATTTAACATGTTAAAGGGTCTGACGTTATATTTTCTATAAAGAGAAAATATATTTATAATTATAATTATGGAGGCAGAGCTATTCCTACCATACCTTTAATGTGGACTGATTCCATGACAATCTGCCCACAGAGCTGTGTAACTGATTGAAACTCCAAAGTGTAATACAGCATTATTTATTCAGATGATTTGAAACCAGGCAGGATCAGGATCTGCTTTTCCAGACTTATCTCCTATTATTTCACCCGAAATGGTCAACGTTCTTACAAGCTGGGCTACTCGTGGATCTCAGAATGGAGCCGTTTTTCCCTCTTTGCACCTTTGCTCATGGTGCTCTCTTCACCTTGCAAGGTGGTTCTCTACCCTCCCCCAACAATTTTGTGCTATAAACTGGTCCCCAAAAGCCATTCTTATTAGATATACCCAATATTCCTCTCAGCAATTGGATGTGATCCCTAAATTCTTTAAATTTCTAAGGACAAGAAAGGAGGGAGGACAGGAGAGAAAAAAAGAATGGAGGAAAATTTCCTTCAGCATTTTCCTAACTCCCATGTGGCCAATGACAATTATGCAAGGCAGAACATTTTGTGTATTCATTTGCCTTAATACTCCAATAAGAACATAGGCTTCTTGAAGGCAAATGACATATTTTATCCATCTTTATATCCCTCACAGAATAGGGGCCAATGTCTGACATATAGTAGATACTTATTATACATAAATGTCTGTCAAAGTGCACTAAACTCAAATAAATATGTCAGAGCTTACATTCTGTATAAGAGAAAAATTGATAAAGTCCCAAAGCAGCAGGAATATTGGAACGTTTCTCTATGTGAACTGACTCACTGACCCCTCTGCCAAACCAACAAGTGACAATTAGGTAGAGGAAGAAAGGATCCCTCCATGAGCTTACTCTGCACTTGGTCCAGGGCAGCCAATGAGTAAGCACTATAAATGAGGTTCCATTCCACAGGCAGCTCTCACTACACTGCCTCGCTCATCTCCCTGCTTCCTTACCTCAGTTTTCCCTTGTGTGTGCACATATCCACAGCAGGGCTGGAAAGCTGGGGCAGTGGCTAACTTCATATCCTCCTATGATCCCCATCCCTGCCTTTTCTCCTTCCTATTCCACATCCTATTATCATGTGTTTATGTCTCATCCACCAATCAAGCCTGGCTGAAAAGCCACCTGTCCATGAGACCTTCCCTGATGTCTCCAGCTGGTAGAAAGCTCCCCTCCCTTTGCATTTGACATGACTCATCCTACGTACTGTCACTTTCACTCAAGATGAGAGTTTACTGATGTTCATACTTAATATCCCTTACTTGGCCGTAAGCAAGTTAAGAGTATAAAAATTTCCAAAGCATCTTTGTATTCTTCGTATTTCCTAGTCCAGCAGGTGAAAAATAAATATTTGTTGAACAAGCATTTGTGGCACACACCTCTGATCCAAGCTACTCGGGAGGCTGAGGTGAGAGGATCCCTTGAGCCCAGAAGCTCAAGACCAGCCTGAGCCACATAGCAAGACCCCATCTCAAAAAAAGTATTTGTAATATTTGTTGAACAAAAATTGTCACTTCCAAAAAACATATCTTCAAACAAGAGTATTCCTATAAAAACAACTGTACTCTGACTTACTGGATCTTAATGGTCAATAGGCATTTTGCAAGTTAGTGAAGAAGTGAATCATAAACCATCTGTAGAAAGAAAGAGCCCAAAGAAAAGCTATTTGGAATTCTAGGCTGGGACACTAAGGAGACAGGAAAGGTCAATGCAAGAGTGCTTTATTGATCCTAACTAGTACTGGGCACCTTCTCTTATGGATACAAATGCAGGCCAAGAGATCTCCAGGTTTCTCTGCAGGCTGAGGCAGAACTTGGAGTACGCGAGTCCCACGAGAGATGGGGATAGCTCTGGACCAATCTGGGGTCCTAACTGGCAAAGTCTTTTGGTCTGGACACTCATGGCCTTAAGCCACTCTGTAGCAGGCCTGAAAGCCCAGGCCAACTCCATAACCAGACTGGTGTCCTCACGTCCCACAGGGCAGAAATACCCTAAGACCAGTTCATCAAGAGGTAGTTGTGGTAGAAAGAAAGAAAGCCAAATCCCTTGGATGCCAGCATCAGTTCTGATCCTAACTAGTTAGTCATATGTGACCTTAAGCAATCACCAAAGCAGAATCACTTAATCCCTCACTACATTAGTTTTCCTGTAAGTAAAGAGATACTATATATACAGGAAGGATTATCATTATTACATACCTATTATTGTTTAATTATGCGTTCCAGGCGATGAGGAACATGATATAATTAAGCACCCTATGTTCACATGGGATTGATACCATTAGTTCAGTATTGTGCTTATATAACATAATAACTGCTGCATTCTATTCAATTAATCTTCATCAGTATTCTAAATATATGAAGACAAAATTTCCTGGTTCTTACAGCACCAGTGAAAGTACTCCTTACGTCTAATCATACAAATTGTAGTAGCAGTTAAAAAGATTGTGTATCCCATCAATTAGGATGAAATGAAGGTGCTGAATTCCTACGGGCAGTTACTTGCCTTGTTACAGAGCTCAGGACCTCTGGGCTTGAGACCCAGAACAGTCACCAACAAGCTTGTTCTTTTGTGAGAATCAGTTTCTTCCTCTATAAAATGAGATTGTTAACACATCACTAATGTTTCAGCTATAAGATTCTATGAATTTTATTTAGATGCACAAAGCCTTTGATTTGAAAAGTCATAGAGAAATGTGACTCTCTGCAAACCTTGCAGAGTATACTTTCTATAGAAAACAGAATTTTCTATTCCATTTTCTGTGGGTATTATGTAAAGGTTAAGATCAGAGAGTCATAAATTGTAAATCCACTGCCAAAAAGTTCAACCTAAACAGCAATTAAATTTAAATCTTGTTGTATAAAGGGGAATCTGCTTTATTTCAAGTCTAATCAATAAGAGGTCCGCAAAGAGGAGCTCATTACTTGGACCAAAAAAAGTATGTTCGTTAAGTAGCAAGTTCTTCAGTTTCCATTTAATTACTGTCTTAAACCATTCTCCACAATCTTACGATAAATCTGGCATGTCCTTGCTTCCAAGTTAGAAACAGTCAGGGTCCAGTAAATAATAATGCAAAAATGGAACCCTACAGTAGTTTGAAATTGCCTTATAAACTGAGCCAGCTATTTCCATATCTAAGCAAGTTTTGCTTATGATGGTGTCATGTAAATTACCTTTCCTGAAGCTTTAGCTTCATATTTAATTTAAACAATGCTGTTATCTGCCTCTTTTCCATCTGGCCACTTTTGGTGGAATAATTAGATGCCTGAAGGCTTTTTTTAACTGCAAGAAACACATGTACATGTTTTCCCACAGAAATGTGAGGGGACTTCTTGGGTTGGATTGTTAAAATGGATAATTATCATGAAAGACTAGCTTCTCAGCTAAGCTTTAAGACAAAGAGACAAGCTAGAGTAAAATAAAGATAATTTATGAAACTGACTAAGAACAATCTCAAAAATGCCTCACTGAAGGGGAACTGCATGGATTTCATATTTCTAATGAAGCTTTGAATCAGAAGTTCTTATTTTTATTCTTTTAAAAAAAATCACAGCACAGTAGCGTACATGAGCGATGTGTAAGGCAAGGTAGAGGGGCTCTACCAAATGTTTGCTATTCCTTTTTTCTCATCAATTTTAAAAGAGAAAAGACTTTGGCCACCATCTGCTGTCTGCCTGGTTGATCTCTGGGATTTTCTCTCTCCCCTCCCACTTCGGACTCCCTCTCTTTCAAACGTCCTTTTTATAAAACACAATGATCTTTAAAGTCTCCTTACTTGAAATTTTCCTTCTGAGAATGTCTGTACCATTCTGAAACATTTACCTTAAAACTAGTAGTCTTAGATGAAAACTCAAATGTTCTATAGCATGATACATAGGTGGGAGTTACCAAATTTGTTTTTGACTAATAAGCAGGTATTCGGAACCTTCACAATCTTCCCAGTGAGTCACGGCACCATTCATGTGGAATCTCCTTGCCAATGCCCTCTTAGGCTACTTCATGATAAATTGTAATATATCACAGAACATCAAATGATCATTAAACTGTATCATGCTATGGTCCTCCAAACAGAGGAAATTCTCCTTTCTCTGAGAAACAGAAATGCATGTACAGTTGCAAAGAATCAGGAATGGCTAAGGGGATGAGCGGATGACAGTGGTTCAAATGTATAACCTTTTAAAATGTAAATGAAATGTATGGTTTTCCTATAGCAGATATGTATGAACAAAATATTTCTATGTGTAAAGACACATACAAATATAAATACTATGGATAGCTCTAGTCATACTGGCTCTCTGGGGAAAGGTACAGACTCAGGTGATATGATGCTTCTTACTGGACCAAAAGTTAATAGAATCAAAAGTCATCTGTTAATATCAAAATGGAAAGAATTGCCATATCAGGGGTTCAAACACTTGAACATCTGGGGTAAGACCCTTCTGAGCTTGCAAATCCTAGGTATATCACCCTGGTCCAGTTAGAGACACCGCATTCTCTACCTTGTCCACCTGTGATAGACACTTGTACATGGCCCTTCAATGTCAGAAGTACCCACCTGGCGTCTGTTCGGGTGTCCCACCGAGAGCTGGAGCAGACTGCTCATGCCTGGTCAACCTCATAGCTTAAAAATCAACAACAACTCTATTTAAATAAGCATTACAGACAACTGGAGCCTAGAAAATATACTCAGTGCTAACTTTATGGGATAGTAGGGGCAGGTTTCATTTTTCTATTTGAATTAACATCACATAAAAGTTGTTTATGTAACAAACGTTTTGCAGTTTTTATCTGAATCATAAGAACATCCTTCAATGTTACTTCATCTTCAAAATTGTCATGTGAATTAATGAACAAGAAATAACAATAAATATACTTTATATTCTAAACTTATCAGTTAGGATATAAATAGAGCTGGGAAACTCATATAAAATTTGTTATTTATTTAATCTAGGTATTGGTTTCTAGGATTTAAACAGTTTCACCTGGGGCCTAGCACTACCACTGGCTATTCTTAAATGATCACCTGTGATTATCTTTGCTCCCTGAAAAACTGTGTTATTGATTACTTAAAGAACTTTCATTCATACTTAACTCTCTCAAAGTTTAAAAGAACACATTTCCATAGCTTGTCATAAAATAGAGAAAATGTAATGAATAAAATCAAATCATATTTATGATTATAAATGGTTATGTTATATAAGGCTGTATTCTAATAAATGCCAATGAAAAACAGACCTTTCAACTTCTGACAGGATAAGAAATAGGTTTTGGGTCATTATTTTATTTACTTCACAGTGATTATTTGAAGATTAAATCATTTAATAAATTTTACAAGTTAGTAATATATTTAAACATATTCATTAGTATGGTGATTTAGTAATGAATTTTTAATTATTTGTCCTTCATGAGTCATTACTAATCATTAGAGTTTATCTAGTCATTTGGTAATTTAAGGAAAATTTTATTCTCTTTAAAACTATAATATAAAGAAAGACCTTTTATAGAGCAAGTATATATGGTCTTTTTTAAAATATTGGCAATGAAGCTTATTTTTATTTATAAATTATCTGGTGAAGATGAGCAGAAATTCAATTTCTCAGCCCGATTTCTCTATTTCAAAAGCAATCATTATTATTGGTTTGTCTTAGGGGGCTTGTGTGGCTGCTTCTATCAGACATGAAAAAAAAAATACATTCCAAATTTCAACTGTCCCTCCTTAGCCATGATAGGTCTTATTGTCTAAGTCTTATTCAGAAAGCTCTTAGGATACAAGGCTGGTGGTGCAAACTTTGGTGTCCTAGGACTTAGGAGCAAATGTTTCTTCTAAGTTGCATGCCAAGCATCAATGCATTTGCTGCCTTTTACATTTCAAAAACATCTACTGTTGGATCAGGGCTTTGCTACCCCAGCAAACTAGGAAAAGCAACCCTAGGCATTTATACCCCTGAAGTGATTCTCTAGGGAATCTGAAAGCCAAACTTATTGAACAAACTCAGTTTGCTAAACATGCTATACTCTCTGTGAACATTCAACAAGACAAGTCAGCCTCAGAAAGACATTAAACAGATTTAACGGAAGGATGAAAGAAGATACTCAACGAATTTTGGAGGTCAGGGTCTCAGGGAGGGAGAGCGCCCTCTTGGATTCCACAGGCCCTTTCACGCTGTCCCTCAGGGAACGTACACTCTTCTGGCGGTTTCTTGCAAAGCGAGCTCTCTTGATCTTCCATAAGGCTGCATCGCTGAGGTTAGCAACATTGGTCCTCACAGCAGTGATGGCTTTGCAAAAGGAATTAAAGAGACTATCACTCTCCTTTACACAGGGCTTTGTAATCCACCTAGTCTAAAACAATCCATCTGTGTAGAGTTTCAATATTAAAATACATTTTTCATGGATATACATCTCCCTCTATGATGAGTCCTACATACAAAAATAACTATTGCCTATCATGATTTTTTTTCTGCTTAGACCACAAGATTAAATTATCTAATTTTGTTATCATTGGATAGTTGAGTGACAAAAGTCTTTTCTCCACCTATTCAGAGCTGTAGGTAACTGATTAATAACTAAGCAAGAGGCCAGGTGTGGTGGCTCATGCCTGTAATCCTAGCACTTTGGGAGGCCATGGTGGGAGGATCCCTTGAGGCCAGGAGTTTGAGACCAGCCTGGGCAATATAGCAAGACCCCCATCTCTACAAAAAAGGAAAAATTAGCCAGGTATGGTGGCTCACCCCCATAGTCCTAGCTACTCAGGAAGATTAGCTGGGAGGACTGCTTGAGCCCAAGAGTTGGAGGTTGCAGTGAGCTATGATGACACCACTACACATCAGCCTGGGCAGCAGATTCAATGCAATTCCCATCAAAGTACCATCATCATTCTTCACAGAGCTAGAAAACCAACTCTAAAATTCCTACGGAACCAAAAAAAGAGCCCACATAGCCAAAGCAAGACTAAGCAAAAAGAATGCATCTGGAGGCATCGCATTCCTGGAGTTTAAACTATACTACAAGGCTATAGTTACCAAAACAGCATGGTACTTGTATTAAAATAGGCTTGTAGACCAATGGAACGGAATAGAGAACCCAAAAACAAAGCTAAATACTTACAGCCAACTGATCTTCAACAAAGCAAATAAAAACATAAAGTGGGGAGAGGACACTGTATTCAATAAATGGTGCTGGGATAATTGGCAAGCCACATCTAGAAGAATGAAACTGGATACTCGTATCTCACCTTATACAAAAATCAACTCAAGATGGATCAAAGGCTAAATCTAAGATCTGAAACCGTAAAAATTCTAGAAGACAACATCAGAAAAACTCTTCTAGACATTGACTTAGGCAAAGAGTTCATGACCAAGTACTCAAAAGCAAATGCAACAAAAACAAAAATAAACAGATGGAGCCTAATTAAACTAAAAAGTTTCTGCACAGCAAACAAAATAATCCGCAGAGTAAACAGACAACCCACTGAATGGGGAAAAATATTTGCAAACTATGCATCTGACAGAGGACCAATATCCAGAATCTATAAGGAACTCAAACAAATCAGCAAAATAATAATAATAATCCCATCAAAAAGTAGGCAAAGGACATGAATAGAAAATTCTCAAAAGAAGATATACAAACGGCCAACAAACATATGAAAAAATGCTCAACATCACTAATTATCAGGGAAATGCAAATTAAAACCACAATGAGATACCACCTTACTCCTGCAAGAATGCCGTAATTTAAAAATCCAAAAATAACAGATATTGGTGGGGATGTGGTAAAAAGGGAACACTTTTACACTGTTGGTAGGAGTGTAAATTGGTACAATCACTTTGGAAAACAGTATGGAGATTCCTTAAAGAACTAAAAGTGGAACTACCATTTGATCCAGCAATCCCACTACTGGGTCTCTACCCAGAAGGAAGGAAGTCATTATAGGAAAAGACATTTGCACATGCATGTTTATAGCAGCACAATTCACAATTGCAAAAATATGGAACCAGCCTAAATGACCATTAATCAACAAGTGGATAAAGGAAATGTGGTATACATATGTACCATGGAATACTACTTGGCCATTTAAAAGAATGAAATAATGGCATTCACAGCAATCTGGATGGAGTTGGAGAACATTATTTTAAGTGAAGTAATGCAGAAGTGGAAAACCAAATATCGTATGTTCTCACTTGTAAGTGGGAGCTAAGCTATGAGGATGCAAAGACATAAGAATGACAGAACGGAATTTGGGGACTTTGGGGGGAAGGGTGGAAGGGGGGTGAGGGATAAAAGACTACACATTGGGTACAATGTACAATGCTCAGGTGACGGGTGCACCAAAATCTCAGAAATTACCACTAAAGAACTTATCCATGTAACCAAAACCCACCTATGTCCCCAAAACTATTGAAATTTAGAAAGTATGCAAGAGTGAGTTTGCAAGGTGCAAATATGCTTCCTAAAATTGCTCACAAATGTTATAAACATAATGACTGAATCATATTTAGGGAACACACAGTCATAAATGGTTATCATAGGTCAAGGAAATGAAAAGAATTCTGATTTTGGAATGCCAGGATATGCTTAAATCTATGGATTACTACAGCAGCTATTCAATAATCATTTAATGAATTGAGTGCATGAGGTCAAGGCATCCTCTGTAGAGGAATTAAACGACATGCCAATGTCTTCTGTTTGTCTAGGCAAGCACAATGGGAACTGCAACGGTTTACAGCAAGTTCTTCATTTTACTTACTTGTAGGAAAAGGAAATTCCTTGTTACAATCCAAATGTAGCTGGGCTTCCAAAGAAAGCGTCTCAAATCTATTGACAAAGAACTCCCAGCTCAGAGCAGGAATATCCTGCTTAAGAAAGTGCAAGAGTAAAAGCTTGCTCAAAATTGTGGGTCTGTCTTTAACCACAGTATCAAACTGGAAGTCAAGACAAAGACATAGACCCTGGGAAAGAGGAGGAAAAAAAAAAAGAAAAGAAGAAAGTCAGATATAAACATCTAAGTTACTTCAAAGCCGATATACTAGGCAAAGTCAATGAAACAAGGCAGCCTACTCAATTCAAACTTATAATGTAGAATGATCCCACTGGAATCTTTTTTGATTCGAAGTTTTGGTAGGAAAGAAAAATGTAGAAGAGGAATTTATCTTCCTTGTAGAATATCTCTTGAATTTTGATTCAGAAATCTGAACTAAATGCATGCTATTGGTTTTCTAATGTGTTAAATAATAACCACTTAATCCAAATACCCTCAAGTCAATGCATCTGGGTTTTTTGTTGTTGTTGTTGTTTGTTTGTTTCTTTGTTTGTTTTTTGAGATGAAGTCTCACTCTGTCGCCCAGGCTGGAGTGCAGTGATGGGATCTCAGCTCACTGCAACCTCCGCCTCCCGGGTTCAAGCAATTCTCCTGCCTCAGCCTCCCAAGTAGCTGGGACTACAGGCGCCCGCCACCACGCCCGGCTAATTTTTTGTATTTTTAGTAGAGACGAGGTTTCACTGTGTTAGCCGGATGGTCTCGATCTCCTGACCTCGTGATCTGCCCTCCTTGGCCTCCCAAAGTGCTGGGATTACAGGCGCGAGCCACCACGCCCAGCTGCATCTGGTTTTAATGCCTGTAGTCATTAAGAGAAGCGTACTTTCAAAGTTACATTTTAGAATACACAGAAAGATGGTCTAGAAATCTACTTTCAATCCAAAATTTCATGATTCCGAAAAAAGCAAAGTCACCTGGTTTTCTTGGAATGTGAGTGGAACATAGAATGTTAATCAAAGTTGGAATGGATTGAGAACCTGTTCCTCTAGTGTCTGAGTTTACCATTCCCCCTCTTTTTAACAGAATGAGATTTAAAAATTGCAATTCATCCAAACATCCCATTCATTAATTCAGCTGTCATCTAATGAGTGCCTCCTATGTTCCAGGCCCTAAGCAGGGGTAGGACATAGAAGTACCTGGTAAGATCAACAGAGAAGAACTATTCAGAAGTCAACTGGAGATTTTACAAAAAAAAGAATGTGCCACAGGCAGCATAACCCTTCAGTCTTTCAGGTCGTGCAAGCTTGCCCTTGCTTCTTGGTCTTAAAATGCAGGAAGAAGTTTACACTGGATTGGGAGACAGTGTATGCACACATACACACACACACACACACACACACACACACACTTAAGTATGTGGACTGTATTATAAATCAGTGCTGAATTTCCTCTGCAGATAACTAGCTATGTGACTCTGAAAAGGTGGCTTAACCTTTCTAACTCTCAGCATCTCTATCCATAAAATGAGAACACACAAAAGGTAACTGTGAGGATTAAATAAGATAATGCATAACAGGACACTTTTAACACACTGCCCTGGAAACACAGTAGCTATCTGAGGAATGTCAGCTCTTGCTATCATTAGTTGAATAATAACAACAAAATAATAAATCAGATGCAACATGGAGAAACAGTAGATCAGAACTTTGGAGGCTCTAATCTTGATTTTCTCATTAAATCACTTTGTGTCCTTTGATAAGTCACATTATCTCTCTGAGACTTGGTGTCTCCACTAAAAAATAAAGGTTCCAAACAAGATAAATATACCACTCTCTCCAGGTCTCATATTTCTTGTCTCTTTGGCTTTAATTTGTGAAGTTTTGTTATGGTAGCATATTTACCTTCTCATGTTTTACTTTGATTAAAACTATAATTCAGGCCAGGCGCAGTGGTGGCTCAGGCCTCTAATCCCAGCACTTTGGGAGGCCGAGGCAGGCGAATCACTTGAAGCCAGGGGTTCGAGACCAGCCTGGCCAACATAGCAAAACCCTGTCTTTACTAAAAATACAAAAATTAGCCAGGCGTGGCGGCGTAAGCCTGTAGTCCCAGCTATTCGGGAGACTAAGGCATGAGAATCACTTGAACCCGGGAGGCGGAGGTTGCAGTGAGCCGAGATCACACCACTGCACTCCAGCCTGGGCAAGAAAATGAGACTCTATCTCAAAACAAAACAAAGCAAAAAACTATAATTTATCTGATTTCTGTTAGCATCAAGGCTCTAACAACAGAGGCCTCCAGCCCAGGAGCTAGCTAAGTGGTGTAAGATAAACCAACCTAGTTTTAAAATCTGCCACACACACACACACACACACACACACACACACACACACACACACGTTATGCAATAATTACATCTGTCCAAAGTAATATCAGCATATGAACAAAGACTGAAAAGAAAGTATCAACAAATGGGCCAGGCAGTACAGCTCATGCTTATAATCCCAGCACTCTGGGAGGCCAAAGCGGGAGGATTGCTGGAGGCCAGGAGTTCAAGACGAGCCTGGGCAATATAGCAAGATCCTGTCTCTACAAAAAAAAAAGTTAAAAATTAGGTGGGTGTGGTGATGTATACCTGTTGTCCTAGCTATTCAGGAGGCTGAGGAAGGAGGATCACTTGAGCCCAGGAGTTTCAGGCTGCAGAGAGTTATGATCAGCCTGGGCAACAGAGTAAGACTGTGTCTTAAAAAAAAAGTGGCATCAACAAATAACAACAAGGGATCTTTTAGCAAGATGTGGTTCTGGTATATTTCTTCCAGTTAAAAAATCTCCATCATCATCGTCAATATTATATGTGATGTTATGGTCTGAAAATGTGTGCAAGGGCCTCACCCCCAAATTCCTGTTGAAACTAAATCACCAATATGATAGTATTAGGAGGTGGGGCTTTGAGAGATGATTAGGTCATAAGGGCAGGGCCCTAATGAATGGAACTAGTGCCCTTATGAAAGAGGCCCCAGACACAGCAAAGGCCCCATCTATGAACTAGACAGCAGGCCCTCGGCAGACAATCTGCGAAATAAATTTCTGTTGTTTATAAACTACCCAGTTTATGGTATTCTGTTATAGCAGGTCAAACAGACTAGGACGTGACAAACAACGCAATGATTTAGTAGTGCTGACACAAACCACCTTCGGAGCAGATAACACAAATCACATGTCACCTGCAATGCTGGCCTCTTTATGGTGTCAAGCAGGAGACCAGCTCTGGTAGCCACTGCGGGGTTGACATCCTCCACTGCTGTCAGGAAGCAGCAGAAGGCATGTGCCAGGGAGTACTTCAGCAGGTGGTTTTTGGTTACTGAGTGAATATCCAGAAATCTACAAATTACAGCAACTTTTTCCACTGCAATGTAAAAGAGAAGGCAAAATACGTAAATACACACACACCTACAGGCACACGCATACACATTTATTTAGCCAGTCTGAGAACTGAACTCACAGACAAAAAGTTAACTCTGGGTCTCCCGCATGGTTTACTTTAAATCCCAACAGGAAAGTCTAATACCACCATCTCGAGTGTTCCATTTCATCTGTGCAGCAGAGACTCTTTCTACTCAGAGCAGAACTTTTTTTTCCCACGCAGCCTTGATCTAACTCTGGGTTGTCTTTTACAATTTTTTCATGGTCTTTCTCTTTGTTTAACTTTCAGCTATATTTCAAAATATTCCAAATGCCTCTATGCTTCTTTCTGTGGCCATTCCATAGAAGCTCTGCAGATAACAGAGAGGTAGGAGGTGCCCACCAGTACTGGCTCTGGGTTCTGGTCCCCTGCTCTACTCTTAGTAGGTCGTGGTGTGAAATGGCAGACCAAATAGACATTTCCTGGGGCTATCGAAGCCAGGTATTTCTTCCATGCTATAAATATACGCTTACTTGATAGATTTCTAATTATTCTGCAAATCAATGTTAAACAATTCCATCCACACTTAAAGCATGGCTTTATAAAAAGTTACAACAGCTAGCAAAGCAATATAGTGCAATGCAAATTAAGACGTTTCAGTATTTTGCTTAAGCTATTGCAACAGCCTAGAATATTCTTTTGTTTGTTGGTTTTGTTTTGTTTTTTTGAGATGGAGTCTCACTCTGTTGCCCAGGCTGGAGTGCAGTGGCACGATTTCAGCTCACTGCAACCTCCATCTCCCGGGTTCAAGTGATTCTCATGCCTCAGCCTCCCAAGTAGCTGGGATTACAGGCAGGCACCACCATGCCCAGCTAACTTTAGTATTTTTAGTAGAGACAGGGTTTCACCATGTTGGCCAGGCTGGTCTCGAACTCCTGACCTCAAGAGATCTGCCTGCTTTGGCCTCCCAAAGTGCTGGGATTACAGGCATGAGCCACTGCACCCAGCCTACAGTATTCTTCCTATTGACATTCTACCATCCTTAGAGAATCTCTGCTGAAATTCTGTTTTGTAAAGTCTTCTCTGATCTCCTAGAGTGGCCTTTCCATCCCATGAACTCCTGTAAAAGTACTACTCATTTGCATATCATTAATTTACATATTGCATTTGTGTGCTCAGAATATGAGCTATGAACACAATATGTGCTCATTATATGACATATTTTATTTTGTGGTCTTGATTATATTTATGCCTTTTATAATTTGTCAACCTCTTACATGCTTATATTTGATCTCATCAATTAAACCGGAAGCCTCCTGAGGACAGCAATCTGCTCTTACACTTCTTTCTATTGCTCCCATAGCACCTAGCACATATCTAATTTATTCAATAAATTCACTGATTCGCTTATTTTAAAATATATATATATTAAGCACACATATGTATACCACTAAGAAACTATCTTAGGCACTTGGGAGGAGATAGAAGTAAATGGAAAGAGGAATCATTCATAACTCTTGACCTCAAAGTTAAATTGACTAAAATAGATAAGACACGTACAACTATAGCTGAAATATGACTTTGAAAAAGCTGTAAATGCCTCTAGTGTGGTATAAATAAAATGCTATGGGAGATCCGGGGATACATAAACCACTCTCCACAGGGGGGACCTAGAAGGTGGACCTCAATGGCGGCATTTGAAGGTGGATCATGTGGAGGTGGCATTTGTGTAGGGCCTTAAAGGAAAGAGGATGAAAGGTGGAGAGCCCAGAATGGCCCCCGCGTGGATGAAGGGAGGCAGGAAGCAATGGGAACACAGCAAGGGTGTGTGTAGAAAGAAGCGCAGGAAATGAGGCTGCCTGCAGTTGCAGTCAGACCATCTGAATGGCAGTTTAAGGAGTCTGAACTTTATTCTCTAGGCATTCAAAAAAACCCCATTAAAATTTCTTGAATAGAAAAGTAACATGACCTTGGCCGGGTACGGTGGCTCATGCCTGTAATCTCAGCATTTTAGGAGGTCGAGGTGGGTGGATCATCTGGGGTCAGGAGTTCAAGACCAGCCTGGCCAACATGGCGAAACCCCATCTCTAGTAAAAATACAAAAATTAGCCGGGTGTGGTGGCAGGTGCCCGTAGTCCCAGCTGCTCAGGAGGCTGAGGCAACAGAATCGCTTAAACCCGGGAGGCAGAGGTTGCAGTGAGCCGAGATCACTCCACTGCACTCCAGCTTGTGCAATAGAGCAAGACTCCATCTCAAAACAAACAAACAAACAGAAAAAAAAAAAAGGAAAGAAAGAGAAGTAACATAACCAGAGCCGAGATTCAGAAGATTAATCCTAACCCTCCACAACATGATGTGCTGTCATATATATATACTAACTAGCCCCTGAGATTCCTGTGGGCATTAAAAAGCAAGAACGTTTTGAAGTGGCCATATATTAAGGAACTGAACTAAAGGTATAATAGTTACCTCACTGATGAAACTTCCATTTCTGTGCCAAACTTTTGAGACACAAACCTACAGAACTGTTCTGAGAAGCCACACTGTGGCATGCCGACCCCGCCTGCTACCCCGAGAATGGAACTACTAGCAGATTGGAGTGAGAGTGGGCCAGCAGACATGAGGCTAAGAGAACCCTCCCAGGTTCCTTCCTTACCACATTACTCTGAGAACCTGCTGTTCTATTTACTAGGAAATTATACCCAAGCTGCACCAGACTTGGTCCCTGATCCCTCAGTGGCAAGGGTATACAGCAGAGATTCTTGAACCTCTTATTAAAAATCTCAGTTTCTGCCCCAGCACAGTGGCTCATGCCTGTAATCCCAACACTTTGGGAGGCCAAGGTGGGCAGATCACCTGAGGTCAGGAGTTCAAGACCAGCCTGATCAACATACTGAAACCTTGTCTCTACTAAAAATACAAAAATTAGCCTGGTGTAGTAGCATGCACCTGTAGCCCCAGCTACTTGGGAGGCTGAGGCACAAGAAATACTTGAACTCAGGAGGCAGAGGTTGCAGTGAGCCGAGATCATGCCACTGCACTTCAGCCTGGACAACACAGCAAGACTCTGTCTCAAAAAAAAACACAAAAAACCTCAATTTCTGGCATCACCCCCACCTCCCACTGAGATTCTGATTCGGTAGCTCTAGGATGTGGCCAGATAATGTGCATTTTAACAAACATTCCCAGTAACCGATGCAAGTAAACTCATAGGTTGACTGAATCCAAGCCAGTGTCTGTTTGGGAGTAAACATGGGTGCAGTTAATCGCTACACTTGGGTAACAGGCATAAGCTGGGTCTGTCCTATGCAAACCTGGACAGGACCACCCTCCCTAAGGACCACTCTGCAAAATGCTGTTATTTTAGAGAGGAAGCTCAAAGCAGAACCCCCAAAGGACACCAGCCAGCAGGAGAATGCCTTTTAAAAAGAAGGGACAAGAAAGGAGGTGCCAAAAAAGATGCCGTGACCAGACACCCGTGTACTGTGTGACCCAGAATGAGTTTTAAGCTAACACAGAGGTACCTGCTTCAAACCTCATCTTCCAGTCTTTGCTGTTGAAATTGCCATTTATGATTGTCCAGAAGATGTCAGCACCATGAGGAAGTGACAGGGCATGGAGGAGAAGAGGGACTGCCAGGGAAGACAGCTGAGAGAACTCGGATTTGACGACCCTCCACAGGCTAGGGAATCAAGGAGAAGCAAAGTGGTGACAGTTATCACAACTTTTCCAGAAAAAGATCCTGTCCTCTTAATTTATGGCAAGAGTAGTTACAAGACGGTGGGTAGGGGTGCTTTTGGTGAAATGACACTCATCCACGAGAGGATAATCCTCTGACAGACGTTTCCTATGCTCTGTCCTCTTAACGTGACACTGCAGAAAAGCACTTTTACTTAACATTACATTTTATAACTTAAAAATCTGCATAATGTAAATTCAGCAATATAAATAAATGGCTTCAGTAATATACAAAGTCAAAATTAGGTACGTTAGGATGATGGAGTAATACGTGATTTTTAAAAATTTTCTTACAGTGAGCATCTGGCAAGTTTGGTTGGTTTGGCCTGCCCAGCCTCTTATGATGTCAAAGAACAACTCTTTTTCTCTTAATAACAGCCTCTCCAAGAACAGACAGGTCATCAATCAAGCTCCCCAACCTTCTCTATCATAAGGGGGAACACAAACAGGCTGATCAAAGAACGTCAACAACCTGAATAAAGTGATTAGCTAGGAGAAGGCGTATGACCCAAGCATGGGAATAACAGAACTCTTATTTCAGGGACTGTTATGCACTCTGGGAGAAAGAGGCTCTCTCTCCTTCTGAAATCTCAGGAATGAAGGGTGATGTCAGCCTGCAACTGCCAATGACCCTCCTTCCCATCTCACAGGGACAGCCTGTGCTTAACGGAGAAGCCAACACTTAGTTCCATTTAAGAAGCCAAGCCACAGTTGGGCTATGAGATGGGGAGGGAGTGAGAAAGGGGAGGAGGAGAAGACAGAGAAAGAGATCCCTGATAACATCCTGCACCTCAGCAAGTTTCAGCTAAGTTCCTATCAAGTTCTACAGGAATAATTCTGAATATAATATATTTTAGTAATAATACATTATTGTTTCCATTTTTTTCAATTATTTAAAGTATGCCTTTTGGTTGTTTTTGTTGTTGTTTTGTTTTGTTTTGTTTTCTATTTGACTCCAGAGTCAATATCAGAATCAAAACTACAGTTGACCCTTGAACAACACAGGTTTGAACTGTACAGGTCCACTTATACATGGATTGTTTTCAATAAATATATTGAATTTTTTAGGAGATTTGCAACAATTTTAAAAAGTTCACAGATGAACCATGTAGCCTAAAACTAGTGAAAAAATTTAAGGAAAAGTTATGTCGGCCAGGCGCAGTGGCTCACGCCTGTAATCCCAGCACTTTGGGAGGCTGAGGCAGGTGGATCACAAGGTCAGGAGATCGAGACCATCCTGGCTAACACAGTGAAACTCCGTCTCTACTAAAAATACAAAAAATTAGCCGGGCGTGGTGGTGGGCGCCTGTAGTCCCACCTACTCAGGGGGCTGAGGCAGGAGAATGGCGTGAACCCGGGAGGCAGAGCTTGCAGTGAACCGAGATTGAGCCACTGCACTCCAGCCTGGGCGACAGAGCGAGACTCAGTCTCAAAAAAAAAAAAAAAAAAAAGGAAAAGTTATGTAATGAATGTATAAAATATATGTAGTTACTAGTCTATTTTAACATTTACTACCATAAATTATACACGAATCTATTATAAAAAGTTAAAATTTATGAAAGCTTACACACACAAACATTTACAGACCATACGTGGCGCCACTCACAGTGGAGAGGAATGTTAAGCAAATGTAAAGACGCAGTATGAAATCATAACTGCATAAAACCAACTGTGGTACACACTGTACTACAGCAATAATTTTGTAGCCATCTCCTGTTGCTATTCAGGTGAGCTCAAGTGTTGTCTGTCTGTGTGAGCAGTTCCTCTCTCCAGTAAATTGCAAATCACAGTAAAAAGTGATCCCTCGCAGTTCTCGCGTCTTTTTCATTGTGTTTAGTGCAATACCGTAAACCATGAATAGCACCATGGGTCCCATACGAAGTGCCACTAGTGACGCTGGAAGTGCTCCCAGAAAGCAGACAAAAGTCACGACGTTGCTAGGAAAAGTTGAATTGCTTGACATGTACCATAGCTTGAGGTCTGCAGCTGCAGCTGCTCACCATTTCAAACAGACAATTCATCTTGTAAACAGATGGCATAAACTTACGGTATTGATAAACACAGTACGGTACTGCAAATGCATTTTCCTTATGATTTTCTCAATAACATTTTCTTTTCTCTGGCTTACTTTATTGTAAGAATACAATAAATAATGCATAAAACATACAAAATATGTGTCAATCAGCTCTTTATGTTATCATAAGGCTTCTGGTCAACAGTAAGCTATTAGAGGTTAAGTTTTGGGGAAGAGAAAAGTTAGACAAGGATTTTCAACTGCACAGGGGTCAGCACATTTGTACCTCCCCATTGTTCAAGGATCACCTGTATTTGTGACTTTACATAGCTCATGCTGCACCGGTAAGAGAAGGGAAGAGTGACACGTGCCATCTCCATTTTACAGAGAGCATATGGAGGTACGAGCCACTCCAGTTGGCTGTTTTTCAGAAGGCATACTAGAGCTATAGAATGAAAAGGAGTGATTTTTTAAATGCCATATGCTTAATCTAAATAAGTGGAAGTCAGACAAACAGGGACCTCATCCCAACCCTGCCATTCATAAGCTGTGTAACAATGTGCAAATTCTCTAAACCTTTGTGTCCTCCCAGTGTGGGCTTTAAACAAGATGTGCAGAGAGCATGGCACTTAGTAGGTATGCAGAAACCTGAAGCTGCTACCACCATCATGATTACAAGGACGATGATGCTTCCAGAGCACAATAGGCCCTAGGAAGAGTGCAAAGGAAAAAGAAGATATAATTTGTGCCTTCATGGAACTTCCGGTGTAGTTGAAGAATGCAAACCAGGCAGCCCAGCTAGAAAACCATTTCCATGACAAAGCCCAAGATTCGGCCAGTCCCATTCGCCTTTCCCAGCTCTCGAGGGCAGACTTGTTTGGAAAGGGGCAGAGCATCTCTTCCACAAGTCCTTTCATTGTCCATCATGGTTTTTGTGTCATGGTGGCACTTTGCGGAGAAAACCTGGCCCTTTAAGGAGAAAGCCTGGGCTATGGACCCTAAAGGCCGAGTGGGTAGTCCCATGGCACTAACAGTCCATTTGGCAAGTGTACATTCTGGGGGGTTGCTTTCACAATAAAAAATAATGCCCATCTCGTATTCCCATGTTGAATTCATGGAGCGTCTGCCTAACTCTCGACCCTTTTCCCTCACTCCTTTCGTCCAGATCTGCTGATGGTCTCGAACTTCACACTGTTCCCTCCGGGTCATTCCTACTCTTCCCCACTCCAGGTCAGCCATGTCTGCCCTTTCCCTTTCCCCAGCTTCTTCCTCCCACTGCAGCTGTAGAATCCCTGTTTTCTTGGGAAGAAACTTCTATAGATCCTCCACCTTTCTCATGGTATGCTTCTCTAGTGGGCTGAAGAGTGCTCCCCGAAAATTCATGTGCAATCAGAACCTCAAGATGGGGCCTTATTTAGATTTCATCAGTTAAGATGAGTTCCTACTGGATAGAGCGGGTCCTAAATATAATGAATGACTAGTGCCCTAATAAGAGGAAGGGGCACTCAGGGACACACAGGGAAGAAGACCATGTGGCAAAGATTGGAGTGAGGCAGCTATAGCCAAGACATTCCAACAATTGCCAGCAGCCATGAGAACCCAGGAGAGATGGAAGAAAGTCTCCTCAAATCAAGCAATCCTCCCACCTCAGCCTCTCAGTAGCTGGGACTAAAGGCTTGCACCACCATACTTGGCTAATATTTTGTTTTAGCAGAGATGGGGTCTTGCTATGTTGCCCAAGCTGGTCTAAAACTCCTGGCCTTAAGTGATCCTCCCACCTCTATTTTCCGACATGCTGGAATTACAGGGATGAGCCACTGTGCCTGGCCTTAAGATTTTCTCTTGAGAGTCTAGAGTCTCAATGAGTCTGGACTCCCATCTTCACCAGGCCAAATGACCCTTGCTTCCCAAGACTTCCTCCAGGCCTCCTCTTAGCAGCCTCTTTCTTTTGAAACCCATGACATTGATGCACAGGGTCCTCTCCCAATTCTTTGGTCCATTAGGCACCTAGTTCAGTCTTGCTCCTCAGGCGGGCCTCTGCAGATGCCATCAGTGGATCAAGCCCTGGTCTCATTCACACCTCCTCATCCCCAGTGGCCTCTGTCTTTACTCTGCTGGATGAGATGCTGACCTCCCCTCTATAAGGCTGAGAACACCCAACTTCCCCCCCATCCCCCAGCCCATACTGACTGAGACTCCTCTGCCCTCTTTTCCATACTCTTCTCCCAAATATCAATTTTTCTGGCTTCATCTGCTTTCAATCGTAGAATGGATCCCAGAGACAACCGTTTCATCACTCTGGAATCCTCATCCCTCTGAGCTTCCATCATAACCATATCACCAGTCCCCGGTCCCCAGTAAACCCTTTGCCCATTTGCTCTCGTCCACTCCTAAGCCCCTGAGCGCCGGAGAAAAAGAAACCCAAACCCCTACTAAGTTGGTCCACTGCAAACTGGTGCTAGCTAACCTCAGCCGAACCCTAAAGCTGGTGATTCTTTGGTTATTTCTTGTTTACTTCCTGCTGCTTTCCTCGTGCAGGCTGTCCCATACTCTTTTCCATGTTCCTGAAGTTCCCAACACAATGTCTGTCATCATCTCTCAGGAGAAGACATCAACACCTAATATTCTTAAGGCTTAAGTCAGCCGTTATAAACTCCCCTTAACACTTTCTCTTTGCCTCAAAATTTATCTTCTTTCAAAGGAAAGGGTATTCTTCCTGTTTTCCACCCTACCTTTTGTTCTTGATCGCACACTCTCCTGCCTTCCAGAACTTGCACCCACTAACTGTTTTCTTTCTCTGGCCCTTTCCCACTGACCATAAATATGTTCGGATTTTCTCTCTCTTTTTTTTTTTTTTTTTTTTTTTTTTGAGACGGAGTCTCCCTCTGTCTCCCAGGCTGGAGTGTAGTGGCACGATCTCGGCTCACTGCAAGCTCCACCTCCCGGGTTCACGTCATTCTCCTGCTTCAGCCTCCCGAGTAGCTGGGACTAAAGGTGCCCACCACCACGCCCAGCTAATTTTTCTGTATTTTTAGTAAAGACAGGGTTTCACTGTGTTAGCCAGGATGGTCTCGATCTCCTGACCTCGTGATCCGCCGGCCTCGGCCTCCCAAAGTGCTGGGATTACAGGTATGAGCCATCGCACCTGGCCGTTCAGATTTTCTTTATCCTAAAAATCCTTAATGTCTACTCCCTTTTCTCTCTAAGTATCTGATGTTTCCTTTCCTCTTCTAACAAACCTTTCAGAAAAAAGTTCTGCATTGTGTGTTTATATTCAGTAAGCTTTGTAATGTGCTCTTAGCACTCTCTTAAATTTGGGTGCTTTCCAAAAATCTCTCTTTTCTCCATACTCATTCTAGTAAAGCACACCTCTGACTCTATTTTAAGGTCTTCCATGGATCTCCAAACATCATTAAATAAAATCCCTATCTTCAAGGCCCTTCATACTTGGGTCCCAACCTACTTCTCCAGCCTCATTTTCCATTACTCCCTTACATCCACACCATCCGGCAAAATAAATAAATAAATAAATAAATAAAGCTTCAGTATCCCCCAAGTATGCCCTGCTTATTTCTGGTCCCTTCTTTCCAACTCTGCTATCTGTTTCCTCCTGACATTCCCAGGTTTTACAACATGTCCCACCCATCTCAAATCTCTACCAATGAAAATTCTATCGTTATCTCAATGCCCATTCAAGTGGTATTGTCTCCAGAGCCTTTCATCATTCATCATTCATCCAGAAATGCTCTCTCCCACCTCTGAGCTGTATAAAGCAGTCATTTATCACATTCCCTTGGATTGACAGTGACTTACATATACATGACCATGAATCTTAGTTTAACCAAGACTGTCGAGTTTATATTCATCCTCTTGGGGTTATTATGAAGACCACCTCTCTTCACTCTCAAACGTACACAAATTTGAATACTAAATTATATGGTCACCTTTTCTCTATATAGGATTCACCCCCTTCCAAACTAGATTGCAAATTCCCTAAGTACCCAGAACAAGAATGTATACAGTAAGCCCTCATATTTGTTGAATGAATAATAAATAAACAAAATGAGTAAAGAAAGATAGAGCCTCAATGTGGTTTGTCATCAAGTTAACCTGAACCAATCTTTTCCTTTTTTACTGACTCATTCTCATACATATAAAATAAGGATGTTTCTGATTTATTTCCAGGAAGATTGCAAAAGTTATTTTAAGGTTTTCAGGAGGAAAAACGCTGTAAATCTAGGGTAACGTTTTATTATAATTTTCAAAATGTCTCACCAGTCTCTAAAAAATAACTTATCAGATAGTATATGGAGAGATTTAGACATCTATTAGCAGTTCTATTTTAAGTAAGAAGGTAGGTAAGTCCTTACTTAATTATACTAGGTAAATATTAACGTATTTTTTGGCATTTTTCTATATTTTCTATATTCTTAAGCCATCTAACAAGTGAAAGGCATACAATAATTTTTACTTTAACTTTTCTATTTATTCAGTATCAGGCAAATGGAAATTACCATTCCTTGTATTAACGTACTTTTAAATTAGACTAAAAAAGAAAAATAAAAGTAGTTATCATAGGCAATCGAGCTGTCCTGGCTCAAAAAATAACCCAAACAAGCCAGTAAATCTTAATCTAACTTTAATTTTCACAACTAAAGCCTAATGTATAAACAATCAAAACAAACCATTAGGAAGACGTACCTTGCAATCAACATGTGGTCCTGAATGTAGGCTAAAAATTGAGGGTGATCTTTTCTGGCAATGTATAAACATTCTCCATGCAGACAGAGAATCTTCAGGCAATTGAGCATATTAAAAAGAATGTCTGGCTCTTCAAACTTAGCCATTTCCTATACAAAAAACCACATGGTTACTAAGTTATCCAAAACAGTAATGCTACCAAGCCAAGTATTCAAAGACATCAGAAAATATACCTGGAAAATGGTATATATTAGTCTCAATGTTACCGGAAGCTGTTGGTAGCAAAATTTTCTTTCGGTATCATTCTTTACTGCTGTGAAGAAATAATTACACAAAAATTAGGCTAACTCTTCCTCTCCCCCATCATTCATCAATTTATCAAGATCATAAAAACCAAGAAGAGTAAAAAATTGACATATATGCAAAATTGTTTGAGAAAACTTTTTATCTGCTCTCCACATTAGCATATATCCCTGCTATGATACAAGTGCAGGAAATCTTCTGAATTGAGGATTCTCAGTTTCCATTTTCCACTGCGCAGTCCATCATGTATTCAGATGTCTTTGGCTCCCTGGAGCTAACCCTACCCAAAGACAACTGAATACATGATTGATTGCACAGTGCTGCTAGTTCTGTTAGTTCTGCTGCTCCCTGAAGGGACCTGGAACCTGGCTAGCTATGCCTTCCTAATTGGAAGGGAGATATGCAGGTATTAAAGAGAGGTGTTTGGATGGGCGCGGTGGCTCATGCCTGTAATCCCAGCACTTTGGGAGGCCAAGGCGGGTAGATCACTTGAGGTCAGAGTTCAAGACCAGCATGGCCAACATGGTGAAACCCCATCTCTACTGAAAATACAAAAATTAGCCAGGCATGATGGTGGGCATCTGTAATCACAGCTACTTGGGGGCTGCGGCAAGAGAATCACTTGAACCTGGGAGGGTGGAGGTTGCAGTGAGCTGATATTGAGCCACTGTACTCCAGCCTGGGCAATAGAGCAAGACTCAGTCTCAAAAAAAAAAAAAAAAGAGAGAGAGAGAGGTGTTCAATTTGTACTAGCAACTGAAGAGGTTTATCCCATGGATTCTCACAAAAAGAGGTAGATTTTGAAACAGTTGAACATATTCAGATGAGAACAACTACTCATTATTTTCACCCTCTCGGGAGGATCTCTAAAACTTTTGCCCCCATACTGGGGGCATCAATGTATTATACATGAGGCATGCTAGAGAAAAGAATTCACAAGTTAACCAGATGCAGAAACTAGTGCAGAATGTGTTAAAATCACCATTACACGTTTTGGCAATCCCTAGGATCAGAGGCAACGGCAGTCAAATTCTCTTGATCTAGATACTGAAAAGTCCATTGGGAATCTTCCGCCTGAATGTATTTTAAATGCTTGTCATAAGTACTTGACTGTTTTGTTTGATGTGAAAGTTTTAAATATATTTTTGGTGGTGGACATATCTGACCATGATAAGAAATAGGGCCAGGCCTCAAGATGGGAAAAAGGGAAACACACTAGAAGGGAGGGGAAGTCTCTGAACACGTGTCGACAGAGCACCCCTGAATTCTAGGACAGAAGAGCTCCAGATCACTGCCTGAAGGCCCGCAGAGCAGAAGCAGGAGAGAGGCTCTGAGGGAACCCTGGTCTTAAGGCCTGCAGAGCAGAAGCAGGAGAGAGGCTCTGAACAGCAGGGAACCCTGGTCTTGGAAGAAAGAGAAGAGGGACTCTCCTGCAGAGACAATTTATAACTGCATCCTGCAAGACAGCGGAGAGTCTGAGCAGGAAAAGAGGCTAAAGCTGCCACAGGAGCCTGGAGGAGCATGCAGGGGAGAACAAAGCATGTGTTTTAATAAGTGGACTGTATAACAATACAGCAAGGAAAAGAAAAACATTTAAAAATAAATTGCTGGCCAGGCGCAGTGGCTCACGCCTGTAATCCTAGCACTTTGGGAGGCTGAGGCAGGTGGATCACTTGAGGTCAGGAGTTCGAGACCGGCCTAGCTAACATGGCAAAACCCCATCTCTTAAAAAAAAAAAAAAACTTAGCCAGAGTGGTGGTGGGTGCCTGTAGTCCCAGCTAGTCAGGAAGCTAAGAAATGAGAATTGCTTGAACCTGGGAGGTGGAGGTTGCAGTGAGCCGAGATCACACCACTGCACTCCAGCCTGGGCAACACAGTAAGACCCTGTCTCAAAAAAAGAAAAGAAAAAAGAAATTGCTTAATTTTAACCATTGCTCCAATAAAATATTACGCAGAGATAAAAGCAGCAGTTAATTGATCTGTGTGCTAGCTTAGGTTTAAAAAATATATTTGCATAGAAAGAGTACAGGCTATTGGATCATGAGTGAAGTCCCAGCTTCCCATAGGCATGAATGCCTGACAGAAACACAACTGTAGGCCTGGGCCCTGGCTGCTGCAGCACCTACAACAAGTTAATTAATCCTAAATTAAAGTAGAAGACCTGGGTTCTAGTCCCAACCCTGCCACTAATTAGTTGTTTCCCATTCCCAGGTCCCCATCCCAGGGATACCCAGACTTGAAGCTGGGGAGTGGAGCTTTTGTTTGTGTTTCTGCTTCTCAGGGATTCCGATGTTCCGTTACAGCTCTGGAATCATGTGAAATATGAAGTATAAATTGTGAATGAATAGTAGGAGTGACATGACCAGGGGCAAGTTGTTTAACCCATCTGGGATTTATTTTCCTCATCTGCCAAGTACAAAGGCTAAACTGGATCAGCAGATTGTAAACTTCTTTTCTGCAGAATATTCTGTTTGCAGAAAATCTTAGAATTCCAACATATGGCCGGGTGTGGTGGCTCATGCTGTAATCCTAGCTCTTTGGGAGGCCGAGACGGGTGGATCACTTGAGTCTAGGAGTTCGAGAACAGCCTGAGCAACATGGCGAAAACCCATCTCTACAAAAAGTTTAAAAAACTAGCCGGGCATGGTGGAGCATGTCTGTGGTCCCAGCTACTCTGGAGGCTGAGGTGGGAGGACTGCTTGAGCCCAGGTGGTCAAGGCTGGAGTGAGCCGTGATCGGGCTCCTGCACTCCAGCCTGGATGACAGAGCAGGACCCTTATCTTAAAAAAAAAAAAAAAAAAAGACCTCCAACATATGAAAGAGAGTAAGTTGGAGCAATCTGGCAGAAGCAAGGTGGGGAGCCTGGGTCTTTATATTTTGCCCTCCTCTTCCCCCCAGGGGTTGCCCCAATTGAGGATGTTCCAAAAGAAATCACACTGAGCCCTTACAGCTTCAAGAAGTGCACACCGAAAACCAGTGAACCAGCTCACCTCAGGTATTCCTTCAAATTCTAAAGTTTATGACATGAAATAGTGTGAGCTGAGATATTCATACACAATTCACTGTTCATATGATCCATGGAGAAGCAGTTAGTTCTGACCGAAGATTTAGTAGGGTTACCTTCGTTTGAATAAGACACCTCCACAGTTGCAATGAACCCCAGAAAACAGTCCCCTAATAATATCTGCTGCTCACTGAAGAAATGATGCCAAGCCCATGCCTCCTGATACTGGAGTGGGCTCCCAGGAGCAAGCTATTCTTTATTTATTTATTATTTTTTTTTTTTTTGAGCAGAGTTTCACTCTTGTTGCCCAGGCTGGAGTGCAATGGTGCGATCTCGGCTCACCACCTCTGCCTGCCCAGTTCAAGCGATTCTCCTGCCTCAATCTCCCTAGTAGCTGGGATTACAGGCATGAGCCACCACACTTGGCTAATTTTGTATTTTTAGTAGAGACAGGGTTTCTCCAAGTTGGCCAGGCTGGTCTTGAACTCCCGACCTCAGGTGATCCGCCCACCTTGGCCTCCCAAAGTACTGGGATTACAGGTATGAGCCACCGCGCCTGACCAGGAGCAAGCTATTCTAACTCTTCCGGATCATGGATGCAGGAAGATTGAAAAGCTGCCCAAATTTGCCCCAGGTCTCATATAGATCCCCAGAGTGCCACCACCCAGAGCTAGAAATCAGGCTTTCCCAGAGGCACGTGGGGTCACATCCTGAAATCCCTAAACGTCCTCATGTGAGAGGAGCTAGAGTACGATTCCTGAGCCTATCTGCCATCTCACTGCCCCCATTGCGTCCACCCAAGAGCTTTGAGACAAATGAAAAAGTGGCTGCTCCCCAGTCCCAGCTAAGAGCCAGCAAAGTAGCCTTCGAGCTCAGCCTGCACAGCCCAACCGCCAGAGCCCCACTGCTTCTATTCAGAAACACTCTGCTTTAGCCAAATGCCCTGAGTGGCTGTCAAGATTGTCAGCACCCAGCCTTGGTCCACAGAGAATACCTCGCATTGTAAGTAGGGAGGCGATGAGTTTTTATTGAAAACCGGTGCCCGCTGCCAGAAAGATGCTCAGGGAACTGGGTTCTATGGGAACTGTAACGGATCTGTTCATTTTATAATCCGCTGGGAGATGTTCCTCTGCACGAGTCTATACTAAGGAAACCACGTCTGAATTTGCCCAAGTCGATATTAAACCAAGAACCCGGTGATTTGAGCATCAGGCCATGTGCACGTGGCGCATTCCCCGGCAGTCAGTGCACACCTACCAGCATGTTCCACGGGCTCGGTGCAGTTGCCTGGGTTCTCCCCATGCTTGCTTGCAGGATTCTCCTCCTCCTCCCCTTCAGGGCCTATGATAAACTCTGGTCTGGAAGAAAGGAGGCTATCCTCCAGGCTGTCTGTGGGCTCCTGAAATAAACAGGACAGGCAGCCAGGTAAGCAGCCCTGGAGGGGTGTCAGGAACGGTTTGCTCAGCTCAGCAAAGCTGGACTGCACACCTGCTGTGTCTCGGGTCCCATGCTGCTGAGGCCAGAGGCCAAGGCACCACACCCCAGAAGACCCTGGAGCTTATTGCTGGAACAGTGAAAAGAAATCTCTATCCGCTATTGCTGAAACATTTTCTTTCACTTCAAATATATATAGAAGAAGATCAAAAACATCATTAAATCTTCCTAGGCCTGCTTTCTCACCTCTGCATTAGTCTCCAAGATCAGTGTCCCACTCATCAAGTCATTCTCACCCATGTACATTTTATTCAATAACAGGACTTGATTAGGAAGGAATAATAACGGGTTCACAAAGCTATATTAAGATGCAAATGGCCGGGCATGGTGGCTCATGCCTATAATCCCAGCACTTTGGGAGGCCGAGGTGGGCGGATCACGAGGTCGGGAATTCGAGACCAGCCTGACCAACATGGTGAAACCCCGTCTCTACTAAAAATACAAAAATTAGCTGGGCGTGGTGGCACATGCCTGTAATCCCAGCTGCTAGGGAGGCTGAGGCAGGAGAATCGCTTGAACCTGGGAGGCAGAGGTTGCAGTGAGCCGAGATCATACCACAGTACTCCAGCCTGGGCGACAGAGTGAGACTCTGTCTCAAAAAAAAAAAAAAAAAAAAAAAAAAAGATGCAAATACTGGCCAGGTGTGGTGGTTCATGCCTGTAATCCCAGTGCTTTGGGAGGGTGAGGCAAGGAGGATCACTTGAGGGCAGGATTTGAGACCAGCCTGGGCAACATAGTGAGACCTCATCTCTAAAAGAATGTTTAAAATTATCCAGGCATGGTGGCATGCCTGTGTCCAGTTACCGAGGAGGCTGAGGTAGGAGGATTCTTAAGTCCAGGAGTTCAAGGCTGCAGCTATTCATGATCACACCACTGCCCTCCTGGGTGACAGAGCAAGACCCTATCTCTAAAAATAACAATAATAATAATAAATAATTTTTTTAAAAAAATTTAAAGACACAAATACTGGTTGTCCAGGGTAGTCAAATTTTTAGGAGTGAAAAACTGCTATAACATGTGAGTTACAGACAGCAAGGTATGGCAACCCAAGTGTCTGTCAACAGCTAGATGGAGAAACAATTTAAAAATGCATACATTTGGCCAGGCATGGTGGCTCATGCCTGTAATCCCAGCACTTTGGGAGGTTGAGGAGGGTAGACCACTTGAGCTCAGGAGTTCAAGACCAGCCTGGGCAACATGGCAAAACCCCGTCTCCACAAAAAATAATTTAAAAATTAGCCAGGCATGGTGGTGGGCACCTGTAGTCCCAGCTTCTTGGGAGGCTGAAGTGGGAGAATCACCTGAGCCTGGGAGGCAGAGGTTTCAGTGAGCCATGATCAAGCTACTGCACTCCAGCATAGGAGACAGAGTAAGGCACCGTCTCAAAAAAAAAATACATTTTACAGTATCCATTGTCACTTAAACTTTGTAATATAACTTTGTGATAAAAGTTCTTTTAAGAATACTACTAATGCATGGAACCATATGAATGGAGGTGCTACAACCCTCACTCAAGCCACTTAATAGAATTCCGTATAGCGTGGCTTCAGTTTGTATCCCTTTCCAAGAGCCTGAGTTGGCAGAAGCAATGGGAAAAGTTTCTTTTAACACAGTCTCACGTATAACCCAGCATGGAGTATAAGATGCTGCTGGAGGAAGACTCCATTACATCAGCTACTGCAGTCTTTAATGCTATTATACATGGGTCATCTCGTTTCTTCAACTGCTTACCACCAGCCGGCTTTCTTCTTTAGGAGCTAGTCTCTCCAGGAGTTCACAAGCAAGCTGATAGCAGAGGATACTAGACTGACATAAGTTGCACTCGATTGCTTTTTCGTCCTTCTGGCAGGTGTGGGATCCCCCCCAGGGGGCTTGGAAGACATTGTTTATAATAGAAATAATGTCCTTTGATAAGCTGTGCTCTAAACCCATCGTGATTCCATCATCTTGTAACTCCATCTGAAAGACATCAAAAAAAGGACACACGCACACACACACAAAAAAAAAAGAAGAAGAAGGAGTTTGGTCCATTTGTCCAATATTCCATTGGCACACTACTTGGGGATGATTTTCACTAACTGACAGAAATATTGAATTATTTAAAGACAATATAGGCTTCAAGACCATGAATATACATTGCTGTCCGTGGGTTTTTCTAGAAGGAATATAAACACAAGATGAAGCAATTGGAATTATTTTAAAAATCATGTAGGAGATTTAAAAGAGAGTTGTTGCTTTTGGCTAATCGGTTTGTGAGATTTTACACATTTAAAAAATGCTGCTCCTCACCTAGAGTCCAGATCTTGGTTTCTAAATACCATGAGCTGCTAAAAGGAACCAGGGCTCCTTGGAGAAATGGCTGAATTCCAGGGCTGGGGCTAGGAAAATATAAGATGAGCCTGGAACATCTTGTCACACCAGAAATCAAGGAAGAGTTCATAGAATGATGTGGATGTGCCAAAAGAACACAGGAGCCAGCTTGAAAAGATTCCCACTGGCCAAATGCGGAACAATACGAGCATCAAAATACAGAATCATAGTAACAGATTATAACCCACCAAATAACATAAAAATCCATGGGCACTGCGGGATGAGTAGATAAATAAATAAACACATAAATGGGAAAGAAGGAGAAAGTATTCCATCAGTAGAATACCAGTGAATACATTTAGAAGAAATGATGGAATTGGAAAATTATCACTCGACTGTCATGATAGTAATAATTGATGAGTCATCCATTGATGCTAACACTAGTGGATGAAAGCCTGATCATAAACAGGAAATCCATAAGGTAGTTACAAATTACTTATTAGTTACAAAAGGGAAAATAGTGACTTTATCACAGAAAAATGTGGCAGATTTTGGTCTCTTGGTTAAGGTGACCAAAGTTATCATCACAGTAATGGGACATTATTATATCTTACGCCTGCTGACATGATGCATTACAAAGGACATAACATCACATCTGTGGTCTTCCTGCCAAAAAAATGCATGACCCAAATTAATTCATAAGGAAGCATCAGGCAAACTCAAATTGAGGGACAGTCCACAAAATAACTGGACTATACTCTTCAAAAATGTCAAGGCCCCATAAGTATAGACACCTACGAGGTACCCACAAAAATTAAAAATAATTTTAAAAAAAAGTCAAGGACATGAAAGATAAAGACTGAGGAACTGTCCTAGATTAAAGAAGACAAAGGAAACAGTATCTGTAATTGCAATGAGTGCTTCTAGATTGTTCCTTAATCAAAGCCAGGCTTTTTTCTCTTGCTATAAAGATGACATTACTATTATTATATCAATTTTCAAAATTAATAATTTCTGCAAGTTATGTAGTAGTACTATAACACTATTAATTTCCTGATTTTGATAACTGTACTGTGTTTATGTAAGAGAATGTCCTTTTTTTTAGAAAATACACTCTGAAGTGTTTAGGGATAAAAGGACATCATGTCTGCAATTTAGTCTCAAATGATCTATTAAAAATTAACGCATACACATGCAGAGAAAGAGAAGCAGATGTGGTAAATGTTAACATCTGGAGAATTGTGGGGAGGAGTATTTGGGAATTCTTTATAGTATTCTTGTAACTTTTCTGCAAATCTGAAATTATTTCAAAATAAAAGGTTAAAAAGAAATGTTCTCATCAAAACCTTTTTAACTTCTCTTTTTAAATTAATTTTAAAAATCAATGTATAAAATATATTAAAATTAGCTTCATCACTATAGAGTTGTACCTTGCCCTTCCCAACAATAGTATCATCCTTTTTGTTAATGCAATTTATTTAACAGAATCAATTCTAATGACACTAGGGTGTTTCTAAAATTCAATCCATTCTCATATGTCAACATCACTGCAGATATTCACATAAGTAGTTTTCAGACTTTTTAGAAAATCTCCAAAGGAGTTTGCAAAAGGTCTTGGGTGATGCTGAATCATTTTGATAAGTGTGGAGATGCCCAACACATGGAAAGAATTGCTGTACAACGCTTTCTCTCATTCTTCACCTCTGAACTAAAGGAAGCTCATGCTTCAGCTACCTGCTTCAGGAGAAGATCAAACATGAGGATGAAACAATTTAGATTCATTTCATCATCTTCACAATCAAAGTCAATAGTCCTTCCTCCTGGGTGTCCAAAATTCTTGAAAGGGCTACGAAACGGACTACGCAAAGGACTCCGAAACGGACTCTGGAAAGGACTATGAAATGGACTAAGCATATTGTGCTGAACTCGTCGGCCAGGATCAGAGGCAACACTCACCTACAAGAAAGAATGGCAACACATAGAAATGAACTCACAGAAGCTCAAATTGCTGTGTAAAATATTCGGGGACTCTATGGAAGGTATTTCCAGCTGTCACACTTATTTCTTTCCTTAACCAATGGCATTAGTACCTCCAAATACTAAGGATTCTCTCAATATATAAAAACAAGAAATAAAACCACTCAAACTTCCTAGTTGTCAGGAAGTGACATCAACACCCTGAAGAATGAAGGCATCTGCCATTACATTTTTCAACCCATCAAACATGTCCAATTAGACCGGATTGTTTGAGTCTACTGAAAATTGTACCCCGAAAAATGAGAACTTACAAAAGTAAAATATTGCAAGATAATGTTTAGAATCAGAAGCACAGAATCTCAGGTTGACCTGATTGGTTAAAAGATGGTCTCTGGGGATTACAATTATTAAACTATTATGAGACAACAATATATGACAAACCTTTTGTACTGGTTATTCTCCATTTGTCCACCCAACCCCCACTCAGACTCTTACTACCTCCTTGGCCCTACTCTATGCCCAAGAAGTCGTGGACTGAGTCTCCTCTGGCTCCTTTGCTGCCTAGCTTCCAGTTGGGTTAAGTCAATGGTTTTTTTTGGATTATTTTGTTGTTGTTTTGTTTTGGGACAGTCTTGCTCTGTTGCCCAAGCTGGAGTGCAGTGGCATGATCACGGCTCTCTGCAGGCTTGACCTCTCACTCTCAAGCAATCCTCCCACCTCAGCCTCCCAAGTAGCTGGGACAAAAGGCATGCACCACCAGGCCCAGCTAAGTTTTTGAAAATTTTTTTGTAGAGACAAGGTCTCCACCAGGCCCAGCTAAGTTTTTGAAAATTTTTTTGTAGAGACAAGGTCTCATTATGTGGCCCAGGCTGGTCTCTAACTCCTGGACTCAAGCAATCCTCCCACTTCAGCCTCCTGAAGTGCTGGGATTAGAGGCATAAGCCACCAAGCCTGACTGGGTTCAGTCAATGGGAGGTACCAGCAGAATTCCTGAGACCTGGAGGAGAGAGAGGCAGGAGTATTTCTCCCCTCTCCCTGCCCACTTGGGTGCTACATCTCTGGGAGCATCTCCAGCACTCCGTAACTTCTCCAACCAGCCCTTTCTTACAGTTTCAGCTCCCGTTTGGTGCCCCAGGAACTCTTTCCCTTGTTCCTTCAGCCCTGGGAGTGTAAGGACTTTCTACTGGACTGTACCTGGACTCTAGGTGTCTTGTCCACCCATATTGCTCCTTTAGCTCCTTTAAGCTTTCCCATAATACTATAGGAAGAATCTCCATTAAAGTCTGTCATTTAAACTATCTGGGATAAATTCTGAATCAGGACCCTGACTAACACATCTGTACTTCACTCTCAAATCATATTTCTCTCTCTTTTTTTTCTTTTTCAATTTTTATTTTAGAATCGGGGGAACACATGTGCAGGTTTGTTACAAAGTTATATTGCATGATGCTGAGGTTTGGGGTATGATTGAACCTATCACCTAGGTATTTTTCTGTCTTAAAAATCTTTGTGGTAACCACAAAGCTCTTCAAACACCATTTTTAAGGTAAAAAGGAAGATTACCCCATTAAGAATCAGAATACCCAGGTATTCACGGTGTTTCTGTAGGAAATCACTTCACTTCACTGAACATCAGGTTAGGTAGTTGTAAAATGAAGATAATGAGTTCTTCCCTGGCTGCCTCACACAATTCTGTGATATTGTTTGCTGTGAACACATTGCACAGAATAAAGTGCTACACAAAGGAATGTCATCTTAAAGGTTACAGAAGAAAGAAAGAAAGTACAGATGGTTAGCAGCTGGCTCCTATCAGGAAGATGACAAAATAAGTAAGGATATTCTTTAAAACACTGAATGCAAACCCATAATCATGTTCCATGTTTTAATCCCTAGATGTCAGGTGGGATGGCTGGAGGCCTGTGGCATACAGTGGGGGAAATTTTGTAGAGAGGCTTGACAAGGAAAGAGTGGAGGACATTTTCTGCCAACCATCCAATAAGAGTCAACCTTTCCACAGCTGCTCACGGCCTGAGAACAGCAGCACATCAGCAGAGACTCTATCAGGCCTCCATAGAAAAATAACCAAAGCTGTCCAGCAGTTTGTATACACTTTAGACCAGACTATCTTGACTTTTCTCATCTACAATGATGCAAAGGGGTCAATAAAATGGGCTCAGTTGGTTCACAGTGACAGCATCCCTCACAGTCACCAGTAGTTGATCATATCTTCCCAAAAGACAAGGAAAAAAAAACAATCATCCAAACTCCTCCCAGACTCCTCACCCCCAAAGTGAAGCACTGATCTGCCTAGGAGATGGTAAAAAATTCTTATTCACCAGGAGACTCATAAAAATGGAATGTTACCAAAAAGCTACTCTTTTTCATCAAGGGAGAAAGCTAAAATTCAAAGAAATTAAAAATAAAATGAAAACTCAATAACTTACTGATTATAAACTATACCAAACAAATGTGACTATTTAATGCACTTAAAAGATGAACACAGCGAGATGGGCTGAAAACACATTTTTGGTTTCTTATGACAGTACTTTCAGGCGTAGGATAACTGACAAGGGTTTTCAAGATTTTTAAAAGCAAGACAAGAACAAATGTGGCAATAATTACCCTTCGAGATGCAAGGTTCCCTGCCAGTTCACTGACTCTTGATTTTCTTTGATTTGCCAGCTCTTTGACTGAATTAACTCCATCAGAAAACATACTTATTAGTAGTTGAAGTGGAACCATGATATCTAACTCCGATAATACCTAGGGAAAAAAGGCATATATCCCCCAAAAAACACATGTAAATTTTAAAACTCAAAAAAGCTATATTTAACCTTCTTTTTCCAAAGCAAATTATTGAACATAAGGATAATTAGCCTTACACGTATTCTATCAACACAGTCATCCTCCAATTTTCATACTAAGAAAATCAAAGTTATCACTGAACTTTCTCCTTTCCTCACCCCCAGCATCCAATAGGTCACCATGTTCTTTCTATTAACACTTCTCAGTTTCTTTTGATGCTGTCCCCCACTCTCCATACCCACCACTAGTGCCT
Source organism: Homo sapiens (assembly GCF_000001405.40). Classification (NCBI taxonomy): domain Eukaryota; kingdom Metazoa; phylum Chordata; class Mammalia; order Primates; family Hominidae; genus Homo; species Homo sapiens. The sequence goes on along the minus strand of NT_187601.1, from coordinate 689,324 downwards.
TAGATCCCCACCTTTCTCCTGGACTAGCACTGCTTCTCCAGTCCATCCCCACTCTGATCTCAATGACCCATCCGATCCTGCTGTCTGGTACAACTTCATGTCAATCTGGGCCCAAATCAAGTCACTTTCTCTGTCATTAATTTTCTGGAAAAAAATGCCTTCTTCCTTCAGACAGAATTAATCCATCCCTGTTTTCTGCTTTCTTAACCTTTATACATATCTTTATTAGAGCAATTATTACTTTTTCTTCTGTTTAATTATCTAATCCTATCCCTCCCACTGTGAGCTGCTTAAAGAAAGGAAGTACGCAGAAAGGACTATTTCCGGTCCCATTTTTTATTCCAGTGCCTATTTCAGTGCCTGGCACATGGGAGCTCTTGTACGTGCTTCCAGAATTAATTATAAATGAGTCAACTCTAACCACTTTAGTGTCCACTCTATCCTCCAAATAGACCAAGGCTGGAAAACCTTCTTCAGCTGCAGCACTCTGTCTTATAAACCAAGGCTGGATGAAAGCCCAGTTCATAAAACGTGTAAATGTTGCCACTGTAGCTATAGGGGGGGACAAAGCTGTATGGGCTTATCCCCAAAGAGCACAGTGTAAGGGCTGTGCAACGGGGTAACTGAGGCAACATCCAGCCATCTGTAGGAAGACTGGCTTTCTTAAAAGGAGAATTACCTTACTGAAATCCATTTGGGAATAAATGGTTTAAATTCTAAATCCCAAAGTTGACTGTTTGTTTGTTTGTTTGTTTTTTGAGACAGGGTCTCACTCTATTGCCCAGGCTAGAGTGCAGTGGCTTGATCATAGCTCACTGCAGCCTCGATCTCCTGGGCTCAAGAGATTCTCCCGGCTCGGCCTCCCAAGTAGCTGGGACTACAGGCGTGCGTCACCACGACCAGCTAATTTTTGTATTTTTTGTAGAGACGGGCTTTGGCCATGTTGGCCAGGCTGGTCTTGAACTCCTGAGCAAGTGATCTGCCCACCTTTGCCTCCCAAAGTTCTGGGATTACAGGTGTGAGCTACCGAGCTGGTCCAAATTTTGACTTTTTAAAAAATGGTCCCTTTACTCTTTGTCAAATGCGAAGAATATTGCTCTTTAGTTTCGAAAAGGTGTCTTTACAACTTGAAGAGCTTATGGGATCCTATCCTTGCATGACACAGAAATGTACCTGTATCTGTAGTTAATCTAAACATTGATTCTGTCCTCATTTTCTAAAACTGCCCAAACTCATATCAGGTATTCAAGTTAATTTAATAAACTTTAATTGAACATCCACTTTTAAATACAAGCGTGTGCCATATTCTAGGAGGAGAGGATGAAGAGGGTTATAAATACAGAAATGAGTAAGACCTGGCCCCTGTACTCAAGAGCTTGAAATCAGGTGGCGAGACAGACAAAAACTGTGAGACAGAAATAGAACCAAATTCACACAGAGAACCTGGGAAGATGAGGGTTTGAAGTAGCAGGAAAGTTCACATAGGGGATAATTTTTGAGATGGACTTTAAAAGATAGGTTGGAGTTCACAAATAGAGACAGGAAAGGAAGTCATTCCAGGCTGAGGGAACAGCATGAACTACTCACTAAATCCTTCCCCATCTTTCCAAGTAAAGGACCTGTTTAATATCAAAGATTTATCAGAATCCCACAAGACAGCTATTGTACTTTTAATAGCTATTGATGGAAAAATACAAAAGGACCTAAAGCTACTAAGAATTCAGTAATATTATTGCACAATTTATATATTTATATGTTATTAACCACAACTAGAGCAACATATATTTGAAATTTACTCATTTATCTATGCATAGGAGATACACTTTCTTGGCAAACATGGGGACTTACGAAGTCTTTGCTATAACTCCCACTCTCTCGATCCAGGGATCTAAAGCTTATAAGCTAAGAACTATTTCCTAAAATGATCGAAAGTATTATTCACTTACATGAAGCCACAGTAAAGCTTGCTCCTGCACAGAGGAGGGGTATCCTGTAAACCGACAACTAATAAAACCAAACATCTCCTCCATTGAGAAAGGCAGAGGACAGAGTTCAATGTCAAACATTTTGCTGGAAAGCAGAGCAACAAAAGTAAATGACCAATGGGCATAGATTGGGTTCTACTAATACCACCACCGTCTTTCTAACTATTCCCTATTTGGAGAGCCAAGCCTTTTAGATTAGTTTGTATTCTGAACTGTTATCAGCATATTTCACTTTACTGTAAGAGAAGTTTATGTCATTGAAATAGAGATCTTATAAATAATTCATATGGTTGTTAATAACATTACTGTTCTTCCTCATATTAGGTTTAACAGAAGGAATTGCATTTCTAAGGCATTAGCATTGCTCCCTAGCATCTAAAACAGTTTCCCTTTGCACTTTTCCACCACATCCCACCAATTATAATTATATTTGAAAATTTCAAAATAAGTAAACATCTGTTTTTATCTATTTACTATTCCACAAGAACAAAATCTTTTCTGGACAATGCCAAATCATCTTAGGTTGAGGTATTGCAGCTATTTCATGTTGGGGCTTCAAGTTTCTCCACAGGGTGGTTAAAAAATAAATGAGATTATATAAAACGCTTAGTAGGGTGACCGGCATACAGTACATGCTCACCAAACGTTAGATATGATTATAATTACAGTGACTTCATTAAACTACTTACCCACCTTAATACTTCCCTGAATTCTTTTAACTGATTATCTGGGACTTCTGTTCTGATGGCTTCCAGCCATTCCGGCATAATACACTCCCAGACAGATTGATTGATCACATTATAGGGGATCAGGCAGAGGATTCGGTTGAGACCTTCCTTCAGCTGAGTCACTGTGCTACAGGACTTATCCCAGTAGCCACCAACCTGAAGAGGTTTCCATAGCCACAGGGGAAAAGAATGAAACACACTGGTTACAATTATACTCAAGGACTTCCTAAGGCAATGGGTACAGAGAAAGGCCACAATCCATCATGTCTGAGTCCTAGGCCAAGAATCTTCAGTGTGAGATTGATTCGTAAGACGGCAAACCACCAGGATCCATCAGTTACAGAAAGGAAAACATAGTTACGAATAGGCTCAAATATTGATTACAGATGGAATTTTTAATGATGCTACTGTTGATTTTCCAAATCACATGTGAATTAAAATTCCAAAGATTTATTCCCAACAGGATGAGCATACTATTAGAGCATTCTTATTCCTCAAGTCTGATAAATCCATTACAACATGCACGTTATACCTGTGCTTCAGAGGAACACGGTTTTCTACTACTGCATGCTTTGTATTGCAGATTTTTCATTACAGGAAATACGGTAGTACACAGTGCTCTTTTTACCCTATGCTGCGTACCCTGCCACAATTTTTTTCCTAAGAATGTTCTAAAGGTAGTTGAATCTGTGAATAAAAAGGACTGGCTTTTTAAACTAATTAAGATAGTATATCAATTTTTAAGAGCAGGAAAAAGTTAAAATCACGAATTTACAAACTTAGGTTGTTTATAATCCTGATGTTAGAGATCGTATATTCTAAGTATCAACGTAACAAAGGTTAAACTGGTCCTGAGTCTTTACTAAATAACACAAGATGTGTGAGAAACTACCTTAATTTAAATGAATTCAATTTTAAATGTTTATTACATCTAGAATTCCAGATTATTCCAAAAAATCAATCAATTCTATTTTAAAGCTCCAATATCTATTTGGTGCCATATTGACCAAAATCCTAGACAAGACAATTGACTAAATATTTTCAAGAAATGACTATATTTCTATAATTTCTGTTGTGTTGTTGTTAGTTACAGGTACAGACAGAAAAGAGCCAGCACTAATAACACTGAGATCCTGAAATATATCATTACTGAAGTTTTTTGGCTATGTAGTTTATGGTCAAGCCACATAATAAGGCTTATTGGTTTTGAATAGTACGTTGGAACAAGTACGCTTTTGGAAACCCTAAATTGTCAGTGGCCAGAAGACAGATCCTTTGGGTTGGAAGAGCTTTCATATTTAAAAGGATTTTTAGAGAGCACTTACCCTAAGCAAATGTCCTAATTACCCATAGGGGAGGATGAAATGGAAAGAAGGACACAAAAAGTATCACAGCTAGCCTAAAACGCTCCCTTAATAAAATTAAATAACAGAAATCAGATTTAGAACAAAAATTTAAATCTACACCCACCATAAACTCCCCTTCACCACCTTCCTCCTGCACATGGCCCAGGGGAAGGCTGATAGTCCAGTCTGATAGGAGATATTATGGAAGACTTCCCTTTACAGGTCAATGGGCTGAAGTGGAATGATATGCTCAGAGGGCAGGAATTTATCCTAAAGGCTCTGTTAAAAGATTTATAAAAACATTCCAAAGGCACACAGCTCTAAATTCAGAAGCCCTGGAACACAGGAATCTTTTGGTTTCCATGTCAGTTAGAAATTTTCTCTCCGACCTAAGGGGACAATTTCAAAATAGGGCAGTTGGATGGGCAGGCCAATCCGTGAATGCTATTGTTGATGTCACCACCCAATTCTTTGAGGTATTAAAAAAATAACTGTTCTAGGCTGAGGCAAAAAGATCGCCTGAGGCCAGGAGTTCAAGACCAGCCTGAGCAGCACAGTGAGACCCTGTATCTAAACAAAATTTTTTTAAATTAGCCAGGCATGGTGGTATGCACCTGTAGTTCCATTTACTTGGGAGGCTGAAGTGGGAGGATCGACTGAGCCCAGAAGTTTGAGGCTGCAGTGAGCTATGGTTGTGCTACTATACTCCAGCCTGGGCCACAGAGTGAGACCCCATATCTAACAAACAAATAAATAAATATTTTTTAAAAATAAATAAATGTTCTGGCTTTACTGAGTCTTTACAAAAACAGAAATGTGGCTTTAGGAATAACCTAAAGCTCCATCCATCCTTCTTACCAATCCCAAAACCTCCCCTCCAAAAGATGCTTGCAGATACTATAAAATGCCAGGACACTGGAAAATGGACTGTCCTGCCCTTAAGAAGGAGAACTTAAATAGTAATTTTCCTGGGCCTCAGCCTGGACATGTAAACACTGCAGACTCTCCAGACAAATAATTGTCCATTCCCCCATCCTCCCTTAAGCACCTACATGTTAAAGCTCAACACTGCTGGGAGAATTTCCTGTTTGTCACAGACCAAAACCTGACAATAGGCAAATATGTCCCTGGAAATCCTCTAAGACCAGTTACTTTAAAAGTCTGCATAATTCCTCTCCCCTTTTCAGATGTAAATCTTCTACCATCCAGAACTAAATTCTCAAGAACCTGACAGCAATCTCTTATTTTTTATTTTTTATTTTTTTTGGAGATGGAGTCTGGCTCTGTCACCCAGGCTGGAGTGCAATGGCGCGATTTCAGTTCACTGCAACCTCTGCCTCCCCAGTTCAAGCAGTTATCCTGCCTCAGCCTCCCGAGTTGCATGGGACTACAGTCGTGTGCCACCACACCTGGCTAATTTTTGTATTTTTAGTAGAGACGGGGTTTCACCATGTTGGCCAGGATGGTCTCCATCTCCTGACCTGAGGCAGTCTGCCCGCCTTGGCCTCCCAAAGTGCTGGGATTACAGGCGTGAGCCACCACACCCAGCCAAGAGCCATCTCTTTAAAATGCAAACATCCAAGGAAGTAATTCTGCTTTAGACCCCAGAATTGAGGCTCCTCACTTTTACTTGTAGTACTGCTTCTTATCACAAAATTCAAGAAATTTACTTCCCCTCCTGATAAATACTAATTAAAACCCCAGTCTCCTAAGAAAACTCCAATGCCTTTTTCCTTAGCTCGGCCCACTTTAAAAAGTAGCTTTGCCATTGACTAAAGCAACAACCTGAGGCTGAGCCACAGCCTCTATGAGATTATATATCAGGGCAACTAAAAAGATCTTAAAGGTTTCCCCCACAAATATCAATAAAAAGCATTAGCCCTTATAATGAATAGGTAAAAACTTGTTCCATCTGCCAGAAACACAATTTAAATAAAAGTGAGGCAAAGATGAAAAAGAGCTCTTATATAAACTAGTAAGTTTTTTTGTTTGTTTGTTTTTGTTTTTTGTTTTTTATTTATTTTATTTTTTTGAGACGGAGTTTCGCTCCTGTTACCCAGGCTGGAGTGCAATGGTGTGATCTGGGCTCACTGCAGCCTCCACCTCCCAGATTCAAGTGATTCTCCTGCCTCAGCCTCCCAAGCTGGGATTACAGCCACCCGCCACCACACCCAGCTAATTTTTGTATTTTTAGTACAGATGGGGTTTCACCACATTGGCCAGGCTGGTCTTGAACTCCTGACCTCAGGTGATCCATGCTCCTCGGCCTCCCAAACTGCTGGGATTACAGGTGTGAGCCCCCACACCTGGCCTAAACTAGTAAGTTTTATATCACTTTTTGAAAGTTATAAGGTCTCTATTTGTGTCTGTATGTTTGTGTATGTCTATGTGAGACAGAGTAAGGATGGAGCTTGGCTCAGCTCTCCCCCAGTAGAGCATTCTTTCACGCATTCCCACTGATCACAAAACAACACTATGCTACCTCACTGACACCATACCCATTAATAGTTATATTAAGACCCATTAATAGTCATACAAAGTGTGAAAGGAAAACCTTGGGCACCAAAATTACTAAGCTAAAGGGAAATGTCAAGCTGGGAACTGCTCAGGGCAAATCTGCCTCCCATTCTATTCAAAGTCTTCCCTCTGCCACACTGAGATAGGTGCATATCTGACTGCCTCCTTTGGAAAGGCTAATCAGAAACTCAAAAAGAATGCAACCATTTGTCTCTCACCTACCTGTGATCTGGAAGCTCCCTCCCTGTTTCGAGTTGTCCCCGCCTTTCTGGACAGAACCAATGTATTTCTTACATATATTGATTGATGTCTCATGTCTCCCTAAAATGTATAAAACCAAGCTGTGCCCGAGCACCTTGGGCACATGTCTTTCCTGAGGCTGTGTCACAGGTGCACATCCTCAACCTTGGCAAAATAAACTTTCTAAACTAACTGAGACCATCTCAGATATTCGGGGTTCACAAAAGAAAGTAGTCATTCTACTGATAAAAGAAAAACTTCAGCCGAATTAAATGCAAAGGAGTTTAATTGAGCAATAAACAATTCACAAATTGGGCAGCTTTCTGAGCCAGAGTAGGCTCAGAGACTCCAGCATAGCCACGTGGTGGAAGAAGATTTATGGACAGAAAAAGGAAAGTGACGGACAGAAAAGAAAAGTGAGGCCGGGCATGGTGGCTCACACCGGTAATCCCAGCACTTTGGGAGGCCAAGATGGGTGGATCACCTGAGGTCAGGTGTTCGAGACCAGCCTGCCCAACATGGGGAAACCCCATCACTACTAAAAATACAAAAAATTGGCCAGGCATGGTGGTGGGCACCTGTAATCCCAGCTACTTGGGAAGCCAAGGCAGGAGAATCGCTTGAACCTGGGAGGCGGAGGTTGCACTGAGCCGAGATTGCGCCACTACACTCCAGCCTGGGCAACAAGAATGAAATTCCGTCTCAAAAAAATACAACAGAAAGAAAGAAAAGTGAGTACAGAAATAGCTGGATTGGGTATAGGTTGGCATTTGCCTTTTGTGAACATGGTTCCAACAGTTGGCTACATTTGACTGGCCAAAACTCGGTGATTGGCACAGTGTAGGCTATGGTCCATTCATAACCTCCACTTGTTACAGATCACGATGTACAGAGAAACTTTTAGGCCAAACTTAAAGTATGTTTTAGGCCAAAGGATGTAAGGAGGCAGTTTTAGGTTAAACTTGATTTAACACTATATTATTCTTTTGGGCTTTCATGTTTAACCATGTCTTTTACTTAAAGAATTCCAGGCCGAGCGTGGTGGCTCAAGCCTGTAATCCCAGCACTTTGGGAGGCCAAGGTGGGCAGATCACGAGGTCAGGAGATCAAGACCATCCTTGCCAACATGGTGAAATACCATCTCTACTGGACATGGTGGTGTGTGCCTGTAGTCGCAGCTACTCAGGAGGCTGAGGCAGGAGAATCGCTTGAACCCGGGAGGCAGAGGTTGCAGTGAGCCGAGATCATGCCACTGCACTCCTGCCTGGCAACAGAGCAAGATTCCGTCTCAAAAAAAAAAAAAAAAATTCCAGAAACTGGCCTAAGGGTATCCAAAATCGAACCAAGGTTGTGGAGTGTCCCTACTCAAGAAGGAATGCTGAACTATTGATTTACAGCATTGTTGCCGCGGGCCAGACCACCAGGTGGCCTGTTACTCAAGGTAACCATCACAACCGGCTATGCTGACCTGTGTACCTTACCTTTAACATGCTCTGCCCAGCCCAGCCTGCACACCTTACCCCTGATGTCAATTCCCGCTCTTTGCCTAATAAAACAATCCCTACCAATGCTTTTTAGAAAACCAGTGGGAGGATTCTTGCACTTCCACTGTCTCCCTTGCTCTTGAGCACAAGCCCTGAAATAAAACCCTTGTCTAGGAAATCCACTTGGCCCCATGTCAATTTCCATTACATGGGGAGCCAAAGAGTCTGGTTTATAAGAGATTCTCCGGCAACCAATGCAGGTCCACAGGACATGGGGAACATTTTTCTCTCCCAAGCGGGAGGCTTGTGAGCCAGCATGATGGCCGGACCCCTCTGCAGCTGATGGGCAGCTGTCTGAAACTTCGGTTTAGTATTGCTGCAACTGGGAGTTTTCCTCCAGCCTCCCCAAGACTCCTTGCCACCCCTCTAAGCTATGCTTTCCCTCCTCTCCTGTCCCCTATTTGTTGTGTTTTTATTTTTCCTTCTTCTTCCTCCCTCCTTCCTTTCTTTTGGTTTTCACTAACTTCATCAGCTCCAACCGAATAGATACCCACACAGGACATGTTGAAATGGTGGCTTGGCTCAGCCTGAATAGTCACCCATGCAGGATGGATTGAAACAGCTGATCAGTTTAGAAAACTCTGTTTAGTGCCCTGGCTTTGAACTCTGTAATCTTCTTTAAGTCTTCTAAGTATTCTCCCTCCCTTTGCCACACCTTGTGGGGAAGGGAAGCCTGTGGACTTCCCTGTCGTCTGTCTGTTTCAGTGTGAAGCTACTGACTGTTAGTTTGCTGTTAAAGCAAACTAAATACGGCCTGAGAAGAACTCCATACTTCTATATTTGAGTCCCTGTGGATGTAACCTAGCTGTAGAAAACAACATATATGGTGGTCCATTTTCAAGACAAAATACCTTGAATACACTTCGACCTGTAAGCTATAGAAGAACAGGATACCCTAGGGCCCTGCTTTAATAGCCAGTGCCTGCTTATTGGGACCCTTTAGTTACCCTCACCCAAACCAGAGGATTTAGCTTAGAATGGAAGTTTACTAGCTTGCAAAAATAGCTCACCTTGTCTATTCCTAACAGCTCGCTTAACCCCCTGGGTCATAGGTCAAATACTTGAAGAGTCCCAGAGCTGACTACAATTACAATGCATTAAGGGCTGCAACAAAATGCAGCAAGAAGACCCTGAAGAAAGTACCAAAAGCCCCAACCCAACGACCAATAAAAAACAAGAAAAGAAACTTAGGTGACTACGTCCAGGAAGATTGTAACCCCACAGTGCTCAGCCTACAGGAACCGGGGGAGGGACTTGCGCACTAGGGGATAAATTGATTGCTGTAACTGTACCAGATGTGCCTGCTCAATGGACACCTGATCTTGCAAGACTGACAGTCAAGTTTCACTTTCGCTGTACTTCTGGTCTCTTAGCCCATTCTTTGGGTTTGGACCCGTAGGCACGCCTCTTATAATTTGGGGGAGCACATTTCTGTCAAGCCTCTGAGCCTAAGCTAAGCCATCGTAACCCCTGTGACCTGCACGTGTACATCCAGATGGCCTGAAGTAATTGGAAATTAAAAAAGAAGTGAAAATGGCCGGCTCCTGCCTTAACTGATGACATTACCTTGTGAAATTCCTTCTCCTGGCTCATCCTGGCTCAAAAGCTCCCCCACTGAGCACCTTGTGACCCCCACCCCTGCCAGCCAGAGAACAACCTCCTTTGACTGTAATTTTCCACTACCTACCCAAATCCTATAAAACGGCCCCACCCCTATCTCCCTTCGCTGACTCTCTTTCCAGACTCAGCCCGCCTGCACCCAGGTGATTAAAAAGCTTTATTGCTCACACAAAGCCTGTTTGGTGGTCTCTTCACATGGACGCGTGTGAAATTCGGTGCCGTGACTCAGATTGGGGGACCTCCCTTGGGAGATCAATCCCCTGTCCTCCTGCTCCTTCAACGTTTATTCTCCAAAGGATATCGGGTATCCCCATCCAAAGCTCAAATTTCTTCTCCATCCGTTACCTACCTCAATAGGTAACACACGTGCTCTCCCTGCCGATCATGTCCAACTGATCTCTCAAATGCCAACACCTTCTACAAAACAACAACTCCTTTCCTTCCTAGGCATGGTTGGATACTTTTGCCTTTGGATACCTGGTTTTGCCATCCTAACAAAACCATTATATAAACTCACAAATGGAAACCTAGCTGACCCCATAGATCCTAAATCCTTTCCCCACTCCTCTTTCCGTTGCTTGAAGACAGCTTTAGAGACTGCTCCCACCCTAGCTCTCCCTGACTCATCCCAACCCTTTTCATTGCACACAGCCGAAGTGCAGGGCTGTGCAGTCAGAATTCTTACACAAGGACTGGGAATGCACCCTGTAGCCTTTTTGTCCAAACAACTTGACCTTACTGTTTTAGGCTGGCCATCATGCCTCCGTGCAGTGGCTGCCACTGCCCTAATACTTTCAGAGGCCCTCAAAATCATGAACTATGCTCAACTCACTCTCTACAGCTCTCATAACTTCCAAAATCTATTTTCTTCATTTTCTTCCTCACACCTGATGCATATACTTTCTGCTCCCTGGCTCCTTCAGCTATACTCACTCTTTGTTGAGTCTCCCACAATTACCATTGTTCCTGGCCCAGACTTCAATCCGGGCTCCCACATTATTCTGGATACTACACCTGACCCCCATGACTATATCTCTCTGATCTACCTGACATTCACCCCATTTCCCCATATTTCCTTCTTTCCTGTTCCTCACCCTGATCACATTTGGTTTATTGATGGCAGTTCCACCAGGCCTAATCGCCACTCACCAGCAAAAGCAGGCTATGCTGTAGTAGTATCTTCCACATCTATCATTGAGGCTACTGCTCTGCCCCCGCTGCACTACCTCTCAGCAAGCCGAACTCACTGCCTTAACTCAGGCCCTCACTATTGCAAAGGGACTACGCATCAATATTTATACTGACTCTAAATATGCCTTCCATATCCTGTACCACCATGCTGTTATATAGGCTGAGAAAGGTTTCCTCACTGTACAAGGGTCCTCCATCATTAGTGTCTCCTTAATAAAAACTCTTCTCAAGACCACTTTACTTCCAAAGGAAGCTGGAGTCATTCACTGCAAGGGCCATCAAAAGGCATCAGATCCCATTGCTCTGGGCAACACTTCTGCTGATAAGGTAGCTAAAGAAGCAGCTAGCTTTCCAACTTCTGTCCCTCATGGCAGTTTTTCTCCTTCTCATTGGTCACTCCCACCTACTCCCCCTTTGAAACTTCCACCTATCAATCTCTTCCCACACAAGGCAAATGGTTCTTAGACCAAGGAAAATATCTCCTTCCAGCCTCACAGACCCATTGTATTCTGTCATCATTTCATAACCTCTTCCATGTAGGTTACAAGCCGCTAGCCCGTCTCTTAGAACCTCTCATTTCCTTTCCATAGTGGAAATCTATCCTCAAGGAAATCACTTCCCAGTGTTCCATCTGCTATTCTACTACCCCTCAGGGATTGTTCAGACCCCCTCCCTTCCCTTCACATCAAGCTCGGGGATTTGCCCCTGCCCAGGACTGGCAAATTGACTTTACTCACATGCCCCGAGTCAGGAAACTAAAATACCTCTTGGTCTGGGTAGACACTTTCACTGGATGGGTAGAGGCCTTTCCCACAGGGTCTGAGAAGGCCACCGCAGTCACTTCTTCCCTTCTGTCAGACATAATTCCTCGGTTTGGCCTTCCCACCTCTATAGAGTCCGATAATGGACCGGCCTTTACTAGTCAAATCACCCAAGCAGTTTCTCAGGCTCTTGGTATTCAGTGGAACCTTCATATCTCTTACCGTCCTCAATCTTCAGGAAAGGTAGAACAGACTAATGGTCTTTTAAAAACACACCTCACCAAGCTCAGCCTCCAACTTAAAAAGGACTGGACAGTACTTTTACCTCTTGCCCTTCTCAGAATTAGAGCCTGTCCTTGAGATGCTACAGGGTACAGCCCATTTGAACTTTTATGTGGACGCACTTTCTTGCTCAGCCCCAACCTCGTCCCAGACAGCAGTCCTCTAGGCAACTATCTTCCAGTCCTCCGGCAGGATAGACAGGAAATTTGCCAGGCTGCTAATCTTCTCTTGCCTACTCCAGATTCTCAGCCATATGAAGACACCCTACCTGGACAATCAGTTCTTGTTAAGAATCTGACCCCTCAAATTCTACAACCTTGATGGACCAGACCCTACTTAGTCATCTATAGTACCCCAACTGCCATCCACCTGCAGGATCCTCCCCACTGGGTTCACCGTTCCAGAATAAAGCTGTGTCCATTGGACAGCCAGCCTAATCTCTCTTCTTCCTCCTGGAAGTCGCAAGTACTCCCCACTACTTCCCTTAAACTCACTTGCATTTCTGAAGAACAGTAATAACCCTTATGAGCCTAATACATCCCTTCATTCTATTAGGTCTATTCGTCCTTACCCTACTTTTTGCAACAGGGCTTTATGCAGTCACCCCCACTACTTGGACTGCGCCCCAAAAACTGGTCATCCCTGCTGTCTTCTGTCTAGTCACACTCCTATTCACCGTTCTCAACTACTCATAAATGCCCTACTCTTGTTTATACTGCCAGTTTACACTGTTTCTCCAAGCCATCGCAGCTGATATCTCCTGGTGCTATCCCCAAACCGCCACTCTTAACTCCCTCTTAGAGTGGATAGATGATCTTTGCTGGCAGGGCACCCTCCAATACTTTCACCCTGATGAAGTTCTATTCTTTATTTTTATACTCAATCTTATTCTCATTCCCATTCTTATGCCACCCTCTACCTCTCCCCAGCTATCTCCACCACACTATCAATCTTACTCACTCTCTCCTAGCCATTTCTAATCCCTCCTTAGCGAGCAATTGCTTGCTTTGCATTTCCCTTTCCTCCTGCGCCTACACAGCTGCCCCCGTCTTATATACAGGCTGGGAAACATCTCCTGTCTCCCTACACCTCCAAACTTCCTTTAATAGCCCTCACCTTTACCCTCCTGAAGAACTTCTTTACTTTCTAGACAGGTCCAGCAAGACCTCCCCAGACATTTCACATCAGCAAGCTGCTGCCCTCCTCCACACTTACTTTAAAAACCTTTCTCCTTATATCAACTCTACTCCCCCCATATTTGGACCCCTCACAACAAAAACTACTTTTCCTGTGGCTGCTCCTTTATGTATCTCTCAGCAAAGACCCACTGGAATTCCCCTTCTTGATGTTCCTTCACTCTTCATCTCCAAAGCCCAACTACATACATCACTGAAACAATTGGAGCCTTACAGCTCCATATTACAGATAAGCCTTCTATCAATACTGGCAAACTTAAAAACATTAGCAGTAATTATTGCTTAGGAAGACACCCTGTATTTCCCTCCATCCTTGGCTACCTTCCCCTTGCTCTTCAGACTCTCCTCCCAGGCCCTCTTCTTGTTTACTTATACCCAGCCCCATAAATAACAGTGAAAGGTTGCTCGTGGGCACTCAACGTTTTCTCATACACCATGAAAATCGAGCCTCTCCCTCTATGCAGTTACCCCATCAGTCCCCATTACAACCTCTGACGGCTGCCGCCCTAGCTGGATCCCTAGGAGTCTGGGTACAAGACACCCCTTTCAGCATTCCTTCTCATCTTTTTACTTTGCATTTCCAGTTTTGCCTGGCACAAGCTCTCTTCTTCCTCTGTGGATCCTCTACCTACATGTGGCTACCTGCTAATTGGACAGGCACATGCACACTAGTTTTCCTTACTCCCAAAATTCAATTTGCGAATGGGACCGAAGAGCTCCCTGTTCCCCTCATGACACTGAGATGACAAAAAAGAGTTATTCCACTAATATCCTTGCTTGTCAGTTTACGACTTTCTGCCTCCACTATTGCTCTCGATACTAGAATGGCAGGCATTTCAACCTCTATCACGACCTTCCGTAGCCTCTCTAATGACTTCTCTGCTAGCATCACAGAGATATCACAAACTTTATCAGTCCTTCAGGCCCAAGTTGACTCTTTAAGCTGCAGTTGTCCTCCAAAACTGCCGAGGCCTTGACTTACTCACTGCTGAAAAAGGAGGACTCTGTATATTTTTAAATGAAGATTGTTGTTTTTACCTAAATCGATCTGGCCTGGTACATGACAACATAAAAAAACTCAAGGATAGAGCCCCAAAACTCACCAACCAAGCAAGTAATTACGCTGAACCCCCTTGGGCACTCTCTAATTGGATGTCCTGGGTCCTCCCAATTCTTAGTCCTTTAATACCTATTTTTTTCTTTCTTTTATTCAAACCTTGTACCTTCCGTTTAGTTTCTCAATTAATCCAAAACCGTATCCAGGCCATCACCAATCATTCTATACGACAAATGCTCCTTCTAACAATCCCACAATATCACCCCTTACCACAAAATCCTCCTTCAACTTGACCTCTCCTACTCTAGGTTCCCAAGCCGCCCCTAATCCCGCTTGAAGCACCCCTGAGAAACATCGCCCATTATCTCTCCATGCCACCCCCCAAAAAATTTTCCCTGTCCCAACACTTCAACACTATTTTATGTTATTTTTCTTATTAATATAAGAAAACAGGAATGTCAGGCCTCTGAGCCCAAGCTAAGCCATCGTATCCCCTGTGACCTGCACAGATATGTCCAGATGGCCCGAAGAAAGTGAAGAATCACAAAAGAAGTGAAAATGGTCGGTTCCTGCCTTAACTGATGACATTCCACCACAAAAGAAGTGAAAATGGCCAGTCCCTGCCTTAACTGATGACATTACCTTGTGAAATTCCTTCTCCTGGCTCATCCTGGCTCAAAAGCTCCCCCATTGAGCACCTTGTGACCCCCACCCCTGCCAGCCAGAGAACAACCCCTTTGACTGTAATTTTCCACTACCTACCCAAATCCTATAAAATGGCCCCACCCCTATCTCCCTTTGCTGACTCTCTTTTTGGACTCAGCCCACCTGCACCCAGGTGATTAAAAAGCTTTAGTGCTCACACAAAGCCTGTTTGGTGGTCTTTTCACACAGACGTGCATGAAAATTTCCTCCACTAGCTTAGTAGTCAGAAAAGATTAAAAACCTAACTTAGTAGTATGTGCCAATAACTGAGTCTTGGCCGTTGAAGCGGCCATACCTCAACCACTCATATAGACTGCTAAGTGTTCAAACTGTGTTCAGATAAGGCAAGCGCCAACCTGTAACCAATCCAGCTGTTTCTGCACCTCACTGCCAATTTCTGTAGGTCACTTCCCTGTTTTTGTTTATAAATCTTTATACTCCAGCACAGCACACATAGCTGTTGTGCTGGAGTCTCTGTGAATCAGCTGTGATTCTGGGGGCTGCCCAATTCACAAATTGTTCATTGCTCATTAAGCTCTTTTAAATTTAATTCAGCTGAAGTTTTTCTTTTATCAGTGCTGTCTTTGAGAGGAGAGAATTGGCAGCACATGGGTCCAGAGTCTGTATCACTCACATCCTGATCCATTTTTCCTTTTTTTGTGTTTAATTTGACATCTTATTCCCCCATGCGGCCCACTGGGTGGCATCTTGGAAAAATGAGAAGCTTCTGTCTAAGGTTCCATGAAACAGAAAAGGAAGATTTTCTATTATAACGCAGCTTGGCCTCCACAGTTATGGCACAGCGAACAGGGTCATCAAAAGCTGCTCTGCTCTTATGGAAGCTGCAGAGACAGGGAAACCAAAACCCTGGCATGCAGGCAAAAGGGTAAGAATTTCTTACCAGCCAGGGCCCCGGCCTCTCGCTCTCTGTGCAAACCAGTTAAGTAAATGGTAAAAAAAAAAAAAAAAAAAAAAAAAAAAAAAAAAAAAAAAAAAATCCCTGTTTCTCTCCTCTACAAGATTTTTTTTTTTTTTTAAATGGAGTCTTGCTCTGTCCCCCAGGCTGGAGTGCAGTGGCGCGATCTCGGCTCAATGCAAGCTCCGCCTCCGGGGTTCACGCCATTCTCCTGCCTCAGCCTCCTGAGTAGCTGGGACTACAGGCACCCGCCACCGCACCGGGCTAATTTTTTGTATTTTTAGTAGAGACGGGGTTTCACCGTGTTAGCCAGGATGGTCTCGATCTCCTGACCTCATGATCTGCCCGCCTCAGCCTCCCAAAGTGCTGGGATTACAGGCGTGAGCCACCGCGCCCAGCCTGCAAGGTTTTGATTAATGAGAAAAAAGATGTGGGAAACTAGTCTTAGGTTGTAGCGAATCTGCTGTACTGTGATATGAATTTGTTGTTCTGCGTTGTTCTGTCATGGAGGGGTTGCCACAGAATAGAATGTGGGTGTAGGACCCCTATAAGTCTGCTGTTTGAGCCAGCCCTGCAGATTGGTCAGCTACAAACTTCGCTATGGGTCCCTGAAACAAAAACCAAATGTAGTTTCCCTCTTGTCTTGTTTTATGTCCTTGAAAGCTTGACTTTTTGACCATGTGGGGGTATTCTCTCTCAGTCTCTGCCATCCACAGGGTGGAAATTTTCAGGTTCATGTAAGGCAGCCAGTCTGAAAGGACACATGATAATGTCATGGCTAGCCTTAAGGATTCTCTTAAGCAGTTAAAATCCTTTGCAAACTTGAAACTGTCTGCTCTAGATTACTTCTGGGAAGAACAATACTGTAGCTCTGTGGCTAAGGCTTTGCCCATTCATGATGGTGGCATGGGTTCAATTCCCATCTTAGGGAATGAGTCCCTTCTGGTTTGATATTTATCTGACCTTTGCCATTTATTTATTCTTTTTCCCTCCATTGTCTTTGTGACCATATGGGGGTACTCTCTCTCCATCTCTACCATTCAGAGGGCGGAAATGTTTAGGTTATGTCAGGCAGCTTGTGATTTTCTGTCTAGAATTTTCCTTTCTCTGAGCTATCTAGGAGGCGATTCTACATCTTGTAAAAACTGCTTGCAATCTCTTTGTTGATACTTTGTGCAGCTATGGTTAAATCATAACCTTCATTAAGGCTTATTGGATTTGTTAGGGAAGCAGGAGCCTAGGAGAGCCAGAGTAACCCCATTTTAAGTTCAGCTCCATCTTCAGATTAACTGGGCATATTCCTTGTTGGTCACTACCCACAGTCATGAGATATTTACAGTTGAGGAAACAGCCTAAGATACCGGCAAAGACACTCCCACAACAGCAGAAAGTCCAGATGTCCCAATACCCATAACAAAATATGGCTTCAAGATTGTTATAGTTATGGTTTGATGTATTCACACACTAAAACATCAAGGATAGTTTTCTTTAAATCAATAGAATATAAATTTTGTCACACTCTCTGCTCACACTTACATAGACATGGCTTAGCTTAGCTTTTATATAGAGATGACCCCTATACAAGAAAAACTTAAGGATGTCCTTCTCTGTAATGGAGTAGCTTTCAATAAACTCTCTCTTCTCACTGCACTCTGCCACTCACCTTGAATTCCCTCCTGCATGAGATCCAAGAACCCTCTCTTGGGGTCTGTATCAAGACCCCTTTTACTGGTAACAGTTGCACTTGGGAAAATCCCTTTGGGAGAATAAAAGGCTTAAATGCCAGAGGCATTGGCTGTTTGTCCCTAACAGCCAGGCAATGGTCTGGAAATTAAAGATTTAAAAGAGTTTTTTTTAAAGAGCTCTATGGTAAATGATATTAATTAAAAGGGGATAGCCAAGCTATACATACATTTAAAAGGCCATTAGGCTTTTTTCTCTTCTTGGATCTTGTTTTTTTGAAAAAAAGGTTTTTGGGTTTTTTTTTTTTCTCAGTCAATTGAATTGTTTCTCCATTTACTCTGTCCTCTGGCACACACGCCCTCACTGCCCTGCATGAGAGGACTTAAGGTAATTTCTGACAGCCTGGAACTCCTTGAGAGAAACAGAAGAGGCACCACAGACTCCTGTTTTGGGAGAAACCTCTGTTTTCCAAGTAGAACCCAAAGAATTACACGCAGACTGATACTTCCCAAAATCTGAGGCTCTGTTCTGTTTTGCATTATGTTACCTGATCTTTTTGACTTTTGGGGGCATCAGAAATTATTTTGCATTACTTAGAAATGTTGAATCTTAATGTGCAATAGCTAAATAAGAGGCATATTTTTTTAAATGTCCAATAGCAGTTGCTTACAGTGAGTGGCTATTACCACAGGGTGATACTCCTTTTTTTTTGTGTTTACATACATAAAAAGCCATGCTCTTGGGCAACTAGAAGGTATGAAATGGGGGATGGGCTGATTACAGAGCAGACTAGTTGATGTTGGGTTGTCCAGCAGCCTTGGGGAAATGTCCTTACAATAAAACATGCTGTGAAAGCATTGCACTGTCTTGTCTCATAGCACTTGCCTCTTTGCGGGGACCCAGTATTTGGTGTGGAAATGGGATCCTTGATTTTGGGAGATCTGTTCTGCCTTCCAGCTGTGCCCACCTACTAGGCCCTAAAAACTGCATGCTTTCCTGGCCTTGTTCTTTAAAAGGCTCCACCCTGAACCCAATTTAAAAACTTACATCTTTAAAGAAATCTCCACATGTAAGGGTATCTGTTTTCCCTGGCTGTCTCACCTAAACTTTTACTCACACCATTTCTCCCTTGGTTTAAGTAAAATATAAATTATCTATCTTATTTCACCTAAGAATTGTCCCTTTTAAAATGCAAAATCAGAGTTACCTCACTGATAATTATTTAGGGCAGAGAACAGATAATCAAAAGATTGATGCTTTATCTAAAATAAAATGAGAAAGAAATCTTGGCCAGGTGTGGTGGTTCACACCTGTAATCCCAGCACTTTGGGGGCCTGAGGCAGGTGGGTCACTTTAAGCCAGGAATTTGAGACCAGTCTGGTCAACATGGTGAAACCCCATTTCTACTAAAAATACAAAAATTAGCCGGGCATGGTGGCGTGCACCTGTAGTCCCAGCTACTTGGGAGGCTGAGGCAGGATAATCACCTGAACCCAGGAAGCAGAGGTTGCAGTGAGCCAAGATCACACCACTGCTCTCCAGCCTGGGTGACAGAGAGAGACTCCATCTCAAAAATTAATTTAAAAAAAAGGAAGAAAATCTTAAAAACTGGCAAATGAAGAATCTTATAACTCTACCAGATCTGCTTCTCTGTCTGTGTATTTATATGTGTCATGTATGTATGTGATGTCTTACTACCAAGATATGTAAAAGACATCCAATGAATTGGCTTAAAGAAAAATAAATGCTTAAATAAAATATTTTATCAGAAAAATAAACACTTTAGTTCACATGGCTTTAGTAATCTTTGGTAAATAAAGACAGTTTTAAAGACTATTAATGAAATAAAATTAAATGTCTTTAAAATTTAGGCATTCAGTCTAAATTAGGCAGGTCAGGAACTGCCCTTGCTAGATGCTTTAAGATTATAAACTGCTTCTATGACTTTTGATAACTGTTTGACTTGCCTGCTTTGGGGCCATTAGATTCTAGGTAAGGCCTGGGGATATATAGAATTAGACACACTCCCTAGCTATACTGGAAAAGAGTCACATATTACCTGTAGTTCCCAGGCTCTGCACTTGGTACAGAATTAAAGTTGCATACACTAAAAATTAAAATTAGGTGTTTTTAAGAAAAAGGCATGGGAATGTAGTTTTTAAAAGACAAACTATTTTGCCTAATTTAGAGGTTGTTTAAGGATTGTTTTGGGTTAAAAGAAAGATAGAATATAACTGAAAGTTTAAGCCAGTTAGAGATGGTTTGTGAAAGATTAATCTTGAAACAGAAATTCTGTGTATGAGCTAGTTGGCTAAAAGGGTATTATTTAGTTTTTCCATAAATTAAATATTAAAATAAAAGCTTGCTAACACAGGGCCAGAATCTGGGCTCATGTGTCAGAATAATAGGGTTTTCCTGGAGCATTTATCTGCTCTTAAACAAAAAATTTGCAAAGGGTTATAAAAATCTTACCTTATGGTCAAACTGGTTAAAATTAGATAGCTTCATCAAATGTTATTGAAATTAGCTTTAGTATTAATATACTAATGCAAAGGTAAAATTTCATTTTCCCTTTTGAGCAAGATTTTCATTCGCCTACAGGAAAAAGAGAGAGACAGAATTTTTTTTTTTTTTTTTTTGAGACAGAGTCTTGCTTCAGCCAGTCACCCAGGCTGGAGTACAATGGCATGGTCTCAACTCACTGCAACCTCCGCCTCCTGGGTTCAAGTGACTCTCCTGCCTCAGCCTCCCGAGTAGCTGGGACTGCAGGCATGTGCCACCACACACAGCTAATTTTTGTATTTTTAGTGGAGATGGGGTTACACTGTGTTGGCCAGGCTGGTCTCAAATTCCTGACCTCGTGATCTGCCCACTCGGCCTCCCAAAGTGCTGGGATTACAGGCATAACCCACCATGCCCAGCCATGCTGTCTTTACTGGGTCTGGTTATTTAGAAAGCTGAGTCCTCTCTCTGTGAAAGACTAAAGGATTTTTGCTGTTTAGAAATCTTTGAGTTAATCATGTTGGTTAAATAAATAAACTGTGGTCCTATTTTGTGATGTCAAGTGTTTTAAATTTTGATATTTGACAAGCTTTCCAAAATAAAATCCTGAATTAAGCCTTTTTTGACCTAATTAACCATTTTGTGTAGTAGGTCCTCTGAGGTCCAAAAGAGACATATGCAGCTTATTTGGTGTATCAAAACCATACAGGAAACACTATCACATTTAAAATGGTGTTTAGCTTTTTTTAGATTATAGTCACATAAATGTGTGATTAATATGTATTCCATAGTTATATGAGATTCCTATGATTCTGATATGCCTAAGTATCTGCTATCAATAACAATTAAGATTGTTACATTAAATTGTGTGCCACAGAAATGACCAGATTTCCCTGTTGATTGCATCTTTAACTGTGGCTGTCCTAAGACTCTTGTCATCCACAGACAATTGTCTTGTTTTAATCTATTCCAAAAGAAGATTTATAATCAGCTAAAGGACTCTCATGGATACTCTTGGATGCAGGTCTCTGACAACCTGGAGACTGAGCCATTAGAATAGAGGGAAAAACTTGTAAGACCCTCTTGGAGATCTAATGTGTCCATAAATATCAAGCAGAACAGGAGTTAATTTCATGGACTAAACAAATAGGAGATTGAAATAATCTGTTTATGACCTTTTCTTCCAGAAATGCTGCTGACCCTTTTTGTTTTGTTTTTCAGAGTCAAGAAAACTTTTTTCCCTTTTAAACCATTTACAACTTTTAACAATTGAGTAAACTACAACCTATAAGCAAAATTTTGAGCATGTTTCTTTCTCTCTACCTGATTTCTGCAGAATTTGGAAACTATATGTGAGTATTCTTAACTTATGGCAATATAGTTGTTTGCATACATGCAATAAGAATCTGTTTTCTTTTGTAACAGGACACAACTGGGGAAACTGGTTATTTTATCAAGGCTTTATGAGAATGACATGCTTTCATACTGCTTTTCTAAAAATTGAGGTTGACTTCTAAAGCCGATAAAACCCCATTGGAAAAACTGCCCTCATATCCTGTCTATGCAGTCCTTGTACAGGGTTCCTGACCTATGGTAAGTAAAGACTGTCACTTTCTAACAGGTCCAGGAGCCCCAAGTTATCTTTGGACTTCAAGAGGGGAGGAATTCACCCAATTCATACAAGTGTTTGCAGGCACAGATGAATCCATAGCTAGGCTCACAGCTTTAAAAAGTCTAATCTGAGAATCCTTACAAAACAAAGTTCCAGCAAAGCCAATTAAAAAAAAAAGTTTATATGGCAAATAATTATTCTTGCTGCACTTCACGCAAATAATCAAAACAAGTATAATGAAACTAAAGTTTAATTTGCAAACACATCAATCCTACAATAATTTGTCTTTGATAAAAATGAGAGACTGGAGAGAAAAAGAGTATAATATACCTGTTGTAGGTTCTAGTCTTATCTGTTGTTTTTGAGCTTTTTAATATTATTTTCTGAGCTGCAAGTCTCCAAACTAACATTTTAAAAATTTTCTTCCACTTTTCTGACTTAATGAAATTGCTACTACCTTTTTCCTAAGGCCCTGCAAACTAAGGCTTATTCTTTATAATACAAGCAAAAAAACATGAAAAATTGCCACCACCCTCCTCCATAACTAAAGATGCTTTGAGCCTAATAACTGGGTAGATTATGCCCACCATTAACAGTTGTTTTTCTTTTGTTTCCATAGAAATGTCTCTTATTAAAAGTATGTTTGCCTTATATTTCACACACCAGGAGACTCATTCTCCAGCCTATTCACTTAAATTCCAAATGGCAGCTGATTTCTTCTCATAGCATTATTAAACTGGACTTAGGCATTTTATTAATTATCACTGGGTGCTATTTGATTTTTAAAATAATTATTTGTTATATTCAACAGGCGTACAGATGGTTAAAGTTTATGCCTTCCAGGCTTCAACAGTTCTAAGTCAAGCTAATGATGGCCCAAGGATTCCAACCCATACCATCCCAGAAGGATTCTAGTCCCTACAGGTCTCTAGAACAGTCAGTGAGAGATTTCTATGTTCCTCTGAGGTTAGACAGGGACAACAACCCTGTTCAGCATAGCTGTTCAGTATAGCTTCAGAAGATGAGATCTTCAGCCCTTTTTCCTTAAGAATAAAGAGAGTGAAATATCTCAGAGGGGAATGAGACAGTAAGGGTGGGGCTTGGCTTCAGCTCACACCCACTAGAGCATTCTTTCATACATTCCCACTGATCTCAAAACCCACACCACTACCTCACCAATGCGTATCCATTAATAGTCATACAAAGAAAACAGCCATTCTGTATTGTTCTTCTGTGCTTTTATATGTTTAACCATGCCTCTTACTTAAACAATTCCAGACACTGGCCTTAGGAGATCCAAAATTAAACTAAGGTTCCTGAGTCTCCCATCTCGGGAAGGAATGCTGAACAACTGATTTACAGCCTTGTTGCCACTGGCCAGACCAGCAGGTGACCCATAACTCAAGACAACCATCACAACCAGCTTTGCTGACCTGCATACCCTACCTCTAACATGCACTGCCCAACCCAGCCTGTATACTCTACCGCCGATGTCAATTCCCATGCTTTGCCTTAAAAAAATAAATCCTGGCCGGGCACGGTGGCTTACGCCTGTAATCCCAGCACTTTGGGAGGCCGAGGCGGGCAGATCATGAGGTCAGGAGATTGAGACCATCCTGGCTAACACGGTGAAACCCCGTCTCTACTAAAAATACAGAAGATTAGCCGGGCTTAGTGACGGGCGCCTGTAGTCCCAGCTACTCGGGAGGTTGAGGCAGGAGAATGGCATGAACCCGGGAGGCGGAGCTTGCAGTGAGCCGAGATTGCGCCACTGCACTCCAGCCTGGGCTACAGAGCGAGACTCCGTCTCGATTTAAAAAAATAAAATAAATAAATAAATAAATAATAAAATAAAAAATAAATCCTACCAGCTCTTTTTGGGGAACCAGCTCGGGGATTCTTGTGCCTCCACTGTCTGCCTTGCACTTGAGAACAAGTCCTGAAAATAAAGCCTTATCTAGGAAGTCCTCTTGGCCCCATATTAATTTCCATTACATGGAGAGCCAAGGAGCCTGTGGTCTGTAACATATGTATATACATTATGTGTATGTGGTATCTTCTTATCTCCAGAAAATATTGCCAAATTGCTTTATAAAATTCCTTGAGAGACCTCTATTCTAAATGGGTTTTGTGAAACAAGTAACTCAAAATTGAAGCTGTTGGAACTTTATATTTAAGGGAATGTGATTATGGGACCTGAGTCATGTAAACAGGCAGCTGCAACCTAGGCAACTGTAACCTTGTTTTTCTAATTACAGATTAGCCTTTTTTCTTACTTACATTATTTTGTAAAATGTAGTAAATGACTAAATTGAGCCAGGGAAGACTCCTTCCTCTTTTTTTTTTTTTTTTTTTTTTTTTTTGATACGGAGTCTTGCTCTGTCTCCCAGGCTGGAGTGCAGAGCCGCGATCTTGGCTCACTGCAACCTCCGCCTCCCGAGTTCAAGCAATTCTCCTGCCTCAGCCTCCCAAGTAGCTGAGATTACAGGCACATGCCACCATGCCCAGCTAATTTTTGTATTTTTAGTAGAGACGAGGTTTCACCATGTTGGCCAGGCTAGAACTTCCCTCTTTCCTCTCTCACAGAGACTTCATGACTATCATATTGTCTAGGATGAAATGTTAAACATACTCTTTTAAATTGGAAAGGCAACGAAAACTAGCTGTATGGAAATGAAAACAAACTGTAACTAACTAAATTGTTGCAATTTATAAACCAACCTTGTGTAGAAAATGTTATAATCCTGCTAAATTTCTTTGTTTTCTGCCTATATAAGCAAGGCCTTCACTTTTAACTGCAGAGCACTGACCCCGTTTCTCTGAAGTCCATGTTTGCTGAATGGCCATTTCCAGCTTTTTGCTTAAATACATGCTTTAAAACTGGTTTCTGATCCTTTTGATTAATTCAGATTGACAGTTGCAAAACATATACACTTACATGTTAAATTAAGTCTAGCCTAAAGCTGTCTTCTTACATATTCTAAGTTTGGCCCAACAGTTTCTACATATACATAGTGAACTGTAACCTAGCTGCATGTATAAACAGATTGTAACCTACTCTTGTGCCAATCACTGACTTTTGGCCAATCAAAGGCAGCCAACTGTTAATAAGGCAAACATCAGGATGTAACCAATCTGGCTGTTTCTGTACCTCATTTCCATTTCCTGTACATTTCTTTTCCTGTCTTTTTTTTCCACCACATGGCTATGCTGGAGCCTTTCTGAATCTATTCTGGTTCAGAGGCTGCCTGACTTGTGAGTTGTTCTTTGCTCAATTAATCTCTGTTAAATATAATTTGTCTAAGGTTTTTATTTTAACATATATAAATTAAATATTCCTAAAACTCTCAGAAATATAGGAACTAACCCAAATGCTTTCAGGTGTACGTGATTTCAGTAAATCTGTAAATGAGACAAGTATAATATTGTTGGTTTAATAAAAACAGCTGTGTTTTCAGAGTTATCAGCATTGAGTACCATGCTGAGCACACGTTTTGCTTCTACCTGGGCTTACTACTCAAATAAACTAATATATTTACCAATGTTTAAAATTATAGAATATACAGATTTGATTTTAATTAAACAGAATCATTATTCTGACAAAGTTTATAGCAACAGTAATTGTGTTTTATAATGTTTCTGCTTAGATGTAGTTTTCAGAATCTTTTTGGTAACTTGAAACCTTAACGGTATACTAAGTTAAATTAAATGGCAGGTATTCACTGAAAATCTAGATCACTTCTAAGTAGGATAAAATATTAACACATTAATTGCTGATCATAAGTTTATCTGCTTTTAGCTTCTTATTTTTTACAAATGCTAAAGACATTTGGGTTTGTTAAAAAGGATGTTCTTTTTGCCACATTGGGGAATCATACTAAGAAGAATTTGCATCTAGAAATTGTGAGATTGTATATTCACAAAATTTGCTAAAATGCCAAAAAATGCTGATATACAATAGGCAATTCACAGTTGTCTAATAGTTTTCTCTGGAAAATAAAGGATAATAAGAGTTGAAAATTATAATCAATCATATGTAAATTGAACTACTAGACATAATCAGGATGAAGGAAAAACCTCTGTGTGCAAAGTATTCAAGTAATGTAGAATGTGGTTTTGTTACAGGAAAAAGAGCAATTCTTTCCTAAAGGAGCTGTTTACTCATTATTCCTGAATGAGGAAGAGGAAAGGACCAAAACCTGAAAGGGAAGTATGGGGAAGACAGAGAAAGAGAATTTTATCTTGTGTGGTCATGTTGGCTAAGATTGAGTAGATTTACTGTGAGGTTTTTAAATGAGCTTTAATATTAACAGTGTACTGATGCAAAACCAGAGTTTCATTTTCTCTCTCTTAAAAAAACAACATTTTTTAGATTATCTTATTTCTGTTCTTAATAAGAGGTTGTAAAAGGTTTTTCTTTACCTTTTGAAAAATCTGCCTAGGAAACTACCACAGTCTGAATATTTGTGTCCCCGCAAAGTTCTTAGGGTGAAACCTAATCACCAATGTGATGATGTTAGAAGGTGGGGCCTATTGGGAGGTGACTAGATCATGAGAACAGAGCCTTTATGAATGAACGCCCTTGTAAAAGGGACCTCAGAGAGCTACCTTGCCCCTTCCACCACATAAGGACACTGCCAGAAAGCACTATCTATGAACCAGAACGTAGGCCCTCACCAGACACTAAATCTGCCTTGATCTGGGACTTTCCAGCCTCCACAACTGTGAGAAATTTGTTGTTTATAAGCTACCCAGTCTATGGTATTTTTTTGCAGCCCAAACAAACTGAAGAAACTAAGACAGAAACAAAGACTCTGTGTCTTATCAGAATAATTTCCTGTGTTTTTTTTGTTTTTGTTTTTGTTTTTGATTTTTTGTTGTTTGTTTTTTTGAGACAGGGTCTCACTCTGTCACCCAGGCTGGAGTGCAAGTGCGTGATCATGGCTCACTGCAGTCTCAACCTCCCAGTGATCCTCTCACCTCAGCCTCCCAAGTATCTGGGACTACAGGTGCGAGCCAACATGCCAGGATAATTTTTTTTTTATTTTTTGTAGAGACAAGGTCTCCCTAGGTTGCCCAGGCTGATCTCAAACTCTTGGGCTCAAGTGATTCTCCAACCTCGGTCTCCCAAAGTGCTGGGATTACAGGCATGAGCCACTACTCCTGGCCTTCCTGTGCTTTTTGTCTTTATCATGTCCTAGACTATTTAAGAGAACCAAGTCTTCTAAATATTAAAAGAGCTAAGTTTTGTTTCTCTTTTTGTTTCTTACAATTGTGTTGCTCCCTATATTTACTTTTGAAATCTCTTAGTGTCATATAGGTTAAATAAATAACTAAGAATTGTTTCACAGTGACCTGTAATGTTGGTTAATCAAGTACTCAAATCTTTTGACATTTCTGATAACTTTTGATATTTTGCCTTTCCAAAGCCAAATCCTAAATAAAATCCTGGTCTTGAACTGACCTGAAATTTCCCAGAGGGACGCTTGAAAATCTCAAAGGATTTGTTCTTACCTATAAAAAGATACATTAAACTAATTAGGTTTATTTGATAAGTTGAAGTCTATGGAAAGCGTTGTCAAATAAAAAGAGATGTTTAACTGTCCTTAGGTTACATTTGTATAGGTAAATGTTATGAATACAAATATTTCGGGAATTATATAAAGTTCCTAGAAATTTGTCAATGCCCTTGCTGGCATGATACATCTTTATGCTTCTTTGTCTGATGGTAGACAACAATGACAAAATATTATCAGTTATCATTTTGTTATTATTTTAATGTTTCATGCTACAGAAACAACAAAACTGCCTTGTCAACTGTGTCACAGTGAACTTTCAGCAGATCTTTAACTATGACTATTTTAAGCCTTTTGTCATTCAGATAGTAATTGTTATCTGATGTTTCTCTGAAAACTCTTGCAATCAGCTACTAGCAAAAATGCTTATTTTCAACATAAACAGATTGTCTCTGAGATCCATGGAAAGGACTATGACAGGTACCCTGGGGTACAGGCTTCTGGTGGCATTGCTTAAATAATTGAGATCATACCACTGGAATGAGTAAGGATTGCCAGAACTCTAGTGGAGCAGCTAATGGGTTCATTAACTGCTAACTCAATCAAGCAGAACAAGACTGAATTACATAGGACTGAATGATAAATGATTATAATTTGTATCGTTTTTTGTTTAGAACATTGCTAGTTTTTCAATCAATGTTCTGTTTTTCAGATACAAGGAACCCCTTTCTCTTTTCTCCTAAGCTATCTATAACTCACAATAATTTGGTAGATTTATACCTTTGTAAACAAACATGAAATATATCTTTTTTCTCTCTACTTGATTCCTCCAGAATTCAGAAGCTCTTATTGAATATTCCTATTTTCATAGCATTATAGCTATTTGCATAAGTTGAATAACAATCTGTTCTGCTTTTAACAGGACATAATTGGGAAACTTGGTTATGAAACCACCTTTGCAAAAATTATGACAGTGAGAAAATAATGACAGTGGAGGAGATCGGATCTAGCCAACCCCCCTCTTGCCTTTAGCATTTAAACTGCCAAACTAGCTTTGGGAGATATTTAGCTTATAGTTTAAATGATAGTAGCCCTTCTCCAAAATTCAAATGCCTTTCTAAAGAGACCACAAGGCTATGAGGAGGAAAGGAGCCTGAATTCAGCTAAGGTGTAGACATAAATGGTTGCCAGCTGTTATTCCAGAGGTCACAAGATATGCAGCTTCTCCAATTATTCCTGCGGATAACATCACTATGATAGAACCTAAGATTGGCCTTTTGAGATAGCTTTTCATGTTTTTTTGCATGTCTGACACCCATGGCTCCACCTGGAGCCATGTCCTCCTGTGTCCGCACCCATAATCAACTCAGCATAAGAGGACAGCTTCAACTCCCTATGATTTCATCTCCAACCCAACCATCAGCAGCAGCAAACATCCACTGCCTAGCCACCCCTACTCCTTCCTCCAAATTGACTTTGAGAAACCCCTAACCTACAAGCCTTTGATGAGACTGATTTGAGCAATAACTCAGTCTCTCGTGTGGCACGGCTGGCCTCATGTCAATTAAACTCTTTCTATACTCAATTCCGTGAATCGATGTTGTTTGTGCAGCAGGCAGGAAGAACCCATCAGGCAGTTACAGTTATATTACTAAGTCTTTGCAGAATGTCATATTTGTGAATTGCATGGAATCTGATATGACTAAACAGTTTTAAGGAACTAAGATTGACTTTATGGAGCCAGGGTTTTCAAAGCCCTCTTGGAAAAACAGATTCGATACCTGCATTACAGAATTCTCAGCCTTACAGATGAGTAAAAAAGGTCACTTCCTAGGAAACTTAGAATATTTGGGAGACCTCAAGGAGAAAGGAATTCACCCAAATCTATAAGTATTACAGATGAAATCTGGTGACAAGTTCTTGGCCTGACTTCTAGCATCAAGAAACCTCTAAAAGTCCAATCTGAGATTCCTTTTAAGAGTTCTGGCAATGCAAACTTTAAAAAGCCCTAAGTGGTCAATTACCATTCTTGCTGTGCTTGTGCAAATGATCAGACCAAATTTAAAGAGACTAATTTTGTAACCAAAAGTAATCTTACTTTGATTATTTTTGGTCAAAATGCAGGTGATTGTAAAGAGAAATTTTATGTTTTGATGAAAAACTATAACCCACCCTTGTGAGTGATCAGATTCTAGTCCTGTTCATCACCTTTGAGATAGTTTTCACCTCTTTGTAAACTAGATCCTTCTGTCTTGCCCATTTTGCCAGTAATTAACACTTCTAACTTTTCTCCTACCCACCTGACATGGCACCACTGAGAACTAAAACCTAACTTCCTAGATCATTATTAAGACTCTGGGTTATCTTGTTACAAAGCCCTAAAAGCTGAAGTGGGACAATATGATATAAAATTCAAAGGACTTATTGCTACAACAGTTTGGTCCACTCAGGAAGTTCACCAAACACTCACCTCTTCTCTGCTCTGCTCTGGAAAATAACCATAACTGTGACACCGATGTTCTCACTCCACCGTCTAAACATGCTTCAAGACCAACATCTAGACATCTTCTCAACTGTCTGCCCTCCGTACTCAAAACCTAGATTTATAATCTATCCCAACCATTAATCTGTGCTTTTCTGGTTCCTCATTCTATGCTCTTGTTCTCCTCTGCAGATCTCTTACCTCACAATTTCTAGCCTAAATCTTCCCTCTATAGAAATCAACCTAGCTTCTTTCATGTATGTTGAAACTTCAAGGGAAGTTTCAGATGAGGGAAATGTTATCCACCAAAACCCTACAGTTGGTATAAAGAGTATTTTAAAGTGAAAACATTTAAGCTAAAGAAGATGCAAAAAGAAATCTTAGCCGAACTTCCGTTATGTGACTCTAGCAGAGTCTCCAGAGAAAACCCTTCTGTTAACCCCCCCGAAAGGGAGTTTCCTGTGGATTCAGCTGCTGTGGAGATAGCCCAGTTCCTGCCCAGCTCCCATGGCATTAAAAAACCCAATGGAACCTTCCATACCTTCTCACTGAAGCCCTTAAGTAAACCTTTTGTTAAGTTTGATATATAAATCTTTTATTTCTGGCTATTCAGGAAGTAATTTATCCTTGAGATCTCCCACATGTACTCATAAATAAACTTTGTCTTCTCTCCAGTTAAACTGTTATCAGTTAATTTGCAGGCCCCAAAACATCTGCACCTAAGTTGGAATAAGAAAAGTTTTTCTCCCAACATAATCATTTCTTCTCATTTTCCAGAAGCATGTCACATCAATCCTTCACTATTCCAATAGACATAATAATAGAAAATATATCAACACAGGCAAAGAATGTCAGAAAATGGGAAATTTCCTTTAGGCAAAAATTCAATTTTCTAAGTGAGTCAGTAGGTGGCACCAAAGAAGAAAGAAGTACATCTCCATAAATGCACAGATCACTCTGAGTCCTGAAAATCCAATAAAAGTTACCCCTATAGATGGTCTGTGCTGTTTTATCCTTAAATGTCCTACTTTAGCACAGGTTTCTACTGAAAACTGCCTCAAGATCTCTTTGAAAGGAAATAAAAAATCACAAATAAAAATAACACTTAGAAAACACTTGGAAAAAAAATTTCACATATTACTGCCAAAACCTGATTCTGGACATCCACCTTTCTGGGTTAGATGCAAATTACATCATATTCAAAAAATATGGGCTGCTCACAGCAGCTCATGCCTGTATAATCCCAGCACTTTGGGAGGCTGAGGCAGAAAGATCGCTGGAGGCCAAGAGTCTGAGACCAGCCTGAGCAACATAGAGAGACCCCATCTCTACCAAAAAAATTTTTTTAATTAGATGGATGTGGTGATGCATGCCTGTAGTCTCTGAGGTGGGAGGATCTCTTGAGCCCAGGAGTTCAAAGCTGCTGTGAGTATGACTACACCACTGCGGTCCATCCTGGGTGACAAAGTGAGACCCTGTCTCAAAAAAAAAAAAAAGGAAAAAAGAAACATGGGTTCTTCTCAGATGTGATCCACTGAGGCAGAAGCAAGAGGATCAGCACAGAGAAATCTGTTCTTAAGTGAGAGGAATAGGTGCATTTTGTCTGACCCTGAACCTTTTTGGCATTTCAAATGGCAGGGCAGGGACTTCTACCATTAACCTGTATATATATATATACATGATTAAAAAAAGAAAAAAAGACATTTCCCCTATTTGAATGGTAATCTTTCCAAAGATTCTAAGCCAAAAGGGGACTGAGCTCTAGTAACCTCATAGAAAGGCTTTTTTGTTGTTGTTTCTTAATAAAAATATTTAGCTTCCCGGCTACTCCAGAGGCTGAGGCAGGAGGATCACTTGAGCCCAGGAGTTCAAGGCGGCCAGCCTGGGCGACATAGCAAGATCCCATTTCAAAAAAAAAAAAAATCAGCAATGTCGAGAAAGAATGGTCCCTTAAATTCTTAAAGATACCTCACAAATGCATCTTGCCATTCTTCCTCATCCCAAATCAACATCAAAGCAGCACATCATCCAAGATACAGTTACTAAATTCATTTAGCTATATTAATTAAAATAAGGAGAGATGTTCCTCCTCTGCAGACACTGATAATACCCACATGGCTAAGGCAGCACTTCTCCCCAAGTCCTCCTCTCTAACAAGGTGTGAGCTGTAGGCCTCCACTTACCCTGGCAAATTCCATGGGTTTAGGAAGAAGGCACATGACCATGACATCGAAGCGAACATCACATACGGTCTTCAGCCATTTGGTGACAAACTGAGGCTTCAGCTTTTCCACCAGACTTCCCACTTCATCATCCATCATATACGCAGTGGAGTGAAACCACTGAAACACCATGGCCACCAGCCGGGCCAAGCTTTCTGTAGGCGTGTTCTCACTGGGTGTGCAGAGGCTCACCTAGAAGTAGGTAGATTAGAACCTTGTTCGGCTTCCATCCATCTTTACAAAATTATTATAGGTGCATTAAGAGGCAAAAAATAAAAATAAAAAGATATCCCAGATAATCTGTTTGAAATAGGCAGTTTTAAAAATGGGGATCGCTTATCCAGAAACTGTGTTCCTTTCTACAGGGATAGATGGATTGCAACAACAATTTTCCCTCAAGATTTCACCTTCCAATTAAGCATTTTCTCCTACAAGGAATCTATTATATAATCTGCACCAGATAAATGCTTCTAAAAAGTTAGGTCAACAAAATGATATTTCATCAATATCCTCAATGAAAATAATGTATATACATTTCAGTTCTAAAATGATCATATTTTGCTAAGAATTGTGTATTAGTAATAATTCAGATACCTTGGAGTCCCCCCAATTCACTATCATAAATAGACTTTTTTTTTTTTTTTTTTTTTTTTGAGATGGAGTCTCCCTCTGTTGCCCAGGCTGGAGTGCAGTGGCGCGATCTCGGCTCACTGCAAGCTCCGCCTCCCGGGTTCACGCCATTCTCCTGCCTCAGCCTCCCGAGTAGCTGGGACTACAGGCGCTTGCCACCACACCCAGCTAATATTTTGTATTTTTAGTCGAGACAGGGTTTCACTGTGTTAGCCAGGATGGTCTCGATCTCCCGACCTCGTGATCTGCCCGTCTTGGCCTCCCAAAGTGCTGGGATTACAGGCGTGAGCCACCGCTCCCGGCCCATAAATAGACTTTTTAAAACATCATTCATTCATTTACTATGAACTAATCTTCTATTGAGTACTATGGCAGGGTCCAGGAATAAAAAAAATAAATAAAACATTGTCCTTGCCTTCAAAGAGTTCACAGCAGTAGCCATTGTGTCATTAAATACTAACTTCTAGGAAGCAAGATATGTGAAATCAACAATTAAATGCCAATTTGGTAAAGACTCTTTCACGGAACTATATGCAAGCACAATAGAGATATATCACTATGGAGACTGAATTAATGTCTCCAATGAGCAAAACAAAAGCCTGCTTCTCTGCCGCATTGGTAAATTCAGCTTGCTTGGGACGTTAGATCTGTATGTTTGATCTCTACTGAATAGATGTTGAAATTAAATCAGTCAATAGCAATCATATTCCTTGCATTACTTTGGCTATAACGTCTCTGGTGTACATAGACATATCATAAACACACAAAAAGCTCCACAGAGACTGAACTTTCAAGAAAAATTTCATCTACATAGGTGATGGGATGTGAATTATCTGTATATGTTATTGAATCCAGTACTTGACAATATATACTAGCAACTTCCCGACTTGTACCAGTCTAGATCCTGATACTGTAGGTTTAACACCTGGCTCTTCATCAAAATCAATGGCCAAGAGCTTTTTAAAAAATTCCCAAGATTCTGGAATGCGATCTGGGCATTGTTAGTTTTTAAAAGCTTTCCTAGCTAAATCTAACATGCAGCTCAGGATTGACAGCTATTGCCATAGCTTCAGCCCCATTGCTAAGGTTAATTTTTCACTATTTACTCCTTTTAAAAGAACAGGAGAAATTCCTCTTCAGTACAATTTTGAAATGAGAAATAAGAAAGTGGAGAATAGTTAACTTCTTTTTCTTACTAAGAACCATATTCCGAATTGACTGAGCAGCCTCTGATCGTGTTTATCATCGTCCTTGTTATCAAAGTCAGCATTATCCAGGGAATGGTGGGAAGAGGAGAGGCCCAGCTGCCGCCGCCGGTTCAGCTCATGTTCTCGCTGCTCAGCATGGAACTCGGCTTCTTTCAACAAGCTGCCAAAGAGCAGTGTGATTTCAAGTTAGACTGTGAAAAAACACATTCTAGATCATGACCCATTCAGAGGAAGTACCTCACGAGTACTCAAGCATCCTGGATTGCTCTTCTTTAAATTGAGTACTGTGTTACTGAGTTACTGAGTACTGTGCATCCTGAGTTACTCCAGGATGCCTCATTCTATTTTCTTACTATTTTATACTCCATTCCCATTTCAAAGATGAACAAACTGAGGCACAAAGAGGCTAGTTCCTCCAATCAATTAGCATCAAGCAGAACTGATCCTTTCTGACTTCTGGTTCACCAACCATCCCACTATAAGTCAATGCTTCCTCTATATCTATCATGAAACTGTGCAGACAGCAAATGCATGATACAAGGAAAGGTTGAGGAGCTTGTGCCCAAATGGAAAAATATTCACCATCTGATATTCAAAGACACGAAAGTGAAACAGTGAAAATTCTTTTTTCCGTTTGCTAAACAAGTTCCAATTTTAAAAAGCAACACTCAGTATTGGTAAGTTTTATACATGGTGTTGGCATTGTAAATCTATACACATGCTTTGAAAAGCAACTTGGTAATGTATTAAGAGCCATGTAAATATTCATACCCTTTGAACCAAGGTATTTGATATCTGGTCATCTACCCTAAGAAAATAAAAAATATAGGTACAGCACTATGTACAAAAATATTTCTCAAAGCGTTACTTATAAAAGTAAAAAACTGGAAGCAGTCTAAATATGTAACGATAGAGAAAAGTAAGTTATAGCTAGATTAATATTATATCCACTACAAATGATAAATATGGAAACCATGCAACGACGTGGAGAAGAGCTAATAGTGTAATGTTATTTCAAAAAGAATTGTGGATACACTGATTACAGTTATAGAAATGAAACATACATTTAAATAAAATTAGAACATAAGCAACACTGATGATGATGGTGATAACATCATCATCAGTATGGCTGAGTGTTTTTATTTCTTTTCAAACTTTCCATAATATTCGATTTGACAAACATTAATTGTATTTCTACTACGTGTCAGCCACTGGGATAAGAGAAACAGAAAAGACTTGGCCTCTATCCTTTAACACTTAGATTCTAATATTATTATTATTTTTTTAATTTATTTTTTTGAGACGGAGTCTTGCTCTGTCTCCCAGGCTGGAGTGCAGTGGCGCAATCTCAGCTCACTGCAACCTCCGCCTCCCAGGTTCAAGCGATTATCCTGCCTCAGCCTCCTGAGTAGCTGGGATTACAGGCAGGCGCCAACACGCCCAGCTAATTTTTGTATTTTTAATAGAGACGGGGTTTCACCATGTTGGTCAGGCTGGTCTCGAAATCCTGACCCCGTGATCCACCCGCCTCGGTCTCTCAAAGTGCTGGGATTACAGGCGCGAGCCACTGCGCCCGGCCATATTATTTATTTAATTAAAAAAAAAAATCTTGCCTGGAGCCAGGCACGGTGGCTCACGCCTGTAATCCCAGCACTTTGGGAGGCCCAGGCGGGTGGATCATCTGAGGTCAGGAGTTCAAGACCAGCCTGGCCAGCATGGTGAAACCCCGTCTCTACTAAAAATACAAAAATTAGCCGGGCGTGGGGGTGCGCACCTGTAATCCCAGCTACTCAGGAGGCTGAGGCAGGAGAATCGCTTGAACCCAGGAGGCGTAGGTTGCAGTGAGCCGAGATTGTACCACTGCACTCCAGCCTGGGCGACAGAGCAAGACTCTGTCTCAAAACAAAACAAAATAAAACAAAAACAAGCAAACAAAAAATCTTGCCTCTATGAGTATCAGACAAAAAGAGAGGAAGGGTAGAAGTTATTTCAATTGCTTTTTTTTTTTTTTTTTTGGTCATGTGATAGAAGAAGAAAAACCCAGTAGCCTGCAGGACCTGTCCCTGCTGTCCCTGTCTGACTACACAGGGTCGTGGTTTATCCCAGCATGGAATTACTTGGAGTTGTCCCGCACCTGTTTCCTATGCAGGTAATTCGCCCTTGTTGCCTTCCCCGCCTCCTGACTGGTTAATGCTGCTGTCAGTCAAGCCAGGCCTATTCACACGCTTCACTCTGATTGGCCCCTTCACCTAGTTCCCCTAACGCCCTTTCCTCAATGCTATTACTGAGCTCACCAAACCGTACCACAATGACGTGCTTATGTTTTTCTAGTCCCTACATGGGTAACTTAAGGGCAGAGACTATATTTTATTCCCTCCTGCCTCCCATGTGCCCAGCATAGTGCGTGGCACATAACTGGCATCCGTAAAAATATTCATTGAATTCATGAATTAAAATAGCATCATTACAACACTGTGGGAAGGTGAGCATCTGGGCTAAGGGCATTTGAGGTTGCATTAAATATGCACATCTCAGTGTGCGGAGCTTAGCTCAAAGCAAGGTGGAGTTGTCAGAGGCAGCTACTAAGAAACTGCGTGTTACCTGATCACGGCTTCCACGGCGCAGACCAGCTCCTCAGCGCCGCATTCCCGCGTGTTGATGGGCGGAGGAGAGGTCTGATAGAGGTGAGTCTCCGCAGCGGCCCCCACTTCATTACTGTGATGATTTGAGTGGCACCTCTTGCAGTACCGAACAGGCCTGTTTCCGTGACGACCACAGCACCCTGCTGAGAAGCAGGTGACAACTGCTCTTCTAACGTGGGAACTGCAGTTCTAGAAGCCAAGAAAGTGAAATCAATTAAAATTGACCACCGAGGTAAACTTGGCTAAGAATCAGAATAAATGAAAACTTAAGGGGCCACTCGAAGTGACAACACATTCAAGGGCCACTAGTTTCCAAAGCGCAGGTTATTCTCCCACTACCTAGATTTCAGTCATAGTTAAAAAATAAAGGCGAGGAGTGTTTTCTATTCCTGTGAGTAGTAGAAATGCTCTAAATATCAGTGGCATTGTGTTGGGAAGCCCTGTGTAAAGTTACCTCAGCCATGGGGGGAGCGAGGAGGAGGACACTTTCTGGATTATTTCAAGTTAACATTCCAAGAGTTTTTCAGCAGAAATATAAAGAAAAAAACAGAACCATGGATCAGAGAGTGCAACATCACAGCACATCAGGGAAGAAAAGAAATGATGTTAACTCCCGGAATAAACTCTTTCAAAATTATTTTATCCACCTGAAAGAGTAGATTTCCGCTACAGCTCCTCTGTCCTTGTCGCATTCAAGGACAGGTAGATGCTGCATTCAAAGACAGAGACTGTGCTGTGCCAAAGTGATGGCCTCAAGCCAGGCCTTCCCATGCCCACCGGCACTCTGTGAAGACCACAGGGACATACACAGCCAGAACCCTTCGTAGAGTCAGCATTGACATCAACCGCAGGAAGGGAACCGCAAATGAAGTGATGGGAACGAGAAAAGTGGTGGAGCGTAAGACATTTCCAAGTTCAGGGGTGGTACTGTTCAAGCTGCCCTGGCGGGAGGCAGAGGAGTGAGGCAGCACCCACATGAAGCTATTGGAGACGTGCCCCAAGCCTATGAGAGATGCGACCACCACATAGTCAATGTCTCTTTCAATAGTGCTTGTGAAGATGTGAACACCCCCAAGGGGGCGTTAGACTCTAAGGCTTTATGAACTCAGAGCTTGTGAGAGGAGGGAGATAAAATAATGAATTAATCTGTCTTCACCTAGAATTTAAAGGGAAAATATTGAGCTCAGGACAGTCCTTCCAGCCAGCATAGGATTCTCAAGGTAAGAAAAAGTTTCAAGGCAAACATCAAATCCAGGGCCCTATCAGGAAAATGTGGTCTCAGTAGGAAAAAAATGATAGCAAGGGCTCGAATATAAAACCCTTTGTTAAGAACTCAGAATTTAATATGGTACACCATTGACTCTTTTAGATAGACAAAAAAAAAAAAAAAAAAAAGCCGGGGGTGGGTGGGGGGTGCCTTCTAAGGATCTTAAGGGCATACCTCAGCATCCACTTCATTCAACAATAAGGGTTCTAAGAATCGTAAGTCATCATTCCCAGGAGCCTCATAGAGAGCATAAGGTGTAGAAGGACTTATCCCAAAGAGGTTTGTGCATTTGACTCACGTTTAATGAAGCAGGTTTATAAATTGAGACATAAGAGCCCATGTTTTTAATGGAATTATACCATTGTAGATTGAAAGGGACAGAGACAGCCCAAAAAAGAAGATGTTTTGGGATTTCCAAACTTCTATAAGCAAAAAATAGGCTGATAAAACTACTTAGCTGTAAATGACAGGCTACTTTTTATGAGAAGGAAAAGATGGGCATCTCCCAGAGGGTGGGGCCTAGAGCCAAAGAGACCAGCTCCCAGGAAGCAGGACTCGCACCTAACTAAGGAACAAGTGACATGTGCCCTGTGACTTTCAGAATTTCTAAGGACTCCAGATACTCCATAAGAAATTACTCAAAATTTAGCGGCATAAAACAGCAACATTTAATTATGTTCATAGGCTCTGTGGATCAGAGATTCGGACATGACTACCTTCCTCTCATTTCCTCACTTTTTACATGAGTCTCTACTGCAGTAATCCTACCCCTGTATCACTATTGCATGTTAGCTGTGCAGGATGCAGATAACATTTCTTTCATTCACAAGTATTCAAAGCAAAAGGAAGAATACTTAAGGAGCCAAGCCCAAAAAGCCTCATCTACACCTGAACTTGATTTTGATGAGAAGATCTTGGACCTCCAGTCAGGATTTTGCAAGTGGAAAGAATGTAAATAATCTGTGACCAGAGGCGGGTTCTCCACACTCCTCCCATCAAGAAGTCAAGGATAGTTTCCCTCCCCTTGAATCTGGATGGGCTTGCAACTGCTTCAACCAATATAGCATGACAGAAATGATGCTTATAAAAGGACACGCAGCTTCCACTTGCTGCCTTGAGATGTTCTCTCTTCAGAAACTTCCTCATTAGATACTCCTCCCAGATCTCTGCCAGGATGCCATGAGACAGCCAAGCCACAGGGAGAGACCATGTTTCAGTCTTGAGTCAATGGCGCTGGCTTAGCCTAGTCTTCAAGTCACCCCATCCCAGAGCCCAAACGTATGATCTAGAAACCTCTAGATAATTAAAACCCTCAGCATTCAAGTCTTCCCAGATGAAGCCCCAAACATCATCAAACAGAGACAAGCTATCTCCATCATGCCCTGTCCGAATCTCTGATCCACAGAGTCTATGAACATAACTAAATGTTGCTGTTTTACGATGTAAATTTTGAGCAATTTCTTATGGAGTATCTGGATACACTGCATATGATAATATCTGGAATACCGACTAAAAGTCAACCTGCTTTATTACCACATGCCATCAATTCTAAACAATGTCAGCAATAAAATACATTTCCCCAAAAATAATCTTCAGTTGATCGAAGTTCTAAATAATTGCTAGGATTCCTACTAAGTTTTGATAATATATTTGAAAGGCCTCAACCCATGTGGATTCAGCTCATTCATTTCCAAACTAAACTAGAGAGGCTTCCCTTAGATGGAGATTCAGCTGGACATGTTTTCAAATGTTCACTCCAACCACTTTGCTTCACTGCTTTGAATTTTAAACACATAGAAATAACTCCAAGTGGTCTCACAAAATCACAGAATTGAAATAATCAAGGTCTGTCTCTTCATCTTTCCAATCACGATGCTATCATTGCTTATTTCAAATATACCATTCAGGGAATATGCAGTACAAAGAGGTAGAATACAAACTACCCAGGGCAAGCTCATACAATTCTGAACTGTTATGAACTTAATGGAAATTCTCCAAATTAATGTCTGTGTAAAACACAATGTTTATTAAAGGATAAGCAATAAAAATGTGCTAATTTGAAGCTTGTTACTAAAAATAAGTTTGTCATATAAAGAGGGAAGTGTTAAAAAATGATCTACCCTGGGTGTCAAATATGTTACGTATGTCCCCAGAGCCAAAACATGCTGATTTAGAAAATAGAACTGTTTGAAATCCTGGTCCCACAAGCTTAGAAACGATTCTCAAAGTAAGAATGGCCTCAGGATAAAGATCAAAGGAAGAATATGGTCTATGACTCTAAGATCCTTTGTTAAGGCTTCAGAAAGTTATAAGGCGATGTCTAATTGAGGCTCTCAGCTATAACAGGGCTTCTAATAATTTTAAGGGCACACTGAAACGCCCAAAATATAGGAAGGACTGCCTCAAAAATCATTATAGATGTGGCTTTGGGGGCTCAGGACCCCAATGAGATTCACTAAAAATCCACAAAGTTTTTAAGAAAGTCATACTAGCAAAAGCACCACCAGCTAAAACTAAAGAGACGCAGTTCTAAATGAAAAGAGATATATGGGACCCTAACTCCTACATGCACGAAGCAGATTGAGAAAGTTACTCAGCTGCAACATGGACCATTTCTTATTGAAAAGAAAAGATGTCTCAGAGAGTGGAGCCAAGAGCTCAGGAGGACAAGAACAGATTAGGGAACTATTTCTAGGAAACAAAACCAGATCATAATCAAGGCATGTATGCTATTCCTGGAGACAGAGGAACTGTTGATGTGTTTATGGCTGGAGCTGCTATAGACCAATGACTGCTATCTGCTTTCCCTTCCTCTTTTTGAACAGAAGCTTATTGCTATGATCCTGTCCCTGTCTCAACATTGTGTCTTGGGTGCAGAGAGGGAAGATAACTTTCCTTCTTAGTTCACAGGACTCTGAATCAAGAGAATCAGTTACCAAGAAGTTTAATCAGTGACATATCACATGCAGATCACAAGATACTAGACTTTAAGCCTGAAGCCATAAATGAATAAGACTTGTGGAGGTCATATAAAATGGTGAGCATATTTTGCATATGGAAAGAAGGTAAATAATTATGTCCAAAGGACAGATTGTGGTAGATTAAATGTGACCATAAAATTCTTGCCAATCCTTCAATAACCACAAAGATCCTATTTCTCCACTCTTTGAATCTGGGCCGGCCTTGGAACTTGCTTTGACCTGTTGAATGCTACAGAAATGATGCTGTGTGACTTCTGAGAGGCCTTGAGTGAGTGAGGCTCTCTCACTCTCTCAGAAGACTGCCACCTGTGAACAAGTCCAGCCTAGCCCCTGGACGATGAGACATCATGTGGAAAGAGAGGCCCAGACACCCCACCCATCTCACCATTCCAGCCATCCCAGCTTAGCCCCAGATATGGGAGTGAGACCATCTGGGGCCAGCCAATTCCAGCTTACCCACCAACTGACTGCAAATACATGAGTGAGCCTAGAGTAATTTATCAAAAGAACTGCTTAGCTGAGCTGAGCATAGGACAAATTGCCAATCCACAGAATTGTGATTAAATAATTGGTTGCCATATGAGACACTATGTTTTCAGATGGTTTGTTATGCATCCATAGATAACTGAGACAGCCCTCCAATATACCTACTCACAATCAACATCCCAAAAAGTTTAAATGATGTGTGCAAGGTCCACATAGGTAGGAGGGAACAGAACTGGCCAGAGTCCAAGAATCTCAACCAACTAGTCAAAAATTCTTTTTTATGACATCATACTGCCTCCTCTTACTCTTTTCAATTATTAAAACAAGAAGAGAAGATGGAGGTGGTTTAGAGAAACTATTATTAAAAAAAAACTAAAGGAAATATTAAAGGAAGAATCTTTAGCTACATGTATTGTTCAACTTACACATAAATACTTTCCATATACAGTCAGTCTGGGTATGTTTTTCACACATACAAATTGGACTATTTGCACTCCACTTCAAAACAATTGAGATTTCTAGCATACAAGATATATCCTTAACTAAAGTTAAGTACCATAAATTGCAGTATAATTCAAACCTTTTTCTAATTGGACTCCTATCCCAGAATTACACATAGGCTTTTATTGCAAATTACTGAACAAAAGCATTGTGCATAAGATGGGTGAGCAAAAGCAGAAATGGAAATAGAGACCATTTGGATGTAGCAATCTTGCATGCTAAATTATTTCCTTTACCCCTCCACAAATACAATGGCATGCATATACTGGAAACCACGGTGCAGAAATGAGGCAGATGTCAATAAATGAATTTACATACAAACACAATAAATCATGCCCCAACGACACAAATGGTTTGCTCTTACCTTTTTCTGACATATAGCAGATATTTCAGCTGTAAGGGGAAGGCACACAAAATATCAACAAAGAAAGAGAGCCCCTCTAATTTTTATTTAATTAATTAATTTATTTTTTGAGACAGTGGCTCACTCTGTCAATCAGGCTGGAGTGCAATGGCACCATCATAGCCCACCAC
The DNA here is from genome assembly GCF_000001405.40 of Homo sapiens. Taxonomy (NCBI): domain Eukaryota; kingdom Metazoa; phylum Chordata; class Mammalia; order Primates; family Hominidae; genus Homo; species Homo sapiens. Next base: position 646,970 of record NT_187601.1, on the reverse strand, counting down.
AGCCTCTTGAACGCCTTGGCTCAAGTGATCCTCCTGACTCGCCTTCTAAGCAGCTAGGCAGTGGTGTGGGCTTCCATGCCCAGCTAATTTTTTTTTTTTTTTTTTGTAGACATGGGGTCTTACTATGTTTCTCAGGCTGTTCTTCAACTCCTGGCCACAAGCAACCCTCCTGCCTTGACCTCCCTCCAAAAGGCTAGGATTACAGGTGTAAGCCACCATGCCAGGTCTAGAGCCCATTTAAAATAAGGGCAGCCATGAAGGGGGAATCTTTTAAATCTTAGTAATATGACCTCTGGACTTGGCCCAAACAGATTTTCACTTGGCTCATAAATTATCGTCTACTTTTATTGGCTTCTAGTTTCCTCAGAAATCATGAAATAGATCTCTTTTCATCTAGTAGTGTATGTTTAGTGAGGTTAAAAACACCTGCACACTGCTACTTTTACAAATAATTTAATCTTTTCAGACATGACTTAGAAATCAAATCTTGTTAAAGCCAAACAAATTTAATCTTATTTCCCCATTTTACAGAGGACAAAACTGAGAACCACTGTGGTTAGGTAAATTCTTCAAGGTCACACAAGCTATCAATGGTAGGGGCAGACCTTGAGTTCAAGTCTCCAAATTCCCCATTTACTGTTCTTCCCATTATACTATGACACTGGGTTAATGTGATATATTTACAGCATCACCATCGGATTATTTGCAATATCAAAACTGTAGACAAAATTACTAACTTGGACTACCTAGATTTAAATTATCAATTTATATCACTCTTAACGTGTGTGTGTAAAACCAGCTGTAGGGTTATTTAAGAGAAAGCAATTTTCAAACCCACGGGTAGACCAGTTGGAGCAAGACTGTCAAATTACTGTCTACATAATGAATGCATAAGAATTCTTTTCAGTGGGCACATCAATTATTTCCATGAAAACTGATGCTGGAGAGCATTTGAAAATAAATTTTCCAAGAATTGGCTAATATGTACTCTGAAATAGTATGTACTCAAAAAATGAACTAACACCTTATTTATAGTCTATGTTACAATTTATTTAAAAGATCAAAGGTAAATGTCTCCCAAACCCTGTCTGGTAATCTTAAACTAGTGGATGAAAAAGCAACAAAATTTACAACTCATGTTTAAAAACTGGTTTTGTATAATTAATGGTTACTTGACAGTTTGATATCCTAGAGTTTATCTTAAATCATCTGAGGTTAGTGTCACATGTCTGTATAAGTAATGAAAAGTTATTGCCAATATTCCTCTAAAGATGAATATCACTGGAGATGACAACCAGAACTCAGCAACATATTTAAAAAGGATTTTATAACTTATATTTTATAACTTGACTATGGCTTTTACCTCAGAGCACTGGATGATCACTAATTAAGTAGCATAATTTAAAGGAAAAAAAGTTAAATTTACCCATATGAGCCCAAATCTTTTTACAGGTTTTTTGTTGTTGTTGTTTTGGGGTTTGTTTGTTTTGTTTTTTTTCTGAGACGGAGTCTCGCTCTGTTGCCCAGGCTGGAGTGCAGTGGGGCGATCTCGGCTCACTGCCAGCTCCGCCTCAAAGGTTCACGCCATTCTCCTGCCTCAGCCTCCCGAGTAGCTGGGACTACAGGTGCCCGCCGCCACGCCCGGCTAATTTTTTGTATTTTTAGTAGTGACGGGGTTTCACCATGTTAGCCAGGATGGTCTTGATTTCCTGACCTTGTGATCCGCCCACCTCGGCCTCCCAAAGTGCTGGGATTACAGGCGTGAGCCACCGCGCCCGGCCTGTTTTTGTTTTTTTTAAGACAAGGTCTTTCTCTGTCGCCTAGGCTGGAGTGCAGTGGCATGATCACGGCTCACTGCAGCCTCAACCTCCTGGGCTTAAATGATCCTCCCACATCAGACTCTCAAGTAGCTGGGACTACAGGCACGTGCCACCATGCCTGGCTAAATTGTTTTTTCTCTCCTGCCCTCCTAAATTTTTTGTTTGTTTGTTTGTATTTTTAGTAGAGACAGAGTTTCACCACGTTGCCCAGGTTGGTCTCAAACTCCTAGGCTCAAGCCATCAGCCCGCCTCCACTTCCCAAAGTACTGGAATTACAGGCATGAGCCATTGCACCTGACCTACAGATATTTTTATGTAAATTTTCAAAATGTGCCTTTGAAGGATATAGAGGCTGATATTATTGCTCCATTTTACAAGTGATTCTCCTGCCTCAGCCTCCTGAGTAGCTGGGATTACAGGCAGGTGCCACCATGCCTGGCTAATTTTTTATACGGGGTTTCACCATGTTAGCTAGGATGGGAATCCATTTATTTTCTACATCTGAAGTCATATACCATCGAGTTCTTCCTGTGCCCCGATCTCTACTCAAACTTAGTATGCCTGCAGCTCTTTCCACCTTTCATTTTTCCTCTGTGTTTGTCAGTACTTTTCCTTGTCATTTTAGCCTCCAATGACATGGCTGGAATAGCTGCCTCTCCCATATGTGGAGAAATGCTCTGTCTGGGACCTACCAACTTATAGGGCATAGCTTTGACAACTCTGACAAACTACAAGAAGCATTGCAATCTTGTCTTTCCATTGAGATGGGTTAGATATACTTTATCCCCATTTTACTGATGAGGAAACTGAGCCTCAGAGACATTCAATGATTTCCCCCCCACAACATGGTACTAGTAATAGTAGCAGGGGAAAGGCCAATTATTCATTTCTCTCCCAGCTAGTGTTCCTTATTCTTTTTCTTCTCCTTAGTAAGACCTGGTGCAGCAACTTATCACTGACAACACCTGTTACAGATACAGAAAATCCCTGAAGACATAATTTGGCAGGGCTTTAGTCGTATGGAATCCTAATTCCAATATCTACCCTTAATTTTGGTAGGGATGATACTACTTCCCGCATTATTAAATGTGTGGGTACATTATAAGCAAGGCATTGATATTATGCTTCATATCAATGAATATTCATACAATACAATACTTTGGTGACTGTCTTTGTAAAATAAAATAGTACAAAAGGAGATAAAGCAACTATGTCATTAGTCATGATTACTCATTATTCATCCTTTCCTAAGTAAACCATACCTTGTGGCAGAAGAACATCAATCAGCCACTCACTGTGGTCCCTATTGAAAAAAACAAAATTCATTTTTGAGCTTCATTGAAATGTTCTCCTTCCACATGAATGTTTATAAGCTGCACACTAGTGCTGAAAGGCTTTTAATAGAAAGGAAGTATAATTAAGAGCACTATCATAATAAACTCTTAAAATGTCTAATGCATTCCAGCTAAATTATAAATTATAGGCACTTCATCATATTCAGTTATCTTTAAATGATACTTTCCAGATGCTAATTAAGCCAACCAAAATACTGCATGATCTGTACAAAGCTGAGTGTGATTCTGTGAAACAAACAAGCAAAAAGAACCCATATAATTTGTATGTCATGTTTGGAAACCACAGTTTTCTTTTACATCTGTTTTTCTCTGTGGCCTTTTTAACAGGGTTACTCCAAAATTGGAGCTGATTTATTAAATGGAATTGCCTTCTTCTCATGTCACATAAAGAGAAATATTGCAACTTTTCAAAGCTGTAATGTTCCCAGTGAAAGTTTGCTATATGTTAAGTATCAGAATAATTAACCTTTAAAAATCAGAGAGGCTAGAGAGAAACTTTAGCAATGTAACTAATTTAAGTCCAAATGATTTTTCTTATCTTCTTATTGTTGTCCTATTTCCTTTTCTTTAAGAACTCTTATACCTACCCTGCAATCCTCTCGCTGCATTCTTCACAGAGATACAACGGGGGTGGTTTATCACCCAACGCTACTGACAGGGAAGGGTCTATACACATCTGAAACATATGAAAAGACAGAATGAACTCTCCTGTTCCTGGGTATCACATTCCCTATATTCTAAGCACAAATGCTTCAATAATGACAGATTTTCCACAAGCGAGGTGGAATAAACATTTTTAGTAAAACCCTTTTTACCGATAAATGTTTCTCCCTGGACTAGCTGATGAGTCCACCCTGAGGATTTAAATGTGGCTGCCGTGGTTTTTCATTTCTCCTGTTAACTTGCAATTCAAGTAATAAATAGTGTCAAGAAATTCACTCTCATTCCACAAAGATCCAAAATATCATCTTGTTCAATTGCTGCTCAAATTGGCGATATATTACTCACACTAATTCCTTCTTTAAAGTGGTAAACAACAGTAGTTTCTCATTAGGAAAAGGAAAATATATTATTAAGATTTCAGAATCATAACTGATACCAAAGTGCTAGTGGTAGAGAACTTTGCTTCTTAAGGCATACCTTATTCAAAAAAGTTGGCATTAAATCTAACATTGAGTGGTTCACTTCTCTTACTCTGGAATCTTAGTTCTGTATCAATCATCCAACCTTTCTTTTTCATGTGTTTTTTTTTTTTTTCCTACACATGACCTATAATTTGTTTGCCCTTGCTGGAACTGGTTGATACAGCTGGGTTTCACGAGCCTAAGCACAGAGATGCAAAGTGTTAATTTCACAGTTGATCATCAGAATATTTCAATATCTGGATCTTTTAAATCAAATGAACAAAAAATCTAGATAACTAACTGCATTTTGTACTTTGCATAAATTTAAATTTCTATAATTTACAAAAGCCATTTTGAATTCTGTTTCTACCCTCGAAAAAATAATCAATTCATGTGCTAGCTGAGTAAGCAGTTAAGATGCCTAATACACAAATTTTTCTGGAACTACACTCTTTTTAGTTGTTCTCACAAATTTGAAGGGGGGAAATCACCTAAACTTATAACCCAAACAGCCTGTAATTCAAAGTGAAAACAGACACTTCAATGATTGAGGAAGCTAGTTAGAATTGCTCAATTTACCGTCAACATTTGTAAACTATATATTCCCCGATGACAAAGGCTCAGAGTGAAAATTTTCCTCATGTAAGTTTCATGCTTCCTTAGACGTAATGAGTAACTGCTTTGCGGTGTGTTAAATCAGAGATTGGCAAACTTTTTTTGTAAATATTTTAGGCTTTGTGGGCCACAGTCTCTGTCACAACTACTCAATTCTGCTGTTGGAGCATGAAAGCAGCCATAGACAATAAATATGTAAGAAAATTAACATAGCTGTGTTCTAATAAAACCTTATTTCCAAAAACTGGCAGCAGGCCAGATTTGGCTCTGGGCCATAGTTTGCCAGAACCTGCCTTAGATAATTATCTGGGCTTCAAAGTATTTCATAAAGTGGACTTCAAGTAGAACCAGGTAAAATCAAAAGCAGAGTATGATATCGTAAACTTTAAGTTCCAACATATTTTCACATTTAATCCTATTACAACTCTTGGCTTTTGCCTAAAAAGTACTTTTTTGCAGCCTATTAAAACAAAAATGGATAATATTTTTCTATTTGGTATACCATTCTTGCTTAGCAGTACAGCTCACTATCACAGAGATATTAGGCTTTTGGTGAGGATTAATCAATTTTCCCCAAATCTTTCCCATGCCCCCCATGTGGAGCTCCTCTTACATATTATATGTTATTCTACCCTCTTTTTTAGTGAGTCATTGATACCTCTCTCACGTAAAGATACTTTTTCACACTACTCAAAAGGAGAAGCTCCTAGGATGCTAAAACTATAAATAATCATTAGAGATTAGCTAGTCAACCTCTGACTTTTTAAATAACTTACTTAGCATGACCTATCAGATCTGTAGTTGGTCTAGTGAGTTTTGTTCTAGTCTGAACAGGTTGGTTTACATCCACACTAATGTGTTCATATCTGTGTGTCACATGAATAAGTGGATTTTTTTGTTTATAAATATGACATATGCCCAATGTAGAGGCTTTGGAAAACCGAGAAAGGGAAAAAAGAAAATTCAATTAACACATTAACCTTCCATCTTGATGCAATCCATAGTAACACTCTGATAAGTATTACTGATTGTTTTTCACCATGATAAGTATTACTGATTGTTTTTCACTATGTAACCTTTAAACTTTTTAAAACTTTTAAACATCATACTATAAAATTGCATAACTTTATGCTTAACATTATTTTGTAAGCATTTGGATGTTTGATACCCTTGATTTGCATGTCATACGGTGATGATGTGGATTGGGCGGACTCACACTGTAAAGCAAGAGCAATACTGAGCCAGACCTATTGTAGTGCAAAAATGGCCCCAGCACAGGAAGACTTAATGAGAATGCTACCTTTCTGCAAAGTGTAGAATTAAAATAGAAAAGAAGGGTCTTTAAGGAAACTGGAGTTCAGAAAGTAAGATTTGGGGGATATGAAAATGTCTTGGGACTAGAAAGAGGTGGTGTTGGCAAACATTGTAAATATACTAAATGACACTGAATTATTCCCTTTAAAATAATTCATTGTTCATTATGTGAATTTTGCCTCTATTTTTATAAAATGACAGAAAGTGGATGGTTTGACCTATCATGGCTGACTCACTTCAGGAAGAAAAGTGAGGCCAACTCAGTGGAATGGACTGGGCTGTTTGCCTAGAAAAGAAGTAGAAAATCTAATTCATGATGCTTTCTGTGAGTAGGAGGCCAGAAAGCATTACTAACCAGGATATCAGAGGACTCCTGAGAATGCAGTCTGACATAAAATCAAGGAAAAATAACTGCAGAAACCAGACAGAAAGGATCCCCTTCATGTTGATGTCTGGGTGACCCAAAAGAAGGAGCTATAACTTAGGCAGGAGGAAGAAAAGAAGGATAATAAGAAGGAACCATGAAAGTCTCATCATTGTGAAAAATCGAGCTGAACTATATGAATAAACTATGAATTCACATGTGAGCAGCTCAAAATATCCTCACTCCAAAGAAGAGCACCTCTGAACCCCAAATGTCTATTGAAGGTCAACAGTGGGGTGCACACAGTAGAATGGGAAGGGCCTACACTTCCATTGTGTGGGTCATCATTACCTGCTCTTTTTTTTTTCGAGATGGAGTCTTGCTCTGTTGCCCAGGCTGGAGTGCAGTGGTGCAATCTCCTCTCACTGCAACCTCCACCTCCCTGGTTCAAGTAATTCCCCTCCCTCAGCCTCCCGAGTAGCTGGGATTACAGGCACACACCACCACGCCCAGCTTATTTTTTATTGTACTTTTAGTAGAGACGGGGTTTCACCATGTTGGCCAGACTGGGCTCAAACTCCCGACCTCAGGCAATCCACCCGCCTCGGCCTCTGAAAGTGCTGGGATTACAGGCTCGAGCCACCACACCCAGCCAGTTACCTGCTCTTAATATCAATCCATTCAATTTGCCTTCAACAAAAGCAGAGATTAAAAATAATAATACAAGGCCATCCTTTGTTAGTATAATGTATCTAGATGACAGTGTTATTACCGGCACTCCTCTGCCAGTTTTTGGTTCATGAAACACATTTTTGGTTTCTTTTATATTTATTGGATCTCATTTCACCTTTCCTACTTTGTTTCTATAAAGAGATGGTGTTAGTTTTCTATTAGTATTTGGTTTTCTACAGGCTATCTATAAAACAAAAGAAGCAAACCCGCAGGACACCTGGTTCTCCAAAGTAACTGTGAACTCTGATAACTTCAGGTAACTCCTACTCCTCATAATATAAAAATTATACCTTGCAAATCCAGACACAGGTTCATCCAGCCAAATATTTTATATCCAATAAATATATCATAAATAATTTTCTTAAAAGGTGTGATTATTTTTCTTCACATTCAACTTTCAAGATTCAGGGTTATACTAGGACAGAACCAATTTGGTGTGGTAGAAGGACAATAAGGTTAGGAGTCCAGATACCTGGTTCTGTCTCCAGTTTTGTTGCTAACTGGCAACCTTAGGAAAATGACTTGACTCTGTAAACCACTGTTTCCTTACTTTTAATGTAACTTTCCATGTATATGCTGTCCAGACACCTTTCAGTCATTTCAGTTAAGTCATATTTGTAATATGAGCTAAAAATTAACAATTTTATCTTTTTGTCCTACCACTCCTGAATTTGCATAAGCACTCATGATTTGTAGCATACACATGAAAACAGAGAGAAAATACATTTCCCTGAGTTCATTAGCTGAAATAGAAACCAGTTAAGGACCATGTAAGCATTTTACTAGGATCCTTCTGATAGATAATTAGCTCAGTGCTACATAGCACTTGGCTACGAACGCATAGCCAAAACTGCAGACAACGCTATTCATTGCTCTCTCTTGACCAGTCTGCCAAAGTACAATCAGATTGAATATGGAGGTACTTCGAATTACTACAGAGGACATGCCTCTGCTTTACAGAGAAGGATGCAATCTACTCCACTTCATTCAGCAATTTGACCACTGACAATACAGTATGGCACCAGGTCTAATAAAACAGTACCTTCACAGCTGGTTTGTTAATTGCATTGTGGCATTCAATGTGCTGGCAGTGGATGGGATTCCAAGCTGTAAAGTAAAGCACAGCTGATGAATACTTCTCATTGAAATTATTCATGCCCTAGTAAAAACAGATATTTTACTATTTTCTTTTTTCTAAACAGAACCATCATCAGAAAGCTTTCTAACAGAATCATCTTTTTAATCTATAAAAAATTTAAAAGACAAGCAAAGATATACAACTCCATCCATTTTCCTAGGATAAGAGATAAGCCAATATAAGATGGCATGTACAGTACCACAATGGTATGCCATTAATAAGTTTTCAAAGGTTTTTACAACCATGGTTTCACTTGATCCTCCAACAACTCTGTAGGGTAGGTACAGCAGATTATTAATCTCATTTCATATAAGAATAAATTAAAGTTAGCAAGGTTAAGTAGCTTGATATGGTCACAGAGTTAGTATATGATAAGCTAGAACTAGAACCTATATTTCTTGGTGCTTGACATTCTGCTCTTTTCATGATTGTATATTATGCTAAACATCCTAGATTCTTGGCACCAGTAAGCGTTTTAAATTGATAACAACTGAAATGAATAGTAAGACGTCCTCTACCATTCCATTTCCTATCCCATCCCCAACAAACATGGAGACTGGAAAGATTAATTTCTTGCCCAAATGAAATGCATCTCTCTCTTACACGTGACCCACCTACTAAACCTTTGCTAGTCTGCTAATACCCAATTAAATCTCTGCTAGTCTGCTAATACCCAACTCCTAAGCTCAGTATACACACAGAATGAGGAAAAGAACCAAGTGACCTGTAATAAGTCAGACTGAGAATCACAACCAGTAGTTATCATCTGGATGATTCTGTAGCCCAAAGCACTTGGCTAACAATATTCCATCATTAAAAACATGTAAGGGGTTTATATGCTTGAAAGTAGGACATTTTTCTAAAGTGTCATATTTTAAACTCACAGGACTATGTTGGCCTATTCTTAATACGTGGGAATTTGCAGATGAGAAGATATTCTTACTTAGTTACATATTCAATTATAATTCAAAAATATATATTATTAATGATCCGAGCTAATTTATGTTCCAAACACTTTAGAAAATTTTCTACCTAGGAGCTTCCCACCTTCAAACTTTCTATCCCATTGTTAGACCATGTATAAGATTATGTGTCTAGTTGGGGATTCACGGAAATATAGTTACCAGAACGACTGACATTTAAAAATATACAACAGGTCTATTTATTTGAAAAGAAGACAAGAAATACAGACCAGAGACCACTACTATAATAAGATAGTATCATTTTGATCATATTTTTAGAGCACAACAAAGAAGAAATGGAAATGAATGAGTACATGAACAGATTGATGAAGAAATAATTTCGGTATAGGCGCTTCATAACTATGAGATTAGTTTCCCATATATGGTAAAGTCAAGCTGAATATAAAGAGTTGTAACAAGTTTTCTTGTACAATTAGAGTAACATAGAGGAAAAAGCTGCCTTTAACCAGTACATGAATTGCAAAAACATGGAACATGTGCTGCATTCTTCTGATCCCAAACTCATGACAGACATCACTAATCCATTACAGCATTCCTTCCTGCTGAGTCCAGAACTGGCCTTAGGATCCTTCTTATCACTGTGCTCCAAGAAGTCACCACTAATCAAAACAAAATTGGCACACAAGATAAAATCTGCTAACCATCTCCAAATCAGTGTATTATAAGAATGTCTGCAGATTGCTTTACAGAAGTTCATGACACTTATGGGAAGAATTAATATTCAAAACATATAACAACTGCTATGGCACAGGTAAACAAATTGAAGTGTGCACCAGCCACAGTAATTAGGGCTCTAAAGACTTCTATTCTGCCAGAAATAAATGCTTTTTTGTGGATAATGGAGATATCCAGGAGGTCCTACTGCTTTAATTTTGCATTCCATTTTTACTGAGTGTTGCTGTGTTAAGAACAGGTTGTAGATAATCAATTTAAGTTCATAAAAGCCACATTGGATTTAAACTTACTAAAACAGTGATCTTAAGTTTTGCTATGTATCAAAAATCAACTGTCAAGATTTTAAAAATATGATGTCTGGAACCAATGTTAGATCTTCTGAATCAAAATGTTTGAGGATAGAACACAGGTATTTCTAATTGGGAAAAGCACTACAATTGATTTTGATATAAGGACAATCAGCATACCTTATCTTGTGGCAAATATAGTCATACTAGATCACCATTCAAAAATAATAACAAAAAAGATAGCATAAAAACACAGCAGACAACAATTACTCTTTCAACTATGATAGAAAAATTGGTATTAGACTTGCCTTCCCACCATAAACAACTAGAGAACTAAAAAATATATATTTGAAACACTATTTTCAGAAACTGGTCTCCAAGTAGTACAGGGCAGTGATCCTTGAGAGAAGAGAAATAATGCAGTGAGCCCCACAATCACCCTGGCTTTCTTCCTGACAGTAACTTCCAGACCTTGGCCCTAGAAAGGGAAAGATAAGCAGAATAGTATGGTCTTGTTTTTAGTTGAGGGGACAAAAACTGGAGTTTAGAGAGGCCAGATGGCTGAAATTTGCTGAATAGAGTATGAAGGAAGAGGGAACTAGGCAAAGAAAGAGATCCAGAAATCTAAATAGGAGTCCTTTTGAGTCTTTGGCTTTATACTAAGTAAAATGTATGTAAGGTAAAACTCTATGAGGCTGGATAGAGAAAAACTGTGAGAGTTCTGTGAGCTAAGCAATTCCTAGAGCTTGTACAGGGCTGGAAGATATTCAAGGTCCAACCAGTCAGAGTAGGGGGAAATCACTAAATACTTGGAGCAATCATAGAAACTTTAGGAGGGTCATTTCTTAGTAATAGGGTTAAACTAACATTAGAGAAAAAGTTACTCTAGGCTCATTCTAACAAAACCTAAGAATAAGCCTTGAAATGGTCAGACTAATCCACAAGTAGCTTGATTGCCAAAACAAACTTCAACATACTGTAATGGAAGACAGCAAAATTCAGACACTCAATAATGTAACAATCATGAAATCCAGCATCCAGTCAAAATTATTTGATATTTGAAAAGGGGGTAAAATGTCACTCATAACCAGGGGGAAAACAGATCAGCAGAAACAAACCCAGAAACTGTGGAGATGAAGTAGTTGGCAAAGAAGAACTTTAAAATAGTTATCATAAACATTGGCAAAGGAAAGCATGAAGATAGGCATAATGAGGATAGAGATGGGAGATATAATTTAAAAATTAAATGTGACTTTAAAAATCAGAAATACAACTTGAAAAACTCACTGAATGGGCTTAATAGAAGAATAGACAATGCAGAAGAAAAGATCAGTGAATTAGGAGACATAACAAAACTACCCAAACTGAAATAATGGAAGAAAAATAGAGATACAGTGAACTGTGGGAAAATTTCAGGCAGTTTTACCTTACATATATTTTACTTAGTATAAAGCCAAATTTTTATGATTGCTCCAAGTACATGTGATTTAAAGCACAAAAGAAATAAAAGGGGGAAATATTTGAAGAGACAATGGCTAAAAATTTTCAAGTCTGATGAAAACAACCCCCAAATCCAAGAAGCTCAATGAATCCTAGGCAAGATAAAAGCAAAGAAAATAACACCAAAATTCATTATAAACAAATTGATGAAAACCAATAAGAAGAAAATCTTAAAAATAGCCAGGAGGGAAAAAAAGACACATTACTTACAGGGGAACAAAGATAAGAATGATCGCTGATTTCTCGTCAGAAACAATGCAAGCCAGAAGACAATGGAACGACATCTTTAATAGGCTGAAAGAAAAAAACTGTCAACCTAGAATTCTATACCCAGTGAAATTATCCTTCAAAAATGAGTATGAAATAAAGACTATTTGAAGACAAACACAAAATAAGAGAATTCATTTCCAGCTGAGCTCCACTACAAGAAATGTTAAAGGAAGTTTTTCGGGCTAAAGGAAAATGATACCAGATAGTAGCTCAAATTTACACAAAGGCATAAAGAGTGTTGGACATGGTAAGTATGCTGAATAACTACAGAAGGCTTTTTTACTCATATTAATATGTTGTTAAAAGATGGTTGATTATTTAAAACAAAAAATAATTATAATGAATAGAGGCTAATAATATATATAGAAGTAAGATGTTTGGTAACAATAACAAAAAGGATAGGAGGGGTAAAATTAAAATACAAAAAGGCCTTACATTATATGTAAACTGATATAATTTGAGGTAGACTGTGAAGTTAAAAGTGCATATTATAAACCCAAGAGCAATTTTTTAAAGATGGTGTAGCTAACAGTACAATACAGAAATAAAATATAACACTAAAAATAATTAATTCAAAAAAGGCAAGATATCAAAAAGAAAAAAAAGGAACAGATGGGACAAATATAAAACAAGTGTAACATGATAGGCTTCAGTCATACAAGTGTATCATGATAGGCTTCAATTCATACCAGAAATTACATTAAATGCCAATGGTCTAAACAATAATTTTACTAATGTAAATGGTCTAAAAGGCAAAGATTGTGAAATAGGATTTGAGTTTTTTAAAACCCATGACCCAATTGTATGCTGCCTGTGAAAAACATAGCTAAATTATAAAGGCTCAGATAAGCTAGAAGTAAACAGAAAAAGTTATACTATGCAATTATGGCATAATTGTTATACCATAATTGAAATTATAAGAAAGCTTGAGTGTCTATATTAATATCAGAGAAATAGATTTCAGAACAAAGAATATTACCAGAAAAACCAAGGCAATTTTACAATGATGAAAGGGTCAATTAACCTAGAAAACATAAAAACCATAAATATTTGTACCCTTAGTAAGGTGAGAGAATTGAAAGAAGCATAACTGAAGTTGTAAATTTCCATAATCCTCTCTCAGTAACTGATAAAACAAGCAGACAGAAAATCAGCAAATATATAAGACTTGAAAACACTCTCAAACAACTTAACCTATTTTATAATGTTAGAAATCTCCACTCAACCACTGTGGAATACACATTGTTTTAAAGTACACGTGCAACATTTAACAAGATAGGTATTCCAGTCCATAAAATAAGTCTCAAAAATTTAGATGGAGCTACATCATACAGCATATTCTCTAGCCACAATAGAATTAAACTAGAAACCAATAACACAAAAGTATCTGAAAAATTACCAAATATTTACACATTAAAAAGCACACTTCTAAACAATTCATGAATGAAAGAAGAAACTTTAGAAAATATCCTGCACTGAAATACAATAAAAGCATAACATATATAATGAATTTCTGGGAAGCAACTAAAGCAATGATTAAATGGAAATTTATAGCTAAAAATTATTATATGAGAAAATATTAAAGATCTGAAATAAAAAGTTTATGCATCTCCCTTAAGAAGACAGAAAAAGAACAGAACTCAGTAGGTGGAAGAAAACAATAAAGAAACAGAAATCAATGAAATTGAAATCAGAAAATCCATAGATAAAATCAATAAAATCAAAAACTGGTTCTTTGAAAAGTCCCAAAAACTTGATAGGCCCCAGCATCCTGATGGACAAAAAAAAAATTGAAAATTCATGAATTACCAATATCAGGAATGAAAGGTAGAACATCACTACAGATCCTACAGACATGCTAATAAATTTGAAAACTTGGATGAGATGCTCACATTCCTTAAAAGACACAAATAACTCACTATAACTCAATAAAAGTAAAAAAAACCCATAACTATTAAAATTACATTCACAACATAAAACATTTCCCTCAAAGAAACCCCAAGTCCATATGGCTTCACCAGTAAATTCTATTAATCATTGAAAGAATAAATAATACAAATCTTACATAAACTCTTTCAGAAATTAGAAGAGAAAAAAACATTTTCCAACTCATTTTATGAGGTCAGTATTACTCTGTAAATGGAACCAGATGAAGACATCATAATTAAATAAAACAAAACAATATCTCTCATAAATGTAGGAACCTGAACACTTAACTTAGAAAATTAAATCTAGCAATATAATACAGCATGACAAGATGAGTTCATCCCAAGAATGCAAGATTGCATTTCACACACACACACACACACACAGACACACACACACACACACTCACATATACATATGGACCAAATGGAAATTCTAGAAGTGAAAAATATAACAGGGGGGCAGAATTTGGGGAATGTTGGTCAAAGGCTGCAAAACTTTAGAAAGAAAAGATATATAATAACCAAAATTAAAAACATAATTAGGAGGCTAAAGAATTTGAGAACAGGAAGACATGTCAGAAAAAGATTCAGTATGAAGCACAGAAAGATGAAATGGTGGGGGATGGGGAATACAAAAAATAGGCATAAAAGGCATAACGTTGCCAAGAAAATCAATGTAATTTACCATATTAACAGAATGAAGGGAAGAAATCATATAATCATCTCAATAGAAAGAGAAAATGCATTTGACCAAAACTGACATTCATGATTAAAGCTCTCAGCAAACTAAGAACAGACAGTAATTTCCTCAATCTGGTAAAAAAAAAAAAATCTATGAAAAACCTACAGTTAACATAATAATTTAATGGTGAAAGCCCAAATACTCTCCCCAAAGATTGGGAGAAAGAACAAGGACGTCCACTCTCAGTACTTCTATTCAAGTGGAGATATTAAGCAGTGCAAAAAAAAAAAAAAAAAGAGAAGGATAGAAAGAAAAAAAGGGAGAAAGGAAAGAAGGGTAAGAGAGAGAGAAAAGGAAAAGAGGAGAAAAAGAAAGAGAAAGGAAGGAAGGAAAGAAGGAAGGGAGGGATGGAGAAAGGGAGAGAGGGGTGGAGAGAGGGGAGGAAGGAAGGAAGGAAGGAAAAAAGAAAGGCATACAAATTAGAAAGAAAAGAAAAAAAATTATTTGCAGAGAGCATAATCAGGTATACAGAAAATCTCAAGAAACTTACAAAAAAGCCACAAAAACTAAGAAGTGAATTTAGCAAGGTTGCAGGGTATTTGTAGAGTACCAATAAACAAGTAGAAGATTAAAATTTTTAAACACTATTTATAATAGCATATAAAATCATAAAATATTTAGGAGCACCTTTAACAAAATATAATATCTGTACACTAAAAACCAGCAAATATTGCTGAAAGAAATTAAAGAAGACCTAAATAAATGGATAAATATACCATGTTCATGGATGAAAAGACTCAATATTGTTAAGATGTCAATTCTCCCCAAATTAAACTATATAGTCAATGTAATCTCATTCAAAAATCCAAGCAGAGGTCAGATGCAATGGCTCACACCTGTAATCCCAGCACTTTGGGAGGCTGAGGCAGGCAGATCACCCTGAGGTCAGGAGTTTGAGACCAGCCTGGCTAATATGGTGAAACCTCATCTCTACTAAAAATACAAAAATTAACCAGGCATAGTCACACATGCCTGTAATCCCAGCCTCTCAGGAGGCTGAGGCAGGAGAATCACTTGAACCGGAGAGGCAGAGGTTGCAGTGAGCTGAGATCATGCCACTGCACTCCAGCCTGGGCAACAGAGTAAGACTCCATCCCCCACCCCCCCCCCCAAAAAAAATATCCAAGCAGATTGTTTTGTAGAAATTACAAACTGATAGTAAAATTTATATGAAAATGCAAAGGTACTAAAATAGCCCAAAAAATTCTTTAAAAGAACAAATCTGGAGTACTTACACTACATAATTTTATGTATTAAAATAGCCCATAAAATTTTTAAAAGAGCAAATCTAGAGGATTTATACTACATGATTCTAAAATACACCGTAAAGCTACAGTAATCAAGATTATGTGATATTGGTATAAGGATAGACAATGAAACAAAATAGAGAGTTTAGAAATAGACACATACATATATGGTTAATTATTATTCAACAAAAGGGTCAAGGTAATTCAATACGGAAAAGATACTCTTTTCAACAAATTGAACTGAAACAACTGGATATCCTTAAAGGAAAAACAAATCCAACCCTTACCTCTTGCTATATACTAAAATTGATTCCAAATAGATCATATACTTAGATGTAAAATCTTAAACTATGTAACTTCTAGAAGCATAGAATTTCTTTACAACCTTAGGAGAGACCAAAAAAAGGACCACAAAAGAAAAAAAAAAGATAAATTTCAATTAATTTATCAAAATTAAAATCTCCTTCTCTTTGAAATACTTCAACAGGGAAGCCCCTGAATGAGAGAGCATATTCACATTATGTTGACAAAAGTCTTATATTTTGAACATACAATATAATAAGATAATAAAATAAACACCCCAATTTAAAAATGAGCAAAAAGTTCATTGGTAACTTCACATATACACACAAAGGGTAAGCAAACCTGAGAAGGTAAGAATATAGAGGGAAAGATAAATATATGAAATTAGTGGTTACAGTAGCCACAGAGCACAAACAATGAAAATCTGACCTAAGAATTATACCCTTTCACCAGAAGCAAAATTAAGTTCTCTCTGAAGGAATCCATCATACTAAGTCTCAAATTAGGTTTATAGTTTTTATATCTATTGTCTTGAACACAATAAAAAACAACCACACAAACAAGAAGACAAGAAAACAAAACAAAAGAAACAACAGACAAGAGAATCAGAATCTCCAGGGATCCAGAACACTGAGTCATCAGAAACAGATTTTAAAATAATTATGCTTAATATGTTCTATAAAGTAGAAGATAAGAGAATATCATCAAAGAACTGGAAATACACACACACACACACACACACACACATATACATATGGACCAAATGGAAATTCTAGAAGTGAAAAATATAATGGGGGGTAGAATTTGGGGAATGTTGGTCAAAGGCTACAAAACTTTAGAAAGAAAAGATATATAATAATCAAAATTTAAAACATAATTAGGAGGATCAAGAATTTGAGAACAGGAAGACATGTCAGAAACAGATTCAGTGTGAAGCACAGAAAGATGAAATGGTGGGGGACGGGGAATACAAAAAATATGCATAAAAGGATGTACGAGAGAAAGGTCTAACATAAATGCCATTAGAATTCCAGAAAGAGGGATGAGAATGTGTCAGAAGCCACTTTTGAAGAGATAAGGAAACTTCCAGTTACAACCATAATAAAAAGCTGGTATTGAACTTATCTTTCCACTGGACAAACTGGTTTCAGACATTGGGCATAGATACAGCACAGGGCTGCTCTCTTTTTTAAAAAGTAAAGCATACAAGTTAAGTTCTACATTCACCTTGGCTTTCTGCCTGGTGATATTTCCAAAATGCAGCATAGAAAAATGGAACTCAGTAAGAAATCAGCGTTTTTGGTGGGTAGAAGAAACAGATTTTCAGTGGGTAGAGAAATCAAAATAAAGAAATGCTAAGGCGGATGGAATTTGTGAGTAAAGGTAGAGAACAGAGGAGAGCTACCAAGAAGAGGTATCACAGATCAGTGGAAGGGCATCCCTCAGGTCTTTGGCCCGCATGTGCTCAGAGCAAACTTCTGCAAGGACTAGCAGAGAACTCTGCTCAATGGTTGAAAGCAGAACAGAGATTTTGGAGGTCACAAAGGGCTAGATATATGTTGTATTTCCAATGTAGCCAAAGCAAAGAGCTTTAGTGAACACATCAGAAATTCAGGAGACAATAGTTTGTAACAGATAGGTCACACCTTAGGAATAAAGACCGTGCTCTAGACCTAAGTTTATAAATTTGTAGACATAGGGTTGTTCATAGTAATCCTTCACTATCCTTTTAATGTCCATGAGATCAGGAAATAATAATATCTATTTCCTTTCTGATATTAGAAATGTGTGTCTAATGTCTTTTCCTTTTTCCCTGGTTAGACTGGCTAGAAGCTTATTGATTTTTTAAAAAACAGTTTTTAATTTTGTTGATTTTTCTCTATGTTTTCCTGTTTTAAATCTTACTGACTTGTTCTCTAATTTTTGTTATTTATTTTCTTATGCTTACTTCAGGCTTAAATTGCTCTTCTTTCTCTAGTTTCCTAAAGTAGAAGACTATAGCATTGATTTTACATGTTCCTTCTTTCTACTGTATGTCTTCAGTGCTGTAAATATCCCTCTAAACACTGCTTTTACTACATAACACAAATATTGAAGATAATGCTATAGGAGTCATAGTTATACACTAGGACTAAAGGCAAAACTGAAATATACTTGGCTTAACAAGTTATAAATTTAAGTCCTTGGGAAGAGAAGGGCAGAGAAGGAGAGGCTGGTTAACAGGTACAAACAGATAGAAGGAATAAGTTCCAATATTTGATAGTAGAGTAGGTTGACTATATTTAACAACAATGTATTGTATATTTCAATATTTCAAAACACCTAGAAGAGACGACTTGAAATGTCCCCAATGCATAGAAATAATAAATCCTTGAGGTGATGGACACCCCAAATACCATGACTTGATCATTACACAGTCTGTGCAGGTAACAAAATATCAGGCCATAACAAAAATGTATGGGATACTTTATATCCCATAAAAAGGTACAATTAGGCCAGACACAGGGTCTCATGTCTGTAATCCCAGCACTTTGGGAGGCTGAGGCAGGAGGATCACTTGAACCCAGGATTTTGAGACCAGCTTGGACAACATAGGGAGGCCCATCTCTACAAATAATAAAAAATTAGCCAGGTGTGTTGGTCATGCCTGTAGTTCCAGCTACTTAGGAGGCTGAGGTGGGAAGATCACTTGATCTCAGGAGTTCAAGATTGCAGTGAGCTATGATTGTGATGCCATTGCACTCCAGCCTAGGCAAGAGTGAGACCATGTTAGGAAGGAAGGAAGGAAAGAAGGAAGGAAGGAAGGAAAGAAGGAAGGAAGGGAGGGAGGGAGGGAGGGAAAAACAAAAAAACAAAAATATGTACAAGTAAAATTTGTTTTAAAAGACTAGAGATCAAGAAGCCTATAAAATCTGAAAATTTAAAATAAAAATAAATAAAGCTAAGCCTTGATGCAAGAAGGTGATCCACCAGTAACTTCACACCAGCAAATACAAAACACAAAATACAATGCTTTTTAGAATAAATAAAATAGTTCAGAGTCTCTACAACATATTCTTTACAATGTCCATCATACAATAAAAAATTTACAAGACATGTGAAAGGACTAGAAAATGTGATCCATAATCAAGAGGAAGAGTGAAAAGAAGCAAATGACCTAGACTCATTTCAAATTAAAAATAAGAATTTTAAAATAAGTAGTTCAAATATGTTAAAGAATATACAGAAATAGATCATTCAGATGAAAATTCCCAGAGAGAGATGAAAACTGTAAAAAATAGCTAAAAGAAAATTCTAGACCTAAAAACATAATTAGAAAAGATAGCATATATAAAATTACTAACTCATTGACTGGACTTTTAAAAAATATTGGACGCAGCAGAAGAAAGGATCAGTGAACTTGAAAAATTAATACAAATCCAAACTAATGCACAGGTAAACATTTTTTAAAAATGGAGTATTTGATACCTCTGGAAAAAGTACCAAATATTTTTTTAAAGTCCCAGAATGAGAGGAGAAAACAGAAATGGCAGAATAAATACCTGGATAGAATAATATCCCAAATTTTTCCAAAACTGATGAAGAACATAAAACCACAGATTCGAGAAGCTCAGCAAACCCCAAGCAAAATAAGTACAAAAACCACCACACTCAAGCAGAACATAATGAAAGTACTAAATACCAAAAATAAACAGAAAATCTTTCAAAGAGGCAGAGAAAAATATCATACTACATTCAGAGGTACAATTACAAGAATAATATGTAATTTCCTATTGGATACAATGAATTGATACGTTTAAAGAGTTAAATGAGAGAAGCAATGTTCACTAATTACAATGGAATTACCATAGATATCAAAACAAAAAGGTAACTAGAGCCCAGATATTTGCAAGTTAAACTACTCTCCTAAATAACACAGGCAATAAAGATAGAGCAATTAAAGTGTTTAAATATTTTTAAATGAATGCTAGTAAAGACCCAAAATATCAAAATTTGTGGGATGCAGCAAATATAGAACTTAGAGGGAAGTTGGTAATTTTAAATGGATAATTAGAAAAAAATTAATGTTGGAAATAAACAATCTAATTTTTTAATCCCAAGAAGCTAGGAAAAAGAAGAAAAAATTAAATTCAAGAAAGTAAAAGAAACAAGATAGTAAAGATAAAAGCAGAAAACAATGATACATACAGAACACAACTTTTATCATTTTTCTGTTTTTTGTTTATTTGTTTTAGTTTATGTAAGCATTTGGTGAAATTTAAGAACTGGTCATGCACGGTGGCTCATGCCTGTAATCCCAGCACTTTGGGAGGTGAAGGCAGGTGGATCACGAGGTCAAGGGATCGAGACCATCCTGGCCAACATGGTGAAACCCCGTCTCTATTAAAATACAAAAATTAGTTGGGCGTGGTGGCACATGCCTGTAATACCAGCTACTCGGGAGGCTGAGGCAGAAGAATTGCTTGAACCCAGGAGGCAGAGGCTGCAGTGAGCCGAGATCGCACCACAACACTCCAGCCTGGTGACAAAGCGAGACTCTGTCTCAAAATAAATAAATAAATAAATATAAAAAATAAAAACTATTCAGAATAAAATATCTAAGTCAACTGGAAATAAAATTTAACTTTCTGAAACTGATATAAAGGAGATTTGCAAAACCCTACAGCTAATAGCATGCTTAATGGTGAAATATTCCCTCAAGTTAGGAACAAAGCAACCATATCTAATATGGCTTGGATTTGTTTCCTCACTCAAATCTCATGTCAAATTGTAATCCTCAGTGTTGGAGGAGCAGCCCAGTGGAAGGTGACTAGATCGTGGGAGTGGATTTCCCCTTTGCTGTTCTCATAATAGTGAGTGAGTGCACAGAGAGTTGGTTGTCTAAAAGTGCGTGGCACCTCCCCACCACCTCTCCCTCCTGCCACCGCTTGAAGATGTGCCCGCTTCCCCCTTACCTTCTGCCATGATTGTAAGTTTCCTGAGGCCTCCGCAGAAGCAGAAGCCAATATAACCCACAGAACCATGAGCCAATTAAACCTCTTTTCTTTATAAACTACCCAGTTGCAGGTATTTCTTTATAGCAGTGTGTGAACAAACTAATACAGGAAATTCATACTAGAGAAGTGGGGCATTGCTATAAAGATACCTGAAAATGTGGAAGCCACTTTGGAACTGGGTAACGGGCAAAGGTTGGAACAGTTGGGAAGGCTCAGAAGAAGACAGGAAAATGACAGAAAGTTTGGAACTTCCTAGAGACTTGTTAAATTGTTGTGACCAAGATGCTGATAGTGATATGGACAATGAATTCCAGGCTGAGGCAGTCTCCGATGGAGATGAGGAACTTATTGAGAACTGGAGTAAAGGTCACTCTTGCTATCCTTCAACAAAGAGAATGGCAGAATTGTGCCGCTGCTCTAGGGATCTGTAGAACTTTGAATTTGAGAGAGATGATTTAAGGTATCTGTCAGAAGAAATTTCTAAGCAGCAAAGCATTCACAATGTGGCCAAGCTGCTTCTAACAGTGCATACTTACATTCATAAGCAAAGAGATTATCCAAAACTGAAACTTAATATTTAAAAGGGAAGCAGAACATAAAAATTTGGAAAATTTGCAGCCTGACCATGTGGTAAAAATAAAAACCCATTTTCTGGGGAGGAATTCAAGCCAGCTGCAGAAATTTGCATAAGTAAAGAGGAACCAAATGTTAATATCCAAGACAATGGGGAAAATTTCTTGAAGGCATTTCAGAGAACTTTGTGACACCACCTCACACGGCAGGCCCCAAGGCCTAGGAGGGAAGAATGGTTTCATGGGCAGGGCCCCACTGCCCTGCACAACCTCAGGACACTGTTCTCTGTATTATAGCCACTCCAGCTCCAGCTGTGGCTAAAAGGGCTCCAAATACATCTCAGACCACTGCTCCAGAGAGTGCAAGCCATAATCCTCTGTGGCTTCCATGTGGTGTTAAGCCAGAGGATATGCAGAGGGCAAGAGTTGAGGCTTGGGAGCCGGTGCCTAGATTTCAGAGGATGTATGGAAATGCCTGGATGTCCAGGCAGAAGTCTGCTGCAGGGATAGAGCGTTCACGGAGAACCTCTACTAGGGCAATACAGAGTTGAAGCCCGTACACAGAGTCCCTATGGGGGCACTGTCTAGTGGAGCTGTGAGAAGAGGTCCACTGTCCCCCAGACCCCAGAATGGTAGATCCAACGATGGCTTGCACCATGCACCTGGAAAAGCTGCGGGTACTCAACACCAGCCCATGAAAGCAGCTGCAGAGGATGTACCTTGCAGAACCACAGGGGCAGAGCTGCCCAAGGCCTTGGGAGCCAACCCCTTGCATTAGTGTGGCCTGGATGTGATACATGGAGTCAAAGCAGATTATTTTGGAGCTTTAAAATTTAATGACTGCGCTGCTGGGTTTCGGACTTCATGGGCCATGTAGCCCCTTTGTTTTGGCCAATTTCTCCCTTTTGAAAAGGGAGTACTTACCCAGTGCCTGTATCCCCATTATAATCTGTAAGTAACTAACTTGTTTTTTATTTTACAGGATCATAGGTGGAAGAGACATGCCTTATCTCAGATAAGACTTCAGGCTGTTGACTTCTGAGTTAATGCTGCAATGAGTTAAGACTTTGGAAGACTGTTGGGAAGGCATGATTGTGTTTTGAAATGTGAAAAGGACATGATATTTTGGAGGGGCCAAGGGTGGAATTATATGATTTGGATTTGTGTCCTCACCCAAATCTCATGTTGAATTGTAATTCCCATGGTTGGAGGAGGGGCCTGGTGAGGGGTGATTGGATCATGGGGGTGGATTTCCCCCTTGCTGCTCTCATGATAGTGAGTGAGTGCTCAGAGAATTGGTTGTTTAAAAGGATGTGTACACACTTCCCCCACCAGCCATGTGAAGATGTGCCTTCTTCCCCTGCACCTTCTGCCATTATTGTAAGTTTCCTGAGGTCTCCCCAGAAGCAGAAACCTGCATATCCCACAGAACCATGAGCCAATTAAGCCTCTTTTCTTTATAAATTAACAAGTTTCAGGTATTTCTTTTTAGTGGTGTGAAAACAGACTAACGCAATATCCATTCTTATCAATTCTATTCAACAGACTCTGTTGTGAAAGTACTGGACAATAAAACAAAGAAAGAAAACAGCAATAAGTGATATAAAGATTTGAAAGGAAGTAGCACAGATGACACCATTGCCTATATAGAAAATCCAACTAATAAACAAACTACTAGAACTAATAATTGAATTTAGCAAACTCATGAGATAAAAGATCAATATGTTAAACTCAATTGGATTTCCTTACACAAGCAATAAACAATTGGAAATTAAATTTTAAAATAATGCCATTTACAATGGCATAAAAAAATTCAAACACCTAGGAATTCATTTAACAAAAGAAATGTAAGACTTCTACAGTGAAAAATACAGAGCACCACTGAGAGAAATTTTAAAAGACCTAACTAATAGAAAGATATACCACATTCATGGATTCAAAAATCCAATATTGTTAAGATGCCATTTCTTTCCAAATGGAATCACAGATTAACACAATCCAGATTAAAATCCCAGCAGGATTATTTTGGCAGAAATTCTTTTTGTTGTTGTTGTTGTTGCTGCTACTGCTGCTGCTGTTTTTAATAAACAGGGATAGGGTCTCACCATGTTGCCCAGACTGTTCTTGACCTCCTGGCTTCATGTGACCCTCCCACCTCGGCCTCCCAAAGTGCTAGAATTACAGGTGTGAGCCACCATGCCTGGCCTTTTTTCGGGTTTAGTGGGTTTTTTTTTTTTTCGACAGAAATTGAAAATTGAAAGCTGATGCTAAAATTTAAATGGAAATGCAAAGTCTCTAAAATAGCCAAAGTAGTCAAAGAAAAAGAACAAATATAGAGATTTGAACTATCTGATTTCAAGGCTATAACATAAAAGTATTTAAGACAATTGTATTGGTGTACAGACAGAGATACAAATAAATGAAAACAAACACAGTCCATAAATAAACCCACAAAAATATGACCAAGGGGCCAATATAATTCAAAGGGGAGAAAATAATCTTTTCAACAAAGGGCACTGGAAATAAGGAAATATAAATCATAAGGAAGACAATAAGCCATAGCCATCATACACAAAAATTAAACTTAAGACAGATCATAGACTTAAATGGAAATATAGACCTTCTGGAAGGAGAAAATCTTCACAGTCTTGGAGAAGGCAAAGACTTCTTAGACAGGACATGAAAGGCATTGACCATAAGAGCAAAAATGATAAATTTCAGTTTACCAGATTAAAAACTCATGCTCATCAAAATAGACACTGTTAAGAAAATAAAAGAGTAACCCCAAGACTGGAATAAAATATTTGTATTATATAAATCTGACAAATGACTTGTATCAAACTAAATAAAGAACAACTACATATCAACAACAAAGAAGATAAAGAACCCAATCAATAATTGGTAAAAGACTTTCTCAGGTACTTCATAAGATATAGGAATAACCAATAATTATATAAAAATGTGCTCAACAGCAGTCATCAAAGAAATTTAAATTAAAGCCACAAGATACACACTCACCAGAATGGCTAAAATTAAAAACACAGACAATTGCAAGTGATAGCAGAGTGGAGAGCAACTGAAACTCTCATAAATTGTTGGATGAAATGTAAAATGGCATAAACACTTTAGAAAACTGTTTAGATACTTCTTATAAACTCTATGACCCAGCAATTCCAGTCCTAGGTATATACCCAAGAGAAATAAATGCGTAAGTCCACAAAAAAACTTGTATAAGATATTCATAGCAGCTTTATGTATATTGGCTAAAAACTGAAAACAACCCAAATATACATCAATAGGAAGGTTGATAAACAAATGACATATCCATGCAATGGAATACTTAGCAATAAAAAAAAGAACTACTAATATCCACTAACATGGACTAATCTCAGTAATATGTTGACTGAATGGATTCAGAAATGAAAAAATGTATCATGTTTGATCTCCATTTACCTGAATACCTGAATTAGATGAATATATGAATTATGTAGAAACCAGAATAGTGATCACTTCAGAATGAGAGAAGGGGATGGTGTTTGGAAAAGGCATACCATTATTTTCTGGGTTGATGGAAACATTCCATTGTCTTTTTTGGATGACGACTACATGAGCATTATACATTTGTCATAATTGACCCAGCTGTACATTTGATACTTGTGCATCTAACTTATGTAAAATATACCTTAATAAAGTACTATCACTAACAAAAGAGAGATAAGCCTGACAATTTTCCAGTGACAAAATACATCAAGCCACAGATCAAGTCCTATGAACCCCTCCAAAAAGACAAACATACATAATATCATAACTAGATATATCATAGTAAAGCTGCCAAAAATAAAAAATAAAGAGAAAACTTTTAAGACAAAGAAAAAAATGTTTATCTTCAAAAGAGTAATAATTGGCAATTGACTTTGATAGTCAATTTTTTATAGAAACAATGAAAATGAGAAAATCATGAAATACCTTCAAAGTATGAAAAATAAAATGACTGCCAATCAAGGCTAGCCTGGCCAAGATGGTGAAATCCCGTCTCTACTAAAAATACAAAAATTAGCCAGGCATGGTGGCAGGTGCCTGTAATCCCAGCTACTCAGGAGGCCGAGGCAGGAGAATTGCTTGCACCCAGGAGGCAGAAGTTGCAGGTAGCTGAGATCGTGCCATTGCACTCCAGCCTGGGTGACAAGAGCGAAACTACATCTCAAAAAAAAAAAAAAATTGTATACAATGAGAAAATAGCCTTAAGAAACAAAGGCAAAACAAACATTTTCAGACAAACACTAACTGAGAAAACGTATCTTCAGTAGAATGGCACTAAAGGAAATATAAAAGGATATTATTTTAAAAAACTTCAATCCCAGATAGGAGCTTAGAGATACAAAAAGGGGAAAATAGCAAGAAAAAGGAAAATATAATCTAACTGATGCACTGAACAACAGTAATTATGTTTTGTAGAATATATAATATGTATATATATAAAATAAAGTATAGCATGGAAGTCAGGAGGGAGTAAATGGAGTTAAAATTTTCTGCCACTTTACGCAGCAATATAAAAGTACTACTTTATACTGGACACTGATAAGTCAAGAATGCATGATATAATCTCTAGGGTAATGATTGAAAGAATAGTAGAGGACTAAATAACTTACAAAGCCAAAGATGGGGTGATGAAATATTTAAATATACTTAGTGCAAAAGAGGCAAAAAAAAAAGAGAGAGAGAAAAAAGAAAAAAGAAGCAGGAAAAATAGATCACAATAGAAAATTGTGGATTTAAAGTCAAATATACCAGTAACTACATTACATATATATGGGCTAAATGCTCCAATTAAAAGGTAAAAATCGTAAGTATTGAGTTTAAAGAACTATATGCTGATTACAAGACACACATAAAATATAAGAATACAAAAAAATTGAAAATTAAAAGATGGGAAAAGTTATACCATGCAAACACTCATGAAAGCTGGTATAGCTACATTAGTATAAGACAAAGTAGATTTTAACACAAAAAGTATTAGAAGAGATAAAGACATGCACTTTGTAATGGTAAAAGTTTCAATTAGCTGGGAAGATACTGCATTCTAAACTTGTATACACCTAATAATGCAGCCTGAAAATATATAAAACAAACATTGACAGAACTACAAAGAGGAATAGACAAATCCACAGTCATAGTAAGAGATTTTTAACACCCTGCTCTTGGTAACAGATAGAAGAAATGGGCAAAAATATCATGAGAATATACAGGATTTGAATTAAACAATTACAAATTTAATTTCATTGACACATGTAGAACACTGCACAAACAACTGCCAAATAGAAGTTCTTTTTACATTCTTGAGTTCTTTTTA
Organism: Homo sapiens; assembly: GCF_000001405.40. Taxonomy (NCBI): domain Eukaryota; kingdom Metazoa; phylum Chordata; class Mammalia; order Primates; family Hominidae; genus Homo; species Homo sapiens. Next base: position 619,654 of record NT_187601.1, on the reverse strand, counting down.
AGTTCTTTACACAGGAACATTTACAAAAATGACCATATGTTCAACCCTAAAGAAAGTGTTAAAAATGGCAATGGAATGAAATAATACAAAGTATGTTATCTGACCACAGAAGGATAAAGCTATAAATCTCCTTCTAAATGACCCATGGGTCAAAGAAGAAACCATGAAGCATTTAGAAATCAGCATAGCACAGGATTTAGGAATCAGCATAGCAGTGAGATTTAAGTCACTGCAATAAGGCAAGAAGACATAAAAGGCTTATGGATTGAGAAAGAGATATTAAATGTGTATTATTCAACAATAATATAATTGTGCATATTAAAGTAATTTTTAAGCAAGACTACCATAATAAATTATTAGAAGTGAAAAGTGACTTAGCAAAGTTGCTGGATACAAGACCAATATACTAAAAATTAATTGCATCTACATACTAGCAACAAAGAGTTAGACAATGTAATTTTTAGAACATATATAATTGACAATAATATTCTAAAAATAAATATCTAGGAATAAACTACATGAGAGATATGCAAGACATCTACACATCTACATCTAGTAGAAAACTAGAAAAAGGATTGAGGGCAACTTAAAAAAGCCTAAATAAATGAAGAGATATACCATGTTCATGGATTGGAAGATTCAATATTATAAAGAAGTCAGTTTCCCAAATTGATCAAGATTATCTCAACACAGACTCAAGACAATCCCAATCAAAATCCTAGCAGTATGAGTGTTTGTATATGTTTAACTTGACAAATTTTTTAACTTAGCAAACAGCTAGGAATAGGCAAGATATTATTGAAGGAGGAGGAAGAAATGGAGGAGGAGGAGAAAGAACAGAAAGAGGAGAAGGTAGGTGAAGACAAGGAAGATGAAGAGAGCAATAATAACAAGGTAAAGGACTTGCACAGGTGGATTTAAAATTTTATTATTAAGCTACAGTAATTAAAAGAGTATGGTATTGGTAAAAGGAGAAATAAACCAGTTGAACTAAGAATCCAGAGACAGAATCATTTTTAAATAGACACTTGATTTATGACAAAAATGGTACCACAGAATAGTAAGGAAAGAATAATATTTTCAATAAATAATGTTGAGCCAACTGGCTATCCATAAGAGAAGAGATTGGCCGTTACCTCATACCATATAGAAAAATTAATTCCAGATACATCTAAAAGATGAAAAACAAAGATTATAGAAGATGACAAAAAAGCATTATAATTTTGGGGTAGGGAAGGATTTTCTTAGATAGGACATGAAAAGGATTAAATATGAAGACAAAGAATGCTAAGTTGATAATATTAAAATAACTTTATTTAATGATAAGACATTATTCAGAAAATAAAAAAACAAGATATTTGCAACATATATAACTGACCAAGATCATATAAGAGGATGTTCAAATGGCAAATAAACATAGGAAGAAATGTTCAGCTTCACTAGTAATCAGGGAAATGCAAATTATAATCATAAGATACTTCTACACACCCTTGAAAATGGCTAAAATTTTTAAAACCATCAAAACAAATAATAACCAAAATGTGGAAAATAAGACAAAAAGAACTCTCATACACTATTAATGAGAGGACAAATTAATACAGCTACTTTGGAAAGCTGTTTGCCATTATCCATTAAAGTTGGATATATGTACATCCTCCAATCCAGGAATTCCACCTTAGGCACCTAACAGAAATGTATGCAAGTATGCACCAAAAGACATATACAAGGATGTTCACAGGAACATTATATATAAAAGCCAGAAAGTGGGATTAATCCAAAAGTCCACTAATAATAGAATGGATAGGTAAACTATGGTACATTCATTTGGTAGAATAGGCACAGCAATAAAAAAACAAAGTACAGTTATCCTCAACACCATGAACAAATCACATACACACAACACACACATACAAATAAATAATGGATTATTCCATTTTTATAAAATTCTAAAACAGACAAAACTAATCTTGGGTATTGGAAGTCATGTCAGTAGTTACCTTTGGGGTGTAAGAGGGAACATATGGTAGGAGGTGGTCCATGAACACTTATAAATTTGTGATTATCTGCATGTACACAAGGCACAGGTAAAAAAGTTTTAAAACATTTTTAATTATGTAGAGATAAGATTGAGTTAATAAAACAGATAACTAAGAACTCAATGTGACATAAAAGAACTGGTAGACCTTCTTGCACTTAACTTGTATACATCTCAAAAATCCAATGTACTGATGTGATATTTGGTAGCCTAGACCAAAATTTCACCTTGTAGTACTGTCTTGAGTTATTCTCTATCTGCTTTTGCAACAGTCTGTGTCTTAGAAAGGTACAGTCCCTGTCTTGGAAATGTGGAGTCTGTTTCTTGGAGATGTACATCTTGTGTAACATCTTTTGTCCTATAGTTCAAATGGAAACTGAACAATAACTGCTGCTGTTCCTTACTAACAAAGGCTAAATTATTTTCTAGTTGGGACACTGTAACAGGAAAATTGCTAAATAATTTCTTTCTCTCCCACAGAAGCAGAAAAGCATAGAACAACATAATGGCTATTTTCATTGTCAAGAAACTTAAGTTACAATTTTTTGCATTTTTTTTAAACAGGAGAAAAAGTCATTTTAATTATATACATACACATGGGAGTCCCATAAAAATATGAGACATCAATTTTTTGCATTTTTTTTTGAGACATTGTCTTGCTCAGTCACCCAGGCTGGAGTGCAGTGGCATGATCTCAGCTCACTGCAAACTCCGCCTCCTGGGTTCACACCATTCTCCTGCCTCAGCCTCCAGAGTAGCTGGGACTACAGGTGCCCACCACCACACCCGGAATTTTTTTTGTATTTTTAGTAGAGACGGGGTTTCACCATGTTAGCCAGGATGGTCTCGATCTCCTGACCTGGTGATCCACCCACCTCGGCCTCCCAAAGTGCTGGGATTACAGGCATAAGCCACCATGCCCGGCCAATTCTTTCCAACTTTAAGGCCAAAATAATTGGAGCAGTTGTTGTTGATATACACTAATAAACCAAAAAGGAAAAAACATTGTAGATCACCAAATTCTTATTATTTGATCTTCTTTGTATGAGCTGTAAATATTCCTATGTTAACTATGTTTAGAAAATAATATATAATTCCTACACATATATGTGAAGTTAAAATTATGGTGAATTACTAACAATCATTAACCCTGTGTGTTAATAGTGATTCTTTAAACTTTCCTGTGTTTGACATCTTTTATCATAAATAGTTGGGAGGAGCCTTGTGTAATTACATACAATATGATCTTAATTATAGGTTTTAAAGTTCACCAAAACCTGTAAATAAACCAAAATGTTAACAATAGTCATTTCTGGATGGTGGTGGTGTTTTTCCTCCTTACATATTGCTATAATTTTTCTTTTTTTTTTTGAGACGGAGTCTTGCTCTGTTGCCAGGATGTAGTGCAGTGGTGCGATCTCAGCTCACTGCAACCTCCGCCTCCTGGGTTCAAGCAATTCCCCTGCCTCAGCCTCCCAAGTAGCTGGGATTATAGGCACGCACCATCACACCCAGCTAATTTTTTGTATTTTAGTAGAGATGGGGTTTCACCATGTTGGCCAAGATGGTCTCGATCTCCTGACCTCATGATTTGCACACCTTGGCCTCCCAAAGTGCTGGGATTACAGGCGTGAGCCACTGCGCTGGCCACATGTTACTGTAATTTTTCTATAAGTAAATTTTCCTTTTTAAAAAAAAATTTTGCTTTTTTTTTTAATTTATTTTTATGTTTTTGAGATGGAGTCTTGGTCTGTCGTCCAGGCTTCAGTGCAATGGCGCAATCTTGGCTCACTGCAACTTCTGCCTACCAGGTTCAAGGGATTCTCCTGCCTCAACCCCCCAGTAGCTGGGATCACAGGCGTGCACCACCATGCCTGGTTAATTTTTGTATTTTTAGTAGAGCTAGGGTTTCACCACGTTGGCCAGGCTGGTCTCCAACTCCTGACCTCAGGTGATCCACCTGCCTCCACTTCCCAAAGTGCTGGGATTATAGGCATGAGCCACCACACCTGGCCAAATTTTTACTTTTTAAAGAGGAAATGCTGTAAATCACTGGGAAAACAAACAAAAGTTGCTGGTTCCTAAGAAAGCATTTCATCTTTGAGCTTCTAAGTTAATAAAATCCATACAATTTTCATTAAGAATATTTGGGGTTATAGTGCCATTTCAATACTGATGATACTCTTTGGTATGTCTTGCAGTAGGCATTGCAGACAATTTCTAATGCTTTACCTAATGTTTAATTAAAGAACTGAACTGAAAAAAGTGATGTAACACAGTTAAAGTAGAAAAATGTGGGGCTCAAATTCAATCTGTGCCCTTATTATTTGTGTGAATTTAGGCATGTTACTTAAACTCTATGTCCCACTCCTCATTTGTAGAACAGAAATAGGACAACTGACTTCCCAATATTTTTGTAAGGTTTAATTGAGAAAACATCTGTAAAACCTAATATGGTGCCTGGTCCATAGATTGTCTTCAATTAGGAGAGGGCTAAAAAAAATTAGATAATATCATAAGCAGCTAAACAATGTCTGACCAGCAGCCGGTGCTGGATAAGTAGTAATCTATAGACCGGAATGATTTTTTTTTTCTGTGATCTTTTGTTTCCTACACAGAATGCCATGGTCTACTAGAATGGGAGTTTCAAGAGAGCTACTTCCCCAGTACTTAGGACAGTGCCTGGAGGGCAGCAGGCATCCCATAACAGACTGCTGAAAGAATGGAAGCATGACCATATCATTGCAAGGATGGACTGAAGAATGAATGCCCTCAGACAGAGACATCTTGGTACGCTAAGATGAAAGTTGCTCTGGTTGTAGTGGGCATAGGCTGAGCTATTTCAGTGAAGACAGGTTTGACTGAACCTTTCTCGGGGCAATGGCCACGGGGATGGGTGGAAGTGGCTGTCAGTTTGCTGGGTTTTTGAGATGCTCTGAACAGGCAAATCTCATCAAGTGGCTTCTCCATCTAAAGCCTGTGCCTGGCGTCCCTTTGCTGTTAGGATAAAATCCAAACTCCTTCCCAGGCCTATCAGCCTCTCTGCTCACCTCTGGCTACTCTCCTCCTCTCACTCCAATGTCTGGCTACATTGGACTTTTTCCAATTCCTAAATACTATCATGCTATCTTCTGCCTGCAGTACGTTCTGCCTTGCAACTCACACTTTATTCACTCATGCCTCACCCGTTTCTGACATCTAGTGTGTATATATCCTTCAGGTATCAGCTTAAATGTCACTTACTTGAGAATCTGCCTTAACAAATACCCCTTCCCAAACTTGCCCACATCCCGTTGAGGTTAGAGACCCTTTCTGTGTGTCCCCACAGCTCTCTGTATTTGTTCTACTTTAGCACTTATTACCCTGTAAGGCAGTTTTGGGGTCTTTCCCCAACAATTAGAATGTAAGCTCCAAGATAGTAATGATTTTCATGTTTTCTTTACTGCTTCACCAAAAGCGCCTAGAATAATGCCTGCCTAATAGTAGACACTCCATAATTATTTGTTCAATAAAATGAATGGATTTCCATGTCTAGATTGTAGTAAGTTCCCTGAGACCTGGTTTTGTGTTGGTTCCTGTATTATTAACAGAAAGTACAGTGTCTGGCACAGAGTAGTTACTCATCAAATATTTATCAAATAAATAAATGTTATTTAATACTGATTATCCATTTATACTTCACGTAAGTGCTTATTTCAGGGATCGAATGGGAAGGAGTGTCAAATATTTCAGTTGTTTCACCTTTTATTCTATTAATGCTTCCGTATGTTGTGCTGCTTTTACATTCAAATCATTCACTTACCAACACTTAAACATTCTCTGCTATCTGTGATATACAGCACCTATGATACCAATTCCCATTTTAAAAAATTTACTTACTATCTACTTTCATTGTTTTTATTATTGTTACCATGTATTTTGGGCTTAGAATAAGCCCACCAAGGGCCACCAAAAGCCCAAACAACAAGTATTACCATCTCTAACACTTGATTTTAAGTCTTTCATCGGGAACGTAAATCAGACACCTGAATTCAGTTAAATCCCCTTGAAAACCACCTCAAATCACCTTTGTAAATAACAATAATGTGAACAAATAAGTAGATTCTCAGAACATCAGTGTGCAATCCTACAATAACTTGGAGAAAAGTCAACCTTGCAAAAATATCTCTCTCTCTCATTTTCAGAAAATTATACCTACAATTAAGCAGGGCAAAAAGGTGAACAAGGGCATCAAAAACTCCATTAGCCATAGGTTTCTTCTTTGATTTAATAATATATATACATAAACAACCTCCTAGGACCTGGAGGTTGTTGATTTGTTTGTTTGTTTCGCAGGATTTTTTGGTAGATATCTGTCATTATATTTAAAGTTAATGTTCTTTTCTCATTATTAATTACATCAAAATTCATTCCCTGTTGAATGGCTGAGCAACCAGGCTATCGGGGTCATTTTTTTGTTTGTTTTTTGAGACAGAGTCTCACTCTGTCACCCGGGCTGGAATGCAGTGGCTTGATCTCGGCTCACCACAGCCTCTGCCTCCTAGGTTCAAGTGATTCTCCTGCCTCAGCCTCCCAAGCAGCCGGGACTAGAGGCACGTGCCACCACGTCCGGCTAAAATTTTTTTGTATTTTTAGTAGAGACGGGGTTTCACCATGTTGGCCAGGATGGTCTCAATCTCCTGACCTTGTGATCCACCCGCCTAGGCCTCCCGAACTGCTGGGATTACAGGTGTGAGCCACCACGCCTGACCTATTTTTTATTTTTTATTTATTATTATTATTATTATTATTGAGACAGAGTCTGGCTCAGTCACCCAGGCTGGAGTGCAGTGGCACAATCTTGGCTCATTGCAACCTCCTCCTCCTGGGTTCAAGTGATTATTCTGCCTCAGCCTCCTGAGTAGCTGGATTACAGGCACAAGCAACAAAACTGGCTAATTTTTACATGTTGGCCAGGCTGGTCTCAAACTCTGGACCTCAGGCGAACCGCCCATCTCAGCCTCCCAAAGTGCTGAGATTACTACAGACATGAGCCACTGCACCCAGCCTATCGGGGTCACTTAATTTTTTTTTTAGACAGAATCTCGCTCTGTAGCCAGGCTGGAGAGCAGTGGTGCGATCTTGGCCCATTGCAATTTACGCCTCCCAGATTCAAGCAATTCTTGTGCCTCAGCCTCCCAAGTAGCTGGGACTACAGTCGTGCACCACCACGCCCAGCTAAGTTTTGTATTTTTAGTAGAGACGGGGTTTCACCATGTTAGCCAGGATGGTCTACATCTCCTGACCTTGTGATCTGCCCGCCTTGGCCTCCCAAAGTGCTAGTATTACAGGCATGAGCCACTGTGCCCAGTCTGGGTCATTTAATTTTTATTTAGTGCATGAGCTGGTGATATTGAAAGTGCTGCAAGTCTTCTTATCAGAGCAGAATCTGCTAGTTGGGGTTTCTGCTAAATGATGAGCAAATTTGCAGCATCACTCTCACTGCTCATCCCTGTGGAGTGATTAATGGTAGCCAGAGTTAAGACCCTCAGCCAGTGGTACAGCAAATGGGACTGAGACTTAAGGCAATTTGCCCTGAGGCCATAAATGCTTTTGAAATTGATTTGAATTAATTCATCTTTAAACCACTTAGTTTCAGAAAGGATTTATGACCATGTCCAAAGGCATAGAAAATATAATCCAGCAAGATAAAAATGTATGTATAAGTAGGTGAGGCCAGTGTGGCACAGGAGAAATACAGATGGGGCATCACAGGGCTCCTCTCCTCTTACCTGTGTACTGCAACCCCCTGTACTCGCTTATTGCCCCAGGAGGTTTTAAATTGGGCCAGTAGTGGAAAAGCATTTGCACAGCTGGAGGCTTCACTTGTGAAGGCCCATACGCAATCACATACAAAAGATCCTAAAGGAAACAGCAAGCATATTTTGACTTAGCATCATGAAATAAAAAGAAAGGTAGAGACTTCAACATTACCAAAGCAGTGAAAATTCTAATGGAGGGATTGAGGTGAGTAATTTCCCTGGAATCTCATGCAGACATGTTTCATAGATTAGATCACGTCAAAACATTATATTTTCATGATTTATTTATTTACTGATCCTTCTGTAAATGAGCCCTCACAGGTAGAGTACAAAGTACTTTATCTTCTAACAAATTGATCTCTAATCAGATTGATGCTAAAGAAAGATTTTAGAATAGCACAAGACAGTTTGCCAAATACCATATTTGAAAAAACATTTCCCTAATCACATTTCTTAAACATTCACATCTCCTATTTGAAAGAGGACACATTCTCAAGCAATCTTTCAAATTAAATAAAATTGTTTGTCATAACATATAATATTAGCTTAATTCCAAGAATAAGATACATTCAATTACTTTATCCGTCAAGACACGATGTTCTTAAAGTACCATTTCTGCTCTAAATGATAAATAATTAACCATTAAAGAAAGAATTATAGGTTCTGCCACATCAAAATAATAGGACGTCAATAAATTTGACCTAAACAACAGTTTTAATACGTAAACAGTTTTTACTGTATTATACAAATTAAGTTTGTGACTATGGGTTAAATTTGACCCAAAACTTACTTTCCAGACTTCTTGTTTATATTTCATGAGGCATTCCAGTAATTGACAATGATACACTGTAATGTAGAAAATGTAATTCATACATGAAATGTAAATACCAGACAAAACATCCTTTGATATACATATATAAGAAATTACTTCAATATGACTTTTCAGTCTCTAATCATTAAATTAGAAATAACTTCTCTCCATATATTCATACTTAAAAAATATCACATAAGCCCTTGACTTTATCAAGCTTTGTCCCAAGGTCCTTGAGAAGTATTTCATGCTTCATGTTAACAATGGAAATATTTTTAATGTCGGTAGTAATCATACATTCATAAAATAAACTTGTATCAACATAAGATCTACATAAGAAAAAAAACTAGCCCAACAGAATCATAATAAAAGCTCACATTTATTGAGCATTCATTATTTGCTAGATACCGTAGAAAGAGCTTTATATGTATTATCTCACAATTGCTATGGTGCAGTTAGGAAACTAAGCCTCAGTTTCCAACTTGCCCAAGGTTGAATGGATAGGAAGTGACAGACTTGATGGATTAGAGTGGGGTTTTATAATTTCATCATCAGTTCCATCTTATAGAGGAATTTTTAAAAGCTACATGACAGCAAGCTTCCTTGATTTGCCTATCTTCACTTGGGGAACAAAGATTCTTTCAACCTAGTTAGATGCCTTTTGATACCTTCCCTAATCTATATTCCAGGCCTATGCTGACATTGAAGCAGTTCACACTTTATTCACCAATGACCTCCGTGTCCTTCAATCCAATGGACATTTTCCAGTCCTCATCTTACTTGACTTTTCAGCCACATTCAGTAGTGCTGACTACTGTCTCCTTTTTGAAACACTCCTTGGCTTCATATGAATGACCCTCCCGTCACCTGTGGTGGACAACACTATTGCTACTCAACTGCTGTCAACACCCTTTTTTTCTTGTCCATTTGCCAATTGATATGGTTAAGCTGTGTCCCCACCCAAATCTCATCTTGAATTGTAATCCCCAGGTTTTAGGAAGAAACCTAATGGGAAGTGATTGGATCGTGGGGGCAGTTTGCCCCATGCTGTTCCCGTGATAGTGAGTGAGTTCTCCCGAGATCTGATGGTTTCATAAAGGCAGTTTTCCCTGCACTTGCTGCCACCATGTGAAGAAGGTCTTTGCTTCCCCTTCACCTTCTACCATGATTATAAGTTTCCTGAGGCCTCCCCAGCCATGCGGAACTGGGAGTCAATTAAACCTCTTTTCTTTATAAATTACTCAGTCTCTGGCAGTTCTTTATAGCAGTGTAAAAACGGACTAATACACCAATACACAGACTACAAAAGCAAGATGCTTTCCCAAAGCCCCTTGCAGCTAGAGATGGCCACGTGACTCAGTTCTGGACAGTAAGAATGAAGAGAAAATCTGCTGGGGAGCTTCTGAGACATACTTTCTCCCTCTGATAAAACGAAAGAGGTACACCAGGAGACTTTTCTCTTAATGACTCTGCTTGATCCTATTACCTGTTTTGTAGTTATACGAGGTTATAATAACCTCCACAGTGGCAGCTTTCTTGCAAACATGAGGGGAATTCCAAGATCTCAGCCCCCTGATATTGTGGAGCTATCTTCAGGACTTCCTATTAAGTAAACAACCAATGTGTTTATACTTTAAAGCCTCTGTCAGCCAAAGACATCTTAACAGATGCAACCTCTCTGTCTCTTTGGAGAGCTCATCCTCTTCCACTGGGCCATTATCTGTTGAAGTTTCTGAAGGCCTAATCACAGAACCACTCCACATTTCTTTCATTCTCTGCTCTCCCCTAAGCAATCTCACACTCACACACAACTTCAGCAGCCATCTATATGCAATTCAGTGAAGGTCACTGGACACTTGTGTGTGGGCTCAAAGTTCATTATCTCTAGTCCAAAGCTCTGTTCTGAGCTCCAGACCCATAATACAACTACCTAATTACCAGCTCCTATTAGGTGTCTCAAAGATACTGTGAACACAACACGTCTGAAACAGATCTCAAGATCTTCCCTCAGAGGCCTGATCTTCTTCTTCCAATGCCTCCAGTATCAGTGAGTAGAACCACTGTTACAGTTTGCATCTGTGTCCCCACCAAATCTCATGTTCAGTTGTAATCCCCAGTGTTGGAGGTGGGGCCTGGCAGAAGGTGATTGGATCATGGGGGTGGGTCCTTCATGAATGGTTTAGCACCATCCCTTTGGTGCTGTTCTCATGATAGAGTTCTCACAAGATCTGGTTGTTTAAAAGTGTGTGGCACCATGCCTGTAATCCCAGCACTGTGGGAGGCCGAGGCGGGTGGATCAAAACTCCTGAGGTCAGGAGTTCAAGACCAGCCTGGCCAACATGGTGAAACCCCATCTCTACTACAAATACAAAAAATTAGCTGGGTGTGGTGGTGGGTGCCTGTAATCCCAGCTACTTGGGAGGCTGAGGCAGGAGAATTGCTTGAACCTGGGAGGCGGAAGTTGCAGTGAGCTGAGATTGTGCCACTGCACTCCAGCCTGGGCAACAAGAGCAAAACTCTATCTCAAAAAAAAAAAAAAAAAAATATATATATATATATATATATATATATGTGGCACTTCCCCTTCTCTCTCTTCCTCCTGCTCCAGCCATGTAAGACGTGCTTCCCCTTTGCCTTCTACCATGATTATGAGTTTTCTGAGGCCTCCCTTAGAGACAGGAGCCACTATGCTTCCTGTACAGCCTACAGAACCATGACTCAATGACACTTCTTTTCTTTATAAATTACCCAGTCTCAGGTATTTCTTTATAGCAGTGCAACAACAAACTAATATGACCACCATGCATCCAGTTAGTGCATCCAGAAACCCACTCTAGCCAATATGTTACCAAGTCCTATCAATTTTACTTCCTAAATAGCTTTCAGAAAGATCTGCTTATTCTTCAGTTTCAATTGTCCCTGCCTTTGAAGTGCTTACGCAAATGCAATGACCTCCTTCCAGGTCAATCTATATCCAACCTGGCTTCTTCTCAATCCGTTCTCAACTGCAGCAGGGGTGACAGACACCACAGCCCACTCAAAGCCGTTCAGCAGCTTCCCATCAGATTTGGAATAAACGCAGGCCTCCCTAACATAGCTCACAACACCCTGCATGTTCCAGCCCATGGAACTCTTAAGTCTAGTGTCACACCAGGGAGCCCTCACTCTGAGTTCCAGCTACACTGATCCTTCAGTCTCAGCTGTTTGCCAGACTCCCCCGTGACACATGAGATTCCTCTTCCTGAACCGCCCCCCCTTGTAGGCCTTGTTCACATTATTCATCCTGCAGTTCTCAAACCAAAGGTTACTTCCTCAAAGAAGCCCTCCTGACTTCCTCAATAAAAGCAAAATTTCCTTTTATAACATCTTATAGTATAACATACTTGAAGCACTTGTCACAAGCAAAATTTTACACTTGATTTTATGATTATTTGATTGTCTTCTCGCCTCTCAACCCGACCATACGATAAGCTTCCTGAGATGAGGATGGGGTCAGTCCCATGTCACTAACCATGGAGCCCCCAGTGCCCAGTACATGGTGGATACTCAGTGACTACTGATTGAATGGTTGCTCTAGAATTGGAAATTTGGTCTTAAGCCATCACTGAATTCTCAAGTGCAGATGTTCCAAGACACTTTCTTGTACATAGTGTCTGCTGATCTCCACAGGTCTGCTATATGAACGTTGTTCAGAGCCATCACTGACCCATGAACATACCTGGACAGTTCCTTTGTTAAAACAGCTTCCCCTCCCAGAATGCCCCATTTACCTTATCAATAAAAACTCTGTCCAGCCAGGCATGGTGGCTCATGCCTGTAATCCCAGCACTTTGGGAGGCCAAGACAGGCGGATCACTTGAGGTCAGGAGTTCGAGGCCAGTCTGGCAAACATGATGAAATCCCATCTCTACTAAAAATACAAAAATTAGCCGGGCATGGTGGCATGTGCCTGTAGTCCCACATACTGGGGAGGCTGAGGCAGGAGAATTGCTTGAACCCAGGAGGCAGAGGTTGCAGTGAGCCGTGCCACTGCACTCCAGCCTGGGCAACAAAGTGAGATTCCATCTCGAAAAATAAAACAAAACAAAACTCTCTCCATAATTTAAAACTCATCCTTGGCCCAAGTGACGCAAAATCTTTTCTGATCATTTCAATCCATACAGCTCCCTCCTTCTGATAAATTAACACTGTCTAATATATTTATTTAGTACTCCTATGTACTACATTACATTGTTAACTAATGATTTATGTAAATATGCCTGATCTTCCCAATTAGACATAAGCTTCATAGCAAGTACCATATCTTATGTTTTTGTGTGGTTTTCACAATGCCTAGCACAAAGCCCTGTATATAGAAGGTGCTCAATGAATGCTGGTTACTTAAGTAAGGATTGTGTTCTATCCTTGATACACAATCAGCTACAAGGATCAAGTTGCCAGTTGTGCTTCTTCCAATAAAAATTCAAACAACAGAACCATGACCTACCACTTGGTCCCAGAGAGCCCCTGGTGGATATTGCCTCGCTTAAGTGCTTCCTATATCACAAGACTAGTTTTGGGTCCCAACTATGATTCCTAGTATACAGTAGCTGGTTATAAACATTTCCTCATGAACAAATGAAGATACAGATTTTAAAATAACAGATGCAACTCTACCTGACCACAGTAGTTTTCCAGTGAAACATTCAACTCAACATTCAACTCCAAGAAGAAAATGGCAAATTGTAGGGATTCAGTATTTATTGAGAATTTACAATTTGTCAGTCACTAAAGTAAGCACTTTACATATATGTAACCCATTAAATCTTCACAGCAGCATTTTAAAGTACTGCAAGAAGAATTATTTCCATTTTATAGATGAGGACACTTGGTTTCAGGGGGTAAAAAACTTGCTCAAGTTCACTAACTGGCAATTTGCAGGTAAGCTCAGATGTGAATCCACATACGACTAATCTCAAAGCACCCTGCTTTACTACCCAACTAGCTTAGAAATTTGGACCAGACTGGCATGATGAGACTCTAATTAACTAGATTCCAAATAAATGGTTTTATTAAGGACATAATATATAATAAATATAGTATTTTGATTATTTTAAGCCAGACAGATATATAAGATATAATTTCCCCATATATATATTTTAATTATATCTATATAATAATCATAAGAGATTTCATACTTAAAGAATGCTACAGACTGAATGTTTGTGTCACCTCAAAATTCTTCTGTTAAATCCAAACCCCCTAATGTGATGGTATTAGGATGTGGAGCCTTTAGGAGGTGATTAGTGCCCTTATAAAAGAGGCCCCAGAGAAATCCCTTGCCCTTTTGTCACTTGAGGACACAGCAGAACGACAGCCATTCATGAACCAGGAAATGAGTTCTCACAGATCATCCAATCTACCAGCACCTTGATTTTGGACTTCCCAGCCCCTGGAACTATAAGAAACAAATGTGCATTGCTTATAAGTCATCCAGTTTATAGAATTTTTGTTATAGCAACCCAAATGGACTAAAACAGAAAATTGGTACTGAGAAGTGGGGTGATGCTGTAACAAACAGCTAAAAATGTGGAAGTGGCTTTGGAACTGGGTAACAGGTAGGGGCTGGAAGAGTTTTGATCTGCAGGCTAGAAAAAAGCCTATATTGCCATGAATAGACCTTTAAAAGCAATTCTGGCAAGTGCTGAAAAAGAGAAGAGGAAAGCAGTAGAAAAAGCTTCAATCTTCTTTGAGAATACCTAAATGATCCTGAAGAGAATGTTAGTATAAATACGGACAGCAAAAGCAATTCTGATGCGATCTCAGACAGAAATGAGGAACACATTCCTGGAAAGTGGAGGAAAGGCCATCCTTGCTATAAAGTGACAAAGAACTTGGCTGAATTGTGTTCATGTCCTAGTGTTTTGTGGATGGTAGAACTTGTGAGTGATAAAATTGGATACTTGGCTAAGAAAATTTCTTAGCAAAGTGTTGAAAGAGAGGCCCAGCTGGATTTCTTCTGACTGCTTATACTGTAATAAAATGTGGGGAGAGAGAATGATCCAAAGACAGAATTGTTAATCAAGGAGGAAGAAGACTTAAAGATTTGGAAAACCCTCAGCCTATCTGTATTGACAGGATGAAGAAGCCTGTTAGGAAGAGAATGGGGAGAGTGTAGCCAAGTGACCATTTAATAAGATTAGTCAGCCATCTCAACAGAAGCCAGGAGGTATTGTCCAAAACAATGGAAGAATGACCCCAGAGGCACTTCGGAAATCCTCTGCACTGCCCCTCCCATCACAGACCCAGAGTGCAAGGACCCTGGGGGAGAAATGGTTTCAGAGGAGAGGCCACCAGCACTTTTGAGACTTCAGGGCATGCCACCCCCTCACAAGGCACCTTCTTACATTGTAAAATTCAGTCCTATACCCCAGTGCCTCATTGTTCAGCTGCCCTTTGGGCAGAGCAGCATGCACTGTACCCAGCAAAGGCATGGGGGTGTATTCACCTCCACCTAGATTTCAAAGGATGCCCAGGAGAGCTGGAACTCCACCCTGAGAGAGTCATGGGCACCGGACCCCAGC